>NC_000001.11:111068986-111372016 GCF_000001405.40 Homo sapiens
GTACATGTGCAGATTTGCTATATAGGTAAATTGCATGTCATAGGAATTTGGTGTACAAATTATTTCATCACTCAGGTAAATAAGCATAGTATCTGATAGGTAGTTTTTCAATCTTCACCATCCTCCTACCCTCAATGATATCTAGACTTGCTGCAAAGGCCATGATCTCATTCTTCTTTATGGCTGCACAGTATTCCATGGTGTATATTTACCAAATTTTCTTTATCCGTAGTACCATTGGTTAGCATTTAGGTTGAATCCATGTTTTTGTTATTGCAAATAGTTCCACCATGAACATACACATGCATGTGTCCTTATGGTAGAATGATTTAGATTCCTTTGGGTACATTTCCAATGGGATTACTGAATCAAATAATTCTGTTTTAAATTTTTTGAGGAATCACAAAATTGCTTTCCACAATGGCTGAACTATCTTACATTTCCACCAGCAGTGCATAAGCATTCCCTTTTCTCCATAAGCTCACTAGCATCTGTTATTTTTTGACTTTTGAAACAGTAGCCATTCTGACTGGTGTGAGATGATATCTCATTGTAGTTTTTATTTGCATTTATCTCATAATTAATGACATTGAGCATTTTGTCATGTACTTGTTCGTTGCATGAATGTCTTCCTTGGAAAAATGTCTGCTCATGTCCTTTGCCCACTTTCTAATGGGGTTGTTTGTTTTCTGCTTGTAATTTAAGTTTCCTATAGTCTGGATTTTACACCTCTGTTGAATGCATACTTTCCAAATATTTTCTCCCATGATGTAGGTTGTTTACTCTATTGATAGTTTCTTTTGCTGTGCACAAGCTCTTTAGTTTAATTAGATCCCATTTGTTAATTGTTGTTTTTGCTGCAATTGCTTTTGGCATCTTCATCATAAAGTCTTTACCAGGTCCTACAGCCAGAAATCTATTTCCTAGGTTATCTTCCAGCATTTTTATAGATTTTGATTTTTGATTTAAGCCTTTACTCCATCATGAGTTATTTTTTGTATATGATGTAAGGAAAGGGTCCAGGTTCAATCTCCTGCATATGGCTAGCCAGTTATCACAGCACCATTTATGGAATAGGGAGTCTTTTCCACATTGCTTGTTTTTGGTAAATTTTATGAAATATCAGATGGTTGTGTGTGGCATTATTTCTGGGCTCTTTATTCTGTTCCTTTGATCTATGTGTCTGTTTTGTACCAGTACTGTGCTGTTTTGTGTATTGTAGCTTTGTAGTATAGTCTAATAATGTGATGCCTGCAGCTTTGTTCTTTTTGGTTAGGATTCTCTTGGCTATTCAGGCTCTTTTTTGGTTCCATATGAATTTTTAAATAGTTTTTTTATACTTTTGTGAAAAATGTTGGTACTTTGATACAAATAGCATTGAACCTATGAATTGCTCTGGGCCATATGGCCATTTTAACAATATTGATTTTTCCTATACATGAGCATGGAATGTTTCTCCATTTGTTTGTGTTGTCTCTAATTTCTTTTATCAGTGTTTTGTAATTGTTATAGAGGTCTTTCACTTATTTGGTTAGCTATATTCCTAAATATTTTATTCATTTTGAGGCTATTGTGAATGGGACTGCATTCTTGATTTGGCTCTTAGCTTGGATCTTGTTGGTGTATAAAAATACTACTAATTTTTTTTTTCTAAATGAAGTCTCGATTTTTTGCCCAGGCTGGTGTGCAGTGGCATGATCTTGGTTCACCACAACCTCCACCTCCTGGGTTCAAGTGATTCTCTTGCCTCAGCCTCCTGAGTAGCTGGGATTACAGGTGTGTGCCACCACACTTGGCTAACTTTTTTTGTATTTTTAGTAGAGACAGGGTTTCACCAGACTGGCCAGGCTGGTCTTGAAATCCTGACCTCAAATGATCCGCTGACCTCAGCCTCCCAAACTGCTGGGATTATAGGTGTGAGCCGCTGCGCCTGGTGTATGCATTACTGATTTTTGTACACTGATTTTGTATGCCAAAACTTTGCGGAAGTTGTTTATCAGATCAAGTAGCTTTGGGGCATAAACTATGGAATTTTCTAGGTATTTAATTATATCATCTTCAAACAGAAATAGTTTGTTCTCCTGGCTTACTATGTGGATGCCTTTTATTTCTTTCTCTTGCTTGACTGTTCTGGCTAAGACTTCCAGTACTATGTTGAATAGGAGTGGTGAGAGAGGGTATCCTTGTCTTGTTTCAGTTTTCAAGGAGAATGCTTCCAGCTTTTTTTCATTCAATATGATGTTTGCTGTCAGATAGTCATAAATGGCCCTTACTATTCTGAGGTATGTTCCTTCAATGTCTAGTTTGTTGAGGGCTTTTAACATAAAGAGATATTGAATTTTATAGAAAGTACCTTCTGCATCTATTCAGATTATCGTGTGTTTTTTCTTCTGTTTATGTGGAATAACATTTATTGATTAACGTGTGTTGAGCCAACCTTACATTCATGGGTAAAGCCTACTTGATCATGGTGGGTTAGCTTTTTGATGTGCTGCTGGATTTGGTTTGCTAGTAGTTAAAGATTTTTTGCATTTGTGTTCATTAAGGATCTTGGCCTAAAGTTGTTTTGGAGCTGTTGTGTCTCTGCCAGGTTTTAGTATCAGGATGAGTACTCATAGAATGAGTTAGGAAGGATTCCCTCCTCCTCAATGTTTTTTTAATAGTTTCAGCAGAAATGGTACCAGCTCTTCCTTATATATCTAGTAGAATTTGGCTGTGAATCTGTCACTTCCCGGGCTTCCTCTGATTGGTAGAACTTTAATTACTGATTCAACTTTAAAACTCACTATTGGTCTGTTCAGGGATTCAATCTCTTTCTCGTTCAATCTTGGGAGGTTGTATGCATCCAGGAATTTATCAATTTCTTTTAGGTTTTCTAGCTCGTGTTCATAGACAAAACCTTATTTTCATTATTGCCTTTCTAAGCCTTTCATGGTAGTTTTTTTCTAATCACTCAAGTGAATTTTAATACCACAAATATACTGTACTTTGTTTATATAGTGTATGTATATTTTTGACGCCTAAGAACCAATTATTTCCTGAGTGGTGGCAATATCATTTCCATTGATAATGCATATAAATATGTGATTTTTATATTAATGACATTGGAGCTGATGGAATCTTTGATACTTTCACTATTTTAGGACACTTGGTAATCTTTAAATAACATTTAATTTTGTATGTTTTTTACAATTTGGTGTGACTTAGGGTCACAGCTTATAGCATTGTTAATTCTACTCCTTACATCTTGAGGTATAAAGTGCCTTCTGATTGATGTATTTATGTATCCCATTTATGTATTCTTTTAAAATAAAATAATTGAATTCACAGTCATAGCATGACTAACAAAATTGAATTATAACAAAAATATTCTAGTTAACTTTATTAAAGTTATGCAATTATATTTGCAGAATGACAAGTTTCTATGTAACCTTGGCCAATCCTACACTTTACCCTCTTGCTTGCAAGTCTTGTGTAGGATGTACCAAGAATGCAACATCGAGTGATAAGGAGGAACTGTACAGAACAGCCCAGTCATTGTCCTCATCTCTCCTAGAATAGGATGTCCACAAAGCTTTAGCACAGCAATCCCAGTTACACCCAGAATATAAAACCCAGAGCAAAATGCTTTTGGGGTCTCTCACCTGTGGTACAATGTGGCACACAAAGACAAGACCCTATCCATCCTGGGCAGCTTCCTTGATCCATGGGGCACTGGCTCAACTTATTTTCATTCTTACTGCCTACCAGGGAGTAATGGCTGCGTGACTTGTGAGAGTATTCGGTTTTAAAAGACTAGGCTTCAGAAGGAAAGTGGTAGCAGTGTGACTACTATGCATCTGGGTCTTCTATGAGCCCCCTGCCAGAGTCAAGAACACTTGCAGATCTCCGGCAGATTGTTTTGTACAAAATTTTCTGCCAAACATAAGAATCTTAGAAGAAATTAGTGAGGTATTTAGAGTCCTTTCCTCAGATTAGTGACTGCTATATGGTGCCTCTATCCCAGAGGTGGATACCAGTGCATGGTATTCTGCTTAACAATGTTTAGTGCTTCTCTCTTTCTCTCTGTTTTATTCATTTATTTATTTTTGTATATTTCAATAGAGACTCGTGTATTTTCAATATATTTTAATCAACCACAATCAAGTTTTCTTCTTTTGATGCTCAAATGGTAAAAGCTGGTCACTTAGAATTTCCTTTAGGTTAGGTCTTGTTTTGTTTAGACATCACTTAAATTACTGTTTTTCTTTCTATCACAAAAATTATTTAAGGGTCTTCTTGTTCCTTCCTGGTCCAGACATAAAATCAGAAATTTCTTAAAGTAGCCATCCTTTCAGTAGAAAAACAAAGTATTAGAAATCATGATTTGGGCAACTTTAATGTTTATTAAAGATGACAATTTGCTCTACACCAGTTCGAAATTAAGAGCTATAAAATAAATACTGTGAAATTTATATTTTAAGGTCATAAATTTATATTGACATTTCCAATTTACTTTTAACATTGTAATGTTACCAGTTAAATTTTTTGATCCAATATTATTCCTTTTTTTTATTATACTTTAAGTTCTAGGGTACATGTGCACAACGTGCAGGTTTGCTACATATGTATACATGCGCCATGTTGGTGTGCTGCAACCATTAACTCGTCATTTATATTAAGTATATCTCCTAATGCTATCCCTCCCCATTCCCCCACCCCATGACAGGCCCTGGTGTGTGATGTTCCCCTTCCTGTGTCCAAATGTTCTCATTGTTCAATTCCTACCTATGAGTGAGAACATGCAGTGTTTGGTTTTTTGTCCTTGTGATAGTTTGCTAAGAATGATGGTTTCCAGCTTCATCCATGTCCCTACAAAGGACATGAACTCATCATTTTTTATGGCTGCATAGTATTACATGGTGTATACATGTGCCACATTTTCTTAATCCAGTCTATCATTGATGGACATTTGGGTTGGTTCCAAGTCTTTGCTATTGTGAATAGTGCCACAATAAACATATGTGTGCATGTGTCTTTATAGCAGCATGATTTATAATCCTTTGGGTATATACCCAGTAATGGGATGGCTGGGTCAAATGGTATTTCTAGTTCTAGATCCTTGAGGAATTGCCACACTGACTTCCACAATGGTTGAACTAGTTTACAGTCCCACCAACAGTGTAAAAGTGTTCCTATTTCTCCACATCCTCTCCAGCACCTCTTGTTTCCTGACTTTTTAATGATTGCCATTCTAACTGGTGTGAGATGGTATCTCATTGTGGTTTTGATTTGCATTTCTCTGATAGCCAGTGATGGTGAGCATTTTTTCATGTGTTTTTTGGCTGCATAAATGTCTTCTTTTGAGAAGTGTCTGTTCATATCCTTTGCCCACTTTTTGATGGGGTTGTTTTTTTCTTGTAAATTTGTTCGAGTTCTTTGTAGATTCTGGATATTAGCCCTTTGTCAGATAAGTAGATTGCAAAGATTTTCTCCCATTCTATAGGTTGCCTGTTCAATCTGATGGTAGTTTCTTTTGCTGTGTAGAAGCTCTTTAGTTTAATTAGATCCCATTTGTCTATTTTGGCTTTTGTTGCCATTGCTTTTGGTGTTTTAGACATGAAGTCCTTGCCCATGCCTATGTCCTGAATGATATTGCCTAGGTTTTCTTCTAGGGTTTTTATGGTTTTACATCTAACATTTAAGGCTTTAATCCATCTTGAATTAATGTTTGTATAAGGTGTAAGGAAGGGATCCAGTTTCAGCTTTCTACATATGGCTAGCCAGTTTTTCCAGTACCATTTATTGAATAGGGAATCCTTTCCCCATTTCTTGTTTTTGTCAGGTTTGTCAAAGATCAGATGGTTGTAGATGTGTGGCATTATTTCTGAGGGCTCTGTTCTGTTCCATTGGTCTATATCTCTGTTTTGGTACCAGTACCATGCTGTTTTGGTTACTATAGCCTTGTAGTATAGTTTGAAGTCAGGTAGCATGATGTCTCCAGCTTTGTTCTTTTGGCTTAGGATTGTCTTGGCAATGTGAGCCCTTTTTTGGTTCCATATGAACTTTAAAGTAGTTTTTTCCAATTCTGTGAAGAATGTCATTGGTAGCTTGATGGGGATGGCATTGAATCTATAAATTACCTTGGGCAGTATGGCCATTTTCATGATATTGATTCTTCCTATCCATGAGCATGGTGTGTTCTTCCATCTGTTTGTTGTCCTCTTTTATTTCATTGAGCAGTGGTTTGTAGTTCTCCTTGAAGAGGTCCTTCACATCCACTTGTAAGTTGGTTTCCTAGGTATTTTATTCTCTTTGAAGCAATTGTGAATGCGAGTTCAGTCATGATTTGACTCTCCGTTTGTCTGTTATTGGTGTATAAGAATGCTTGTGATTTTTGCACATTGATTTTGCATCCTGAGACTGCTGAAGTTGCTCATCAGCTTAAGGAGATTTTGGGATGAGATGATGGATTTTTCTAAATATACACTCATGTCATCTGCAAACAGGGACAATTTGACTTCCTCTTTTCCTAATTGAATACCCTTTATTTCTTTCTCCTGCCTGATTGCCCTGGCCAGAACTTCCAACACTATGTTGAATAGGAGCGGTGAGAGAAGGCATCCCTGTCTTGTGCCACTTTTCAAAGGGAATGCTTCCAGTTTTTGCCCATTCAGTATGATATTGGCTGTGGGTTTGTCATAAATAGCTCTTATTATTTTGAGATACGTCCCATCAATACCTAATTTGTTGAGAGTTTTTAGCATGAATGGCTGTTGAATTTTGTCAAAGGCCTTTTCTGCATCTATTGAGATAGTCATGTGGTTTTTGTCTTTGGTTCTGTTTATATGCTGGATTACGTTTATTGATTTGTGTATATTGAACGAGCCTTGCATCCCAGGGATGAAGCCCACTTGGTCATGGTGGATAAGCGTTTTGATGTGCTGCTGGATTCAGTTTGCCAGTATTTTATTAAGGATTTTTGCATCAATGTTCATCGGGGATATTGGTCTAAAATTCTCTTTTTTTGTTGTCTCTGTCAGGCTTTGGTATCAAGATGATGATGGCCTCATAAAATGAGTCAGGGATGATTCTCTCTTTTTCTGTTGGTTGGAATAGTTTCAGAAGGAATGGTACCAGCTCCTCCTTGTACCTCTGGTAGAATTTGGCTGTGAATCCGTCTGGTCCTGGACTTTTTTTGGTTGGTAGGCTATTAATTATTGCCTCAATTTCAGAGCCCGTTATTGGTCTATTCAGGGATTCAACTTCTTCCTGGTTTAGTCTTGGGAGGGTGTATGCGTCCAGGAATTTATCCATTTCTTCTAGATTTTCTAGTTTATTTGCATAGAGGTGTTTATAGTATTCTCTGATGGTAGTTTGTATTTCTGTGGGATCAGTGGTGATATCCCCTTTATCATTTTTTTGCATCTATTTGATTCTTCTCTCTTTTCTTATTAGTCTTGCTAGCAGTCTATCAATTTTGTTGATCTTTTCAAAAAACCATCTCCTGGATTCATTGATTTTTTTGAAGGGTTTTTTGTGTGTCTATCTCCTTCAGTTCTACTCTCATCTTAGTTATTTCTTGCCTTCTGCTAGCTTTTGAATGTGTTTGCTCTTGCTTCTCTAGTTCTTTTAATTGTTATGTTAGGGTGTTAATTTTAGATCTTTCTTGCTTTCTCTTGTGGGCATTTAGTGCTATAAATTTCCCTCTACACACTGCTTTAAATGTGTCCCACAGATTCTGGTATGTTGTGTCTTTGTTCTTATTGGTTTCAAAGAACATCTTTATTTCTGCCTTCATTTCGTTATGTACCCAGTAGTCATTCAGGAGCAGGTTGTTCAGTTTCCATGTAGTTGAGTGGTTTTGAGTGAGTTCCTTAATCCTGAGTTCTAGTTTGATTGCACTGTGGTCTGAGAGACAGTTTGTTACAATTTCTGTTCTTTTACATTTGCCGAGGAGTGCTTTACTTCCAACTATGTGGTCAGTTTTGGAATAAGTGTGATGTGGTGCTGAGAAGAATGTATATTCTGTTGATTTGGAGTGGAGAGTTCTGTAGATGTCTATTAGGTCCGCTTGGTGCAGAGCTGAGTTCAATTCCTGGATATCCTTGTTAATTTTCTGTCTCATTGATCTGTCTAATGTTGACAGTGGGGTGTTAAAGTCTCCCATTATTATTGTGTGGGAGTCTAAGTCTCTTCCTAGGTCTCTAAGGACTTGCTTTATGAATCTGGGTGCTCCTGTATTGGATTCATATATGTTTAGGATAGTTAGCTCTTGTTGAATTGATCCCTTTACCATTATGTAATGGCCTTCTTTGTCTCTTTTGATCTTTGTTGGTTTAAAGTCTGTTTTATCAGAGACTAGGATTGCAACCCCTGCCTCTTTTTCTTTTCTGTTTGCTTGGTAGATCTTCCTCCATCCCTTTATTTTGAGCCTATGTGTGTCCCTGCATGTGAGATGGGTCTCCTGAATACAGCACGGTGATGGTTCTTGACGCTTTATCCAATTTGCTAGTCTGTGTCTTTTAATTGGAGCATTTAGCCCATTTACATTTAAGGTTAATATTGTTATGTGTGAATTTGATCCTGTCATTATGATGTTAGCTGGTTATTTTGCTCGTTAGTTGATGCAGTTTCTTCCTAGCATCGATGGTCTTTACAATTTGTCATGTTTTTGCAGTGGCTGGTACCAGATGTTCTTTTCCATGTTTAGTGCTTTCTTCAGGAGCTCTTTTAGGGCAGGCCCTGTGGTGACAAAATCTCTCAGCATTTGCTTGTCTGTAAAGTATTTTATTTCTCTTTCACTTATGAAGCTTAGTTTGGCTGGATATGAAATTCTGGGTTGAAAATTTTCTTTAAGAATGTTGAATATTGGTCCCCACTCTCTTCTGGCTTGTAGAGTTTATGCTGAGAGATCAGCTGTTAGTCTGATGGGCTTCCCTTTGTGGGTAACCCGACCTTTCTCTCTGGCTGCCCTTAACATTTTTTCTTTCATTTCAGCTTTGGTGAATCTGACAATTATGTGTCTTGGAGTTGCTCTTCTCAAGGAGTATCTTTGTGGCATTCTCTGTATTTCCTGAATTTGAATGTTGGCCTGCTTTGCTAGGTTGGGGAATTTCTCCTGGATAATATCCTGCAGAGTGTTTTCCAACTTGGTTCCACTCTCCGGGTCACTTTCAGATACACCAATCCGATGTAGATTTGGTCTTTTCACATAGTCCCATATTTCTTGGAGGCTTTGTTCATTTCTTTTTACTCTTTTTTCTCTAAACTTCTCTTCTCACTTCATTTCATTCATTTGATCTTCAATCACTGATACTCTTTCTCCTAGTTGATCGAATCGGCTACTGAAGCTTATGCATTCATCACGTAGTTCTTGTGTCATGTTTTTCAGCTCCATCAGGTCATTTAAGGACTTCTCTACATTGATTATTTTAGTTAGCTATTCATCTAATCTATTTTCAAGGTTTTTAACTTCTTTGCAATGGGTTCAAATTTCCTCTTTTAGCTTGGAGAAGTTTGATCGTTTGAAGCCTTCTCTCAACTCATCAAAGTCATTCTCCATCCAGCTATGTTCCATTGCTGGCGAGGAGTTGCGTTCCTTTGGAGCGGGAGAGGCGCTCTGATTTTTAGAATTTTCAGGTTTTCTGCTCTGTTTTTTCCCCATCTTTGTGGTTTTATCTACCTTTAGTCTTTGATGATGGTGACGTACAGATGGGATTTTGGTGTGGATGTCCTTTCTGTTTGTTAGTTTTCCTTCTAACAGTCAGGACCCTCAGCTGCAGGTCTGTTGGAGTTTGCTGGAGGTCCACTCCAGACCCTGTTTGCCTGGGTGTCAGCAGCAGAGGCTGCCAAACAGTGAATATTGCTGAACAGCAAATGTTGCTGCCTGATCGTTCCTCTGGAAGTTTTGTCTCAGAGGGGTACCCGGCCGTGTGAGGTGTCAGTCTGCCCCTACTGGGGGGTGCCTCCCAGTTAGGCTACTTGGGGGTCAGGGACCCACTTGAGGGGGCAGTCTGTCCATTCTCAGATCTCAAACTGCATGCTGGGAGAACCACTACTCACTTCAAAGCTGTCAGACAGGGAAAGTCTGCAGAGGTTTCTGCTGCCTTTTGTTCTGCTATGCCCTGCCCCCAGAGGTGGAGTCTACAGAGGCAGGCAGGCCTCCTTGAGCTGCAGTGGGCTCCACCCAGTTTGAGCTTCCTGGCCACTTTGTTTACCTACTCAAGCCTCAGCAATGGCGGGCGCCCCTCCCCCAGCCTCACTGCCACCTTGCAGATCGATCTCAGACTGCTGTGCTAGCAATGAGTGAGGCTCTGTGGGCGTGGGACCCTCTGAACCAGGCACGGGATATAATCTCCTGGTGTACCATTTGCTAAGACCGTTGGAAAAGCGCAGTATTAGGGTGGGAGTGACCCAATTTTCCGGGTGCCATCCTTCACCGCTTCCCTTGGCTAGGAAAGGGAATTCCCTGATCCCTTGTGTTTCCTGGGTGAGGCGATGCCTTGCCCTGCTTCGGGTCACACTCGGTGGGCTGCACCCACTGTCCTGCCCCCACTGTCCCACAAGCCCCAGTGAGATGAACCTGGTGCCTCAGTTGGGAATGCAGAAATCACCTGTCTTCTGCGTCGCTCACGCTGGGAGCTGTAGACTGGAGCTGTTCCTATTCGGCCATCTTGGAACCACCTCCATATTATTCGTTTTTAAAAATAAAAGCCTTTATTCTTAACTAATTTTTTATTTGATAAATGTTTCAAAAACATGATGTTTTTAAAATTTATGTCTTATTTTTAACTAACAAATAATAATATACATTTATGGGGTACAATGTAATATTTTGAAATATGTATAATACACTGTGGAAAAATTAAATCAAGCTAATTAATATATCCATCACCTCATCTAGTAATCTTTTTTTCTGGTGAGAACATTAAAAATCTACTCTTTTATCAACTGAAATGTATAATACATTAACTATGATCAATATGCTGTGCAATAGATCTCTAAAAGTTATTCCTACTGTCCAACTGGGACTTTGTATCCTTTCATTAACATTTCCCCTTTCCTCCTTCTCCCCCTTTCCACTAGCCCCCACCCGTGCCAGCCTCTGTAAACCACCATTCTTGTAAAAAGTTGATTGGCTTTAAACACGTGGGTTTATTTCTGAGCTTTTATCCTGTTTCAATAGTTAACATCTTTTTTTTTGCCAGTACCATTCTGTATTTATTACAACAGCTTTATAATATATTTTGATATCAAAGAGTGTTATGTCTGCAGCTTTTTTTCCCTCAAGATTACTTTGGCTATTTGGGCTTTTATCTTTCTGTGCACATTTTAAGATTATTTCTTCTATTTCTGTGACAAATGCCATTGGAATTTTGATAGGGATGATGTTAAATCTGTAGATTGCTTTGGGTAGTATGAACATTGTAACAATATTAATTCTCTCAATCCACGAACATAAAATACCTTTCCATCTATTTGTGTCTTTTTCAATGACGTCGTCAATGTTTTACAGTTTTCAGTGCGGAGGTCTTTCACCTCCTTTATCAAATTTATTCCTAAGCATTTTGTAGCTATCATAATGAGATTGTTTTCTTGATTTCTTTTTCAAATATTTTATTGTTAGTGTATACAAACACTACTAATGTTTGAATGTTGATTTTGTATCCTGCAACTTTACTGAATTCATTTATAAACTTCATTTCTAACTTTTTGTTGGAGCCTTTAGGGTTTTCTATATACAAGGTCATGTCATTAGTAAACAGAGACAATTTCACTTCTTCCTTTCCTGTTTGGGCACCTTTTCTTTCTCTTGTCTAACAACTCTAGCTAGGTCTTCTAATGCTATACCTTGAATAGAGTGGGCATTTTTGTCTTGTTCCTGATCTTAGAGAAAAGTCTTCCAACTTTCTACAATTGGAGTGTAGTGTAAGATGTGGGCTTATCATATATAGTCTTTATTCTGTTTGGGTATGTTTCTTCTTTTTTCTTCCCAGCATTTATTTTCAGTTCAAGGTGTACATGTGGTTTGTTTGTACATGCAGATTTGTTACATGGGTAAATTGCATTTCTTGGGGATTTGGTGTACAGATAATTTTGTCACCCAGCTATTGACATCATACCCAATAGGTAGTTCTTCAGTCCTCACTCTCCTCCCAGCCTCCACACTCAAGTAGGACCCAGTGTCTATTGTTCTCTTCTTTTTGCCCATGTGTGCTCAATGTTTAAGCTCCCACTTATGAGTTAGAATATGTGATATTCGGTTTTCTATTCCTGCATTAACTTGCTTAGGATAATGGCCTCCCACTCCATCCATGTTGCTGCAAAGGACAAGATCTCATTATTTTTTATGACTGTGTAGTATTCCATAGTGTATATGTACCACATTTGCTTTATCCAATCTACAATTCGTGTGCATCTGGGTTGATTCTACATCTTTGCTATTGTGAATAGTGCTATTTAGTAAAGACACATATGTCTTTATGGTAGAATAATTTATATTCCTTTGGGTATATTCCCAGTAATGGGATTGCTGAGTCAAATGGTACTTCTATTTTAAGTTCTTTGAGAAATATCCAGACTACCTTCCACATTGGTTGACCTAATTTACTTTGTCATCAGCAATGTATAAGTATTCCCTTTTCTCTGTAACTTTGCCTGCTATTTTTTGACTTTTAATTAATAGCCATTTTGACTAGTGTGAGATGCTATCTCACTGTGTTTTTGATGTGCATTTCCCTAATGATTCATGATATTGAGCATTTTAAAATATGCTTATTGGCCACGTGTATATCTTCTTGTAAGAAGTGTCTGTCCATGTCCTTTTCTCACTTTTTAAATGAAGTTGTTTGTTTTTGGCTTCTTAAGTTCCTTATACATTCTGGATATTAGACCTTTGTCAGATGCATAGTTTGCAAATATTTTTTCCCATTCTGCAAGTTGTCTGTTTACTCTGTTAATAGTTTCTTTTGCTATGCAGAAGCTCTTTAGTTTAATTAGGTCCCCTTTATCAAATTTTGTTTTTGTTGTAATTGCTTTTGGGCTCTTTATCATGAAGTCTTTGCTAGGGCCTATTTCCAGAATGGTATTTCCTAGTTTTTCTTCTAGGGTTTCTATAGTTTTAGGGTTTACATTTATGTCTTTAATCCATCCTGAGTTTATTTTTGTATATGGAGAAAGGTAGGGGAGAGATCCAATACTCTGCTTATGGCTAGCCCATTATCCTAGCACCATTTATTGAATAGGAAGTCTGTTCACCACTGCTTGTAATTGTCAGTTTTGTTGAAGATCTGATGATTGTAGGTGTCTGGCTTTATTTGTAGGTTCTTTGACCTGTTCCATGGGTCTATCTGTCTGTCTTTGTACTAGTGACATGTTATTTTTATTACTGTAGGCTACCAGTATACTTTTAAAGTCGAGTAATGTGATTCCTCCACCTGTCTTTATTTTCCTTTGGATTGATTTGGCTATTCAGGCTTTTTTTGTTTCCATAAAAATTTCAAATAGTTTTTTCTAATTCTGTGAAAAACATTGTTGGTAATTTGGTAGGAATAACAATGAATCTATAAATTGCTTTGGGCAGTATGGCCATTTTAGCAATACAGATTCTTCCTGTTCATGAGCATGGAATGTTTTTCTATTGTGTCATCTCCAACTGCTTTCAGCAGTGTTTTGTAATTCTTATTGTAGAGATCTTTCACTTTCCTGGTTGGCTGTATTCCTAAGTATTTTACTTATTTTGTGGCTAGGAAAATAATAATGTGAATAGGATTGCATTCTTGATTTGGATCTCAGCTTGGAAGTTATTGGTGTATAGGAATGCTAATAATTTTTATGCATTGATTTGTATCCTGAAACCTTACTGAAGTTGATTACCAGTATCTGGAGACTTTGGGCAGAGACGATGGGGATTTTAGGTATAGAATTAAATTTGTGAAGAGATATAGTTTCACATCCTCTCTTCATGTTTGGTTGCCTTTTATTTTCTTCTCTTTACTGGTTGTCTTGGCTAGCACTTCCAGTACTATGTTGAATAGGAGTGGTGAGAGTGGTCATACTTATCTTGTTCTGTATCTCAAGGGAAATGCTTCCAGGTTTTACTCATTCATTATGATACTGACTGTGTGTCTGTCATGAATGGCCTTTATTATTTTGAGGTGTATATCTCCAATGGTTAGTTTGTTAAGAGTTTTTATCCGGAAGGTATGTTGAGTTTTTATTTAAAAACTTTCTGTGTCTATTGAGATGATTAGGTGCTTTTTGTTCTTAGTTCCTTTTATGTGATTAGCCAAATTTTTGCTTTGTGTATGTTGAACAAACCTTGCATTTCAGGAATAATACTTAGTTGATCATGGAAGATTAGCTAATAATGTGCTGCTGGATTTGATTTGCTTATAGTTTATTGAGAATTTTTGTATCTATGTTCATCAGGGATATTGGCCTGAAGTTTTCCTTTTTATTGCGTCTCTGCTGGGTTTTGGTATCAGAATGATGCTGACTTCATAGAAGAGTTAGAGAGGAGTCCTTCCTCCTTGACTTTTTGCAATAGTTTCAGTAGAATTCATACCAGCTCTTCTTTATACATCTGGTAGAATTCAGCTGTGAATCTCTCTGGTCAGGGATTTTTCTCATTGGTAGGTTTTTTATTGCTGATTCAATTTCAGAACTTGTTATTGTTCTGTTCAGGGTTTCAAAAGTCTTCCTGGTTCAGTCTTTGGAGTTTGTAAGTTTATATGCAATCAGGAATTTATCCGTTTCTTCTAGATTTTCTAGTTTGTGTGCATAGAAGTTTTTATAATAGTCTCTGAGGGTTTTTTTTGTATTTCTGTATGGTTGATGGTAATGTTTCTTTTGTCATTTCTGATAGTGTTTATTTAGATCCTCTCCCTTTTTTCCTGTATTAGTCTAGCAAGTCATCTATCACTCTTATTCATTCATTCAAAGAAAAACCTCTGATTTTCTTGAGATTTTGTGTGGTGATATGGTTTGGCTCTGTGTCCCCACCCAAATCTCATCTCGAATTGTAATCCCCAAAATCCCCATGTGTCAAGGAAGGGACCTAGTGGGAGGTGATTGGATCATGGGGCCAGTTTCCTTCACGCTGTTCTCATGATAGTGCGTTCTCACAAGATCTGATTGTCTTATAAGGGGCTCCTCCCCCTTCATGCTTCTCTCTCTCCTGTCAGCTTGTGAAGAAGATGTTGGCTTCCCCTTCTGCCGTAATTGTAAGTTTCCTGAGGCCTCCCCAGCCATGTAGAACTGAGTCAACTAACTATCTTTCATTTATAACCCCAGCCATGTAGAACTGAGTCAACTAACTATCTTTCATTCATAAATTAGTATCTCACAGAGGTTCTTTGAATTTCCTGAATTTGAGTGTCAACCTGTCTAGTGAGGTGGGAAAATTTTTTGTAGGCAACATCCTCAAATATGTTTTCCAAGTTGCTTACTCTCTCTCCCTTTTCATTATGCCAATGAATCATGGACTCAGTGTCCTTACATAATCCCATATTTATCAGAGGTTTTGTTCATTTAAAAAATTCTTTTCTCTTTATTTTTGTCTCACTCAGTTAATTCAATGAACCAGGCTTTGAGCTCTGAGATTCCTTTCTGAGCTTGGTCTATTCTGCTCTTAATACTTCTGATTGTTTTATGAAATTCTTGTAGTGAGTTTTTCAGCTCTATCAGATCAGTTTGGTTCTTTCTTAAAATGGCTATTTTGTCTTTAATCTATGAAATCATTTTTACTGCATTCTTTAGATGCTTTACATTCGGTTTCAACTTTTCCTGAATCTCGATGATCTTAATTGCAAGGCGGATTTGAATTCTACACTATTTCAGCCATTCCATTCTGGTTGAAAACCATTATTCAGGTACTATGATCATTTGGAAGTAAGAATACACTCTGGCTTTTAGAGTTGTCAGAGTTCTTGTGCTGGTTCTTTCTCATCTGTGTGCAATAATGTTCCCTTAAGAGTGGTATAATTTGAGTATAGACAGTTGGCTTCATTTTTGCAGGTTTTTGGAGGCCTGGGGCTTTTTTTGTGGCTGAAATCTTGTCCTTGGTTTCACAGGGGAGTATATTCATAAAGTATTTTTGGTATTGAAGTTTGGGCTGTGATCCAGTAGATGGTGCTTAATGCAATGGCCAGTGATAGGCTCTTATTCAGCCATATGAGTCCTCTATATTTCCTCGCACTTGGAGCTGTGCTCCCTCTCAGTGCTTTAAGAGTTTGAGCTCCTTTCCCACTTAAGTGCTGTTTACAGATCTTCACTTGGCACTCCCAGGGTGCACACCACAGCACTGGAGAGTTCAGGCTTTTTATTGTCAACTCAGCTTGGAGGCAGCAGGTCCAGGCACCTTGGTAGTGGCAATGGCAGAAGGCCTTTCACTTGTCTCTTGGGGCTCCACCCCAGAGAAACGTAGAGCCATTGCCAATCAGAATAATCAGCCCAGGTTGGGGTGTCTGCATATCAGGCCCAAGCTGGGAGGCCCTGCCTGGTGAAGGGCAAGGGGGACAGGGGGAACATGGGGAAGATAGTATGTCCTCTTCTCCACAGGGCAGCAATGGCATGCTGGAGGTGTGAGTAAAGCACTCAGGCTCTTTGTTCCTTCCCCAGCCTGATGGCGGCAAGGGCATACACTGCAGCAGCAGCTGTGACAGAGGGGCTGTTAGTTGCCTATGTGAACTCCATCTCAAAGAGACACAAAGCCACTGCCAATGGGAATGTTCAGCCAGGGATAAAATGGCTGTGCTGTGGGCCCAAGGCAGAGGTCCTGCCTGGTAAAGAGTAGGAAGTGGGGGCTTACAGGGTAGACAGATTGGGTTCCTCTCTTTATGGCAGCTGTGGAGTGCTAGAGGTGCAAGCAAACATCAGAGGCTTTACTCTTTCCCCAGCCTGAGGATAAAAGGGGAAGTACTGCTGCAGCAGCAATGACAGAGATCCTGTGGGTTGTCTCTGGGATTTCTTACACAGAGAAGCAAAGAGCCCCTACTGACTGATCAGGATGGGGCAGGGCAATTGTCCTGTCTGGGGTCCCAGATCAGGAGTTCCTACCCAGTGAGAAGTGGCATGGTCAGGGAACCACATGGAAAACATTCTGACAGCTTTTCCTTAAGGCAGCTGCAGTGTGATATAGGCCGGTGATAGTTCTTTAAAAATGTTTTGGCTGGATGCAGTGGTTCACGCCTGTAATCCCAGCACTTTGGGAGGCCGAGGCGGGTGGATCACCTGAGGTCGGGAATTCAAAACCAGCCTGATCAACATGGTGAAACCCCATCTCTACTAAAAAAAAAAAAAAAAATTAGCCAGGCGTAGTGGCGCATACCTGTAATCCCAGCTACTTGGGAGGCTGAGGCAGGAGAATCACTTGAACCCGGGAAGCAGAGGTTGTGGTGAGCTGAGATCGTGCCACTGCACTCCAGCCTGGCCAACAAGGGCAAAACTCCATCTCAAAAAAAAAATTTTTTTATATTTAATTTTTGTGGCATATATATATATATATATATATATATACACACATATATACAGAGAGAATGTGTGTGTGTGTGTGTGTGTGTGTGTATATATACACACACACACATATATGGGTTACATGAGCTATTTTGATACAGGCATGCAATGTATAATAATCACATCACTCACATTCTGTGTTGTCTTTTCAACTTGCTGATCATTTCCTTTGTTTTACAGAAGCTTTTTAACTTGCCGTGATCTCATTTGTTCATTTTTGCTTCAGTTTTCTGTGCTTATGGCATATTACTCAAAAAATCTTTGCTCAATCCAATGTCCTGGGGAGTTTTTCCAATAATTTCTTTTAGTGGTTTCATAGTTTGAAGTGTTAACATTTAAGGCTTCAATCAATTTTGATTTTTTATTCAAACTTTTTTTTGGGTCTTTTTTCTTTTGGTGGTCTTCCTATGTTACCCAAGTAGGTCTTGAACTCCTGGGCTCAAGCTATCCTCCCACCTCTGACTACGTAAGTAGTGAAATTACAGGCATGAGAAACCACACTCAGCCTGATTTTTTTATATGGCAAAAAATAAGTGTCCAGTTTCCTTCTTTTACGTATAGATATCCAGCTTTCCAAGCACCATTTATTGAAGAGACTGTCCTTTCACTAACACATGTGGCATCATTGTCAACAAATAAAAGTTCACCGTAGATTTATTTCCGGGTTCTCTAGTCTGCTTCACAGTTCTATGTGACTGTTTTTATGCTATTATTATGATGTTTTGGTTACTATAACTCTGTGGTATAATTTGAAGTCAGGTAAAGTGATTCCTCAAGTTCTGGGGTTTTTTGCTTAGTTTAGCTTTAGCTATTGTGAGTTTTTTATGGTCCCATATACATTTTAAAACTTTTTTTTCTATTTTTATGAAGAATGTCACTGGTATTTTTGATAGAAATGGCATTGAATGTGTAGATTGCTTTGGGTAGTATGAACATTTTAACAACGTTGATTCTTTTAATTCATGAAAATGGAACATCTTTCCATTTTATTGTGTCCTCTTCAACTTCTTTCATCGATGTTTTATACTTTTTATTGTAGAAATCCTTCATTTCTTTGGCTAATCCCTAGGTATTTAATTTTATTTGCAGCTATTGTAAATCGGATTACTTACTTGATTTTTCAGACTACTCACTATTGGCATATAGAAATGTTACTAATTTTTGTATGTTGATTTTGTAACCTGCAACTAAACTGAATTTAGTTTATCAGTTCTAATAGTTTTTTTGGTAGAGTCTTTAGTTTTTTCCACCTGTAAGATCATATCATCTGAAAACAAGGATAATTTGACTTCTTCTTTTCCATTTTGGATGCCCTTTATTTCTTTCTCTTGTCTGATTGCTCTAGTGAAGACTTCCAGTAATATCAACATTGTACAACAGTGGTGAAAGTGGGCATTCTGGTTGTGTTCCAGATCTTAGAGAAAAGACTTTCAGTTTCCCCATTCAGCATGATACTAGCTGTGGGTCTGTTGTATATGGTCTTTATGTTCATCAGGAATATTGGCCTGTAGTTTTCTCTTTTTTTAAAAAAAAAATGTGTCTTTGGTTTTGGAAACAGAGTAACAATGACATCATAGAATTAGTTTGGAAGTATTCCCTCCTCCTCTATTTTTCAGAATAGTTTGAGTACGATTGGTATTAGTTCTTCTTCAAATATATGGAAGAATCCAGCAGTAAAGTCATCGGGTCCTGAGCTTTTTTTTACTGGGAAACTTTTTATTATAGCTTCAATCTCATTACTTGTTAATGATCTGTTCAGGTTTTGAATTTCTTCATGGTTCAAGCCTGGTGCATTGTATGTGTGCAGAAATTTATCCCTTTCTTCTAGATTTTCCAATTTATTGCCACATAGTTGCTCATAGTAGCCACTAATGATCCTTTACATTTCTGTGTTATCAGTTGTAATGTCTCCTTTTTCATCTCCGACTTTATTTGGGTCTTGTCCCTTTTTTTCTAAGTTAGTTTGGCTAGAGGTTTTTCAATTTTATCTTTTCCAATAGCTAACTTTTTTGTTTATTTTTTGTATAATTTTCCTCATTTCAATTTCATTCATTTCTGCTCTGATCTTTATTATTTCTTTTCTTCTACTAATTTTCATTTTGGTCCTCTCTTGGTTTTCTACTTCCTTAAGATGCATTGTTTGGTTATTTATTTGAGGCTTTTAAAAAAATATATAGGCACTTATAGCTATAAAGTTCCATTTAGTACTTCTTTTGCTGTATTCCATAAGTTTTGCTATGTTGTGTTGCATTATCATTTGTTTCAAGAAAGTTTTCAATGTTCTTCTTAATTTCATTGACCTAAGAGTACATTGTTTAATTTCTATGTGTCTGTATATTTTCTGAAATGCCTCGTTATTTTTAGATTTATTCCACTATTGTCAGAGAAGATGCTTGATACTATTTCAATTTTTTGAATGTTTTAAGACTTGATTTGTGACCTAACATATGTTCAATCCCTGAAAATGACCCCTGTGCTGAGATAAAAGTGTTCTGCAGCTGTTGAAAAAAATGTTCTGTACATATATATCACATCCATTTATTCTATAGTGCAGATTAATTCAGGTGTTTCTTTATCTTCTGTCTGGGTGCTCTAATGCTGAAAGTGGGGTGCTGAAGTCTTCAGCTACTATTGTATTAGGATCTATCTCTCTCATGGTCTCTAATAATGTTTGCTCTATATATCTGGGTGCTACAGTGTTGAGTGCATATATATTTAGAACTGTTATATTCTCTTGCTGAATTGATCCCTTTATCATTACAAAATAACCCTGTCTCCTTTTATAGTTTTTGTCTTGAAATCTATTATTTCTACAAATACACAAAAAACTCTAATAACACAATTAAAAAAACTGTTTAAAAAATGGATGAAAGACCTAAAGAAGCAGCACATCAGAGAAAGTACACATAGTAGAAAAACCATCTGAAAAGATGCTTGACATCATGTGTCTTTAGGAAATTACAAATTAAAATGATGAGATTCCACTACTACTACACAACTATTATAATAACCAAATCCAAAAATACTGACATCAAATACTGTGAGAACGTGGACCAACAAGAACTCCCATTCACTATTGGTGGAAATGGAAAATGGTACAGCCAATTTGGAAGACAGTTTAGCAGTTTCTTATAAAACTGAACACACTTTGACCATAACATTCAGCAATTGTGCTCCTTGGTTTTTACCTAAAGGACTTGAAAACCATGTGCACATAAAAACATCCACATGTATGTTTATAGCTCTTTTATTTATAATTGACAAATTTTGAAGGGTAACATGATGTCCTTCAGTAGATAAAAGGCTGAACTCTAGTACATCCACACAATGAAATATTATTCATTTCTAAAGAGAAATGAGGAAGCAAGTCATGACATGAATAACCTTAAAAACATATTACTAAGTGAGAGAACCTGATCTGAAAAGGCTACATACTGTATGATTCCAAATATAGGACATTCTGGAAAAGGCAAAATTATGGAGACAGTAAAAAATTGAGTGGTTGCCATGGTTTAGAGGAGAGGAGAAATGAATAGACAGAGCAGAGAATATTTAGGGCTGAAGAAGTATTCTCTATGGCAAGGGTCCCCAACCCACAGGCCACAAACTGGTACTGGTCCATGGCCTGTTAGGAACCAGGCCACAGGGCAAGAGGTGAGCTGCTGGGGAGTGAGCATTACTGTCTGAGCTCCACGCCCTGTCAGATCAGTGGTGGCATTAGATTCTCATAGGAGTGTGAATCTTATTGTGAACTGTGCATGTAAGGGATCTACATTGCGAGCTCCTAATGAAAATCTAATGCCTGATGATCAGAGATGGAACAGTTTCATCCTGAAACCATGCCCCACCCTAGTCCATGGAAAAATTGTCTTCCACAAAACCAGTCCCTGGTGCCAAAATGGTTAAGAACTGCTGCTCTATGGTACTATAATGATAGATACATGTCATGCATTTGTCAAACCCCACCGAATAAATACCAAGAGTGAAACCTAATGTAAACTATTGACTTTGGGTAATAAAGACGTGTTAGAGTAGGTTCGTCGATTTTAACATAGATATCATTCTGGTTAGAGGTGTTGATAAATAACAGGGCAAGCTCTAAAGGTGTGAGGACAGGGAGTATATGGGAAATATCCGTACTTACCATTTATTTTGTTGTGAACCTATAACCACTCTAAAACATAAAATATATTATTTTTTAAAAGCCAGTTAACAAGTGTTGGTGGGCACATGGAGATAACAGAACATTCACACACCACAGAATGTAAAATGGCCTAGCTGACTTGGAAAACAGTCTTACATTTCATCAAATAATTAATATAAATTTACTATATGATCTAGTAGTCCCTCTCTTAGGTAAATACTTCAGAAAAATGAAAATGTATATCCACATAGAAACTTACACACAAATGTTTATAGTACTACTATTCATTATATCTAAAAAGTAGAAATAACCCACATGTCCCTGAAGTGATGAATAAATTTAAAAAGAAGTGGTATAACTTATAACCATGCAATTAATTATTCAGCCATAAAAAGGAAAGAAGTACTGATGCATACTACAGCTTGGATAAACTTTGAAATATTATGCTAACGAAAAGAAGCCATTCAGAAAACACCACACACTGTATGATTAAACTCATATAAAAGTCCAGAATAAATAAATCTAAAGAGACAGAAAGTAAATTAATGGTTACTTAAGGCTGAAGTGGAGGTAAAGGAAATGAGATGTAATTGTTAAAAGATACAGAGTTACTTCCTCAGGTAATAAAGTGTTCTAAAATTGTAATTCCTTACATACTATCTCCAATATACATTTAATAATTACAAGACGGCCAGGTGTGGTGGCTCACATCTGTAATCCCAGCACTTTGGTAGGCCTAGGCGGGTGGATCATGAGGTCAGGAGTTCGAGATCAGCCTGGCCAACATAGTGAAACCCCATCTCTATTAAAAATACAAAAAATTAGCCAGGCATGGTGGCAGGTGCCTGTAATCCCAGCTAATCGGGAGGCTGAGGCAGGAGAATAGCTTGAACCTGGGAGGCAGAGGTTGCAGTGAGCCAAGATCACACCACTGCACTCAAGCCCAGGCAAAAGTGTGAGACTCTGTCTCAAAAAAAAAAAAAAAAAAAAGAAATTACAAGACATTCTAAGAAAAAAGACAATGTCACCAATAGTTCAGGAAAAAATAGACAATATAAACAGATACACAGTTGATAAAGATGTTGAAAACAGGAACGATAAAATAAATATTATAAACACAGTAAGAGAATAAGAGATGGATAACATGGATGAAATATGTAAAGACTGAACCAAGGTGAATCTTACACATATTAATTAATGTATTATGTCTACCTAAAATATTTAAAAGCAAGCTGTATCCTGAACATTTGGGCACATGTTGTCAGGACCTCCTGAGGCTGTGTTAAAGGTGAGTCCTTAACCTTGCCAAAATAAACTTTGTAAATTGAATGAGACCTGTGTCAGATATTTTGGCTCACATAATAAAGGTACACTTGAGACTACATAATTTATAAAGAAAATAGGTTTATTTGGCTCATGGTTCTGCAGGCTGTACAAGCCCATCTCACGTGCAAAGATGCAGATAGGCTCAAAATAAAGGGATGGAGGAAGATCTACCAAGCAAAGGGAAAGCAAAAAAAAAAAGCAGGCATTGCAATCCTAGTCTCTGATAAAACAGACTTTAAACCAACAAAGATCAAAAGAGACAAAGAAGGCCATTACGTAATGATAAAGGGATCAATTCAACAAGAAGAGCTAACTATCCTAAATATATATGCACCCAATACAGGAGCACCCAGATTCATAAAGCAAGTCCTTAGAGACCTACAAAGAGACTTAGACTCCCACACAATAATAATGGGAGACTTTAACACCCCACTATCAATACTAGACAGATCAATGAGACAGAAATTTAACAAGGATATCCAGGGCCTGAACTCAGCTCTGCAACAAGCAGACCTAATAGACATCTACAGAACTCTCCACCCCATATCAACAGAATGTACATTCTTCTCAGCACCACATCACACTTATTCTATAATTGACCACATAATTGGAAGTAAAGCAGTCCTCAGCAAATGTAAAAGAGCAGAAATCACAACAAACTGTCTCTCAGACCACAGTGCAATCAAATTAGAACTCAGGATTAAGAAACTCACTCAAAACTGCACAACTACATGGAAACTGAACAACTTGCTCCCGAATGACTACTGGGTAAATAACAAAATGAAGGCAGAAATAAAGATGTTCTTTGAAACCAGTAAGAACAAAGACACAACATACCAGAATCTCTGGAACACATTTTAACACTGCTTTAAAAGCAGTGTGTAGACAGAAATTTATAGCATTAAATACCCACAAGAGAAAGCAGGAAAGATCTAAAATCGACACCCTAACATCACAATTAAAAGAACTAGAGATGCAAGAGCAAACACATTCAAAAGCTAGCAGAAGGCAAGAAATAACTAAGATCAGAGCAGAACTGAAAGACATAGAGACACAAAAAACCCTTCAAAAAAATCAATGAATCCAGGAGCTGGTTTTTGAAAAGATCAACAAAATTGATAGACCACTAGCAAGACTAGCAAAGAAGAAAAAAGAGAAGAATCAAATAGATGCAATAAAAAATGATAAAGGGGATATCACCACTGATCCCACAGAAATACAAACTACCATCAGAGAATACTATAACCCCTCTATGCAAATAAACTAGAAAATCTAGAAGAAATGGATAAATTCCTGGACACATACACTCTCCCAAGACTAAACCAGGAAGAAGTTGAATCTCTGAATAGACCAATAACGGGCTCTGAAATTGAGGCAATAATTAATAGCCTAATAACCACAAAAAGTCCAGGACCAGACGGATTCACAGCCGAATTCTACCAGAGGTACAAAGACGAGCTGGTACCATTCCTTCTGAAACTATTCCAATCAATAGAAAAAGAGGGAATCATCCCTAACTCATTTATGAAGCCAATATCATCCTGATACCACAGCCTGGCAGAGACACAACAAAAAAATAAAATTTTACACCAATATGCCTGATAAACATTGGTGCGAAAATCCTCAATAAAATACAGGCAAACCGAATCCAGCAGCACATCAAAAAGCTTATCCACCACGATCAAGTTGGCTTCATCCCTGGGATGCAAGGCTGGTTCAACATATGAAAATCAATAAATGTAATCCATCACATAAACAAAACCAATGACAAAAATGACACGATTATCTCAACAGACACAGAAAAGACCTTCGACAAAATTCAACCGCCCTTCATGCTAAAAACTCTCAATAAACTAGGTATTGATTGAATGTATCTCAAAATAATAGCTATTTATGACAAACCCACAGCCAATATCATACTGAATGGGCAAAAACTGGAAGCATTCCCTTTGAAAACCGGCACAAGACAAGGATGCCTTCTCTCACCACTCCCATTCAACATAGTTCTGGAAGTTCTGGCCAGGGCAATCAGGCAAGAGAAATAAATAAAGGGTATTCAATTAGGGAATGAGGAAGTCAAATTGTCCCTGTTTGCAGATGACATGATTGTATATTTAGAAAACCCCATCATCGCAGCCCAAAATCTCCTTAAGCTGATAAGCAAATTCAGCAAAGTCTCAGGATACAAAATCAATGTGCAAAAATCACAAGTGTTCCTATACACCATTAACAGACAAACAGAGACCCAAATCATGAGTGAACTCGCATTCACAATTGTTACAAAGAGAATAAAATACCTAGGAATCCAACTTACAAGGAATGTGAAGGACCTCCGCAAGGAGAACTACAAACCACTGCTCAGTGAAATAAAAGAGGACACAAACAAATGAAAGAATATTCCATGCTCATGGTTAGGAAGAATCAATATTGTGAAAATGGCCATACTGCCCAAAGTAATTTATAGATTCAATGCCATCTCCATCAAGCTACAAATGACTTTCTTCACAGAATTGGAAAAAAACTACTTTAAAGTTCATATGGATCCAAAAAAGAGCCCACATCACCAAGACAATCCTAAGGAAAAAGAACAAAGCTGGAGGCATCATGCTACCTGACTTCAAACTATACTAAAAGGCTATAGTAACCAAAACAGCATGGTACTGGTACCAAAACAGAGATATAGACCAATGGAACAGAACAGAGGCCTCAAAATAACACCACACATCTACAACCATCTGATCTTTGACAAACCTGACAAAAACAAGAAATGCGGAAAGGATTCCCTATTTAATAAATGGTGCTGGGAAAACTGGCTAGCCATATGTAGAAAGCTGAAACTGGATCCCTTCCTTACACCTTATACAAAGATTAATTCAAGATGGATTAAAGACTTAAATGTTAGACCTAAAACCATGAAAACCCTAGAAGAAAACCTAGGCAATACCATTCAGGACACAGGAATGGGCAAGGACTTCATGACTAAAACACCAAAAGCAATGGCAACAGAAGCCAAAATAGAAAAATGGGAACTAATTAAACTAAAGAGCTTCTGCATGGCAAAAGAAACTACCAACAGAGTGAACAGGCAACCTACAGAATAGGAAAAAAATTTTGCAATCTACCCATCTGACAAAGGGCTAATGCCCAGAATCTACAAAGAACTCAAACAAATTTACAAGAAAAAAACAAACAACCCCAACAAAAAGTGGGCAAAGGATATGAACAGACACTTCTCAAAAGAAGACATCTATGCAGCAAACAGACACGTGAAAAAATGCTCATCATCACTGGTCATCAGAGAAATGCAAATCAAAACCACAATGAGATAGCATCTCACACCAGTTAGAATGGCAATCATTAAAAAGTCAGGAAACAACAGATGCTGGAGAAGATGTGGAGAAATAGGAATGTTTTACACTGTTGGTGGGAGTGTAAATTGGTTCAACCATTGTGGAAGACAGTGTGGCGATTGCTCAAGGATCTAGAACTATAATTACCATTTGACCCAGCAATCCCATTACGTGGTATACACCCAAAGGATTATAAATAATGCTACTATAAAGACACATGCACATGTATGTTTATTGCAGTGCTACTCAAAATAGCAAAGACTTTTAACCAACCCAAATGTGCAGCAATGATAGGCTGGATTAAGAAAATGTGGCACATATACACCATGGAATACTATGCAGCCATAAAAAAGGATGAGTTCATGTTCTTTGCAGGGACATGGATGAAGCTGGAAACCATCATTCTCAGCAAAGTATCACAAGGACAGAAAACCAAACACTGCATGTTGTCACTCATAGGTGGGAATTGAACAACGAGATCACTTGGATACAGAGCGGGGAACATCACACACTGGGGCCTTTCAGGGGCTGGGGGGCTGGGGGAGGGATAGCATTAGGAGAAATACCTAATGTAAATGATGAGTTGATGCTGCAGCAAATCAACATGGTACATGTATACCTACCTATCAAACCTGCACTTTGTGCACATGTACCCCAGAACTTAAAGTATAATTAACAAAAAAAAAAAAAAGAAAGAAAGGTGAAGGGGGAGCAGGCATGTCACATGTCAAGTGAGGGAGTAAGAAAGTTTAGAGGAAGGGCAAGTCTGCTTTTTATTTGTATTTATTTATTTTTTGAGACGGAGTCTCACTCTGTCACCCAGGCTGAAGTGCAGTGGCACAATCTCGCCTCAGTGCAACCTCTGCCTCCTGGGTTGAAGCAATTCTCCTGCCTCAGCCTCCCGAGTAGCTGGGACTACAGGCACGTGCCACCATGCCTGGCTAATTTTTTGTATTTTTTTTTAGTAGAGATGGGGTTTCACTGTGTCAGCCAGGATGGTCTGGATCTCCTGACCTCACGATCTGCTTGCCTTGGCCTCCCAAAGTGCTGGGATTACAGGTGTGAGCAACCATGCCCTACCGGGCAATACTCTTTTTAACAATCAGATCTTGTGGTAACTAATGGAGTGAGAACTCACAGATTACCACAAGGATGGAACCAAGGCATTCATGAGGGATCCACCCCCATGACCAAAACATCTCCCACTAGCGCCCACCTCCAACAATGGTGATTAAATTTCAGCATGAGATTTGGAAGGGACAAACATCCAAACTGTATCATTCCACCCCTGGCCTCCCCAAATCTCATGCCCTTTTCACACTGCAAATTCACACTGGGGGACTATTCTCAATAGTCCCCTAGTTTTAACTCATCCCAGCATCAACTCCAAAGTCCAAAGTCCAGTCTTATCTGAGACTCAAGGCAAGTTGCTTCCACCTATGAGTCTGTAAAGTCAAAAACCAGTTATTTCAGTTATTTACTTCCAAGATACAATGGTGCTACAGGCATTGGGTAAACATTCCCATTCCAAAAGAGAGAAATTGGCCAAATAAAACTAGCAATAGGCCCCACAGAAGTCCCAAACCCAGCAGGGCAGACACTAAACCTTAAAGCTCTAATAAAATCCTTGACTCTATGTCCCACATCCAGAGCACTCTGGTGCAAGGTGTGAGTTCCCAAAGCCTTGGGCAGCTCTGCCCCTGTGGCTTTACAGGGTGCAGCCCTTGTAGCTGCTGTCACCACAGGGTTGGAGTTGAGTGCCTTTAGCTTTTCCAGGCTCAGGATGCAAGCTGCCGGTGCTGGATCATTCTCAGGTCTAAAGGGCAGTGATCCTCTTCCCACAGCTTCACTAGGCAGTGCCCTGGTGGGTACTCTGTGTGCTGACTCCTTGGGGAAATGGAAATGTGGAATTGGAGCCCCCACACAGAGAAGCTGTGTAGAGACACAGCAGAGGCTCTCTTGCAGCAGGCTTCTGCCTGGGCATCCAGACTTTCCGATACATCCTCTGAAATCTAGGTGGAAGCTGCCAAGACTCCACCACTCTTGTGCATGCTTGCATTCTGCACCCCTGCAGATACCACCACATGGAAGCTGCCAAAGCATAAAATGTGTGCCCTCTGATGCAGCAGCCCAAGCTGTATCTGGGGCCGTATAGCTATCACTGGAGCTGGAGTGGCCTGGATTCAAGGAGCAGTGCCCTGAGGCTGTGCAGGGCAGCAGGGTGCTAGGCCTGGCCCCTGAAACCATTCTTTTTTCATAGGCCTCTGGGCCTGTGATGGGAGGAGCTGCCTGAAAGACTTCTGAAATGACTTCAAGGCCTTTTTCCCACTGTCTTGAATGTTAGAATGTGGGTCCCTTTTAGTCATGCAAATCTCTCTAGTGAGATCTTCCTCTGCAGCCACTTACATTCTGAAAATACTCTTTCCTTCTCTAACACACAGACTGGAAACTTTCCAAACTTTTATGCTCTGCTTCCCTTTCAATTCTAAGTTCCAACTTTAAGTCATTCCTTCACTCCCAGATCTGATCATAGGCTGTTAGAAGCAGCCACACTACTTCTTGCATGCTTCACTGCTTAGACATTTTTTCTGCCAGTTACCCTTTGTCATCACGCTTAAGTTCAACCTTCCACAAATTACTACAGCATGGACATAATGCAGCCAAGTTCTTGGCTAATGGGTAACAAGGGTGACCTTCATTTCAGTTCCCAGTAAGTTCTTAATTTCCATCTGAGACCTCATCAGCATGGCCTTCACTTTGCATATTTCTATTAGCATTGTAGTTACATTTAACCAGTCTCTAAGAAATTCTAGACTTTCTGTCGTTTTCCTGTCTTCTTCTGAGCCCTCCAAACTCTTCCAACCTCTGTCCATTACCCAGATCCAAAGCAGTTTCCACATTTTCAGGTATCTTTATAATAATGTCCCATGCTTTGGGACCAATTTTCCACATAAGTCCATTTTGGACTGCCAGGAAGAAACACATGAGACTGGGTAATTTATAAAGAGGTATATTTGGCTCACAGTTCTGCAGGCTATACAAGTGCAGCACCAGCAACTGCTTCCTGTCAGGACCTCAAAAAGCTTCCACTAACAGTAGATGGTGATGGAAAAACACACATTTTACAGGGCAAGAGAGGGAGTGACAGGGTGAAGAAATGGTGCCAGGCTCTTTTTAACAATAAGATCCTCCACTACCACAACAATGGCACAAATCCGTGCACAAGGGATCTTCCCCCATGGCCCAACACTTCCCACAAGGCCCCACCTCCACCACTGGGGAAGGTTATGATTCTACTTATATTACATTCTTGAAATGACAAAGGACATGGAGAAAAAAATAGTGTTTTCAAGTATGAATTGTATTGCATTTATGAAACAAGTTGTTCAAATATTCTGTACTTTTTTGTCCACTTGACATATCATTAACTAATATTGAATCTATGTAAAGCAGCTCACTTTTCCAATCTGTTGTTCCATCTCAGGCAAGCGATGTTAAAAGTTTTGCTTATGTCCCATCTACTCAATAGAGTCCCTTTGTGTGAGACAAACCTTATGATCAGTTCATGACCAGAATCAGTGAATAACCCACAGGGTACAAAATGGCAATTACAAGGTCACTCTCTTTCTGGAATTCCAATTGTTTCAAAATCCATTGTCTTGACAACTTTCCAATTTATTTAAAAACATAATTTTTGAAATTTTTATTTTTTAAGTTGTTGATGTGGGAGCATTGGGCTCCCATGGTCTAAAAGATTATACTCAGAAATGTAAGTTTATGATCTATGACATCGACATTTTTAAGAAACAGTGCCAGTTGTTTTGCTTAATATACCAAATTAAGAATTTTTCTGTTATCTCATGGTCATTTAACTTTTTTCTCTAACTTCAATATTTTTGGTAAAGTGAAATTTAGTATAGAGTGGTGGGAGAAACTATAGAAAAAGGAGCAGGCCTTCTGAAAGGTCAGAAGGCTCTGCATAGCTTTGGGGGATAATAGCTGAAGGCAGCTGTTTTCTGACCCTGAGGCAGAGGGCAAGGAGTAGGTACAATGGAGTGTAGGGGAACTTATCCTGATCAAGCTTGTTTACTTATATTGACCAGGAAATGACCTGTGTGTGACATTTCCTGAAAGGGGAACAATAAATGTTAATTACCTGCAGGTTGTGTTGGCTTCAGGTTTTTGGCATTGTGCCTGCACTGAATAAAAGCAAACAGCGCTAGCTTCTCAGGGCTGCATTTTGACCACTTGAGCCAGGCAGTCCCCTAGCTGCTCTTACACTGCATACCTGTGTCTGAGTACTCCTTTCAGTCTTTTTGATGTCACTGTTTAGGGCTATGAACTTTCCTCTTAGCACCACCTTTGCTGCATCCCAGAGGTTTTGATAGATTGTGTCATTATTGTTGTTAAGTTTGAAGAATTTTTAAATTTCCATCTTGATTTTGTTTTTCACCCAATGCTCATTCAGGAGCAGGTTATTTAATTTCCATGTATTTGCATGGTTTTGAAGATTCCTTTTGGAGTTGATTTCCAGTTTTATTTCACTGTGGTCTGAGAGAGTGCTTGATATAATTTAAACTGTCTTAAATTTATTGAGGCTCGTTTTATGATCTACCATATCGTCTATCTTGAAGAAAGTTCCATGTGCTGTTGAATAGAATGTGTATTCCATGGTTGTTGGATGAAATGTTCTGTATATATCTGTTTAGTCCATTTGTTCCAAGGTATAGTTTAAATCCATTGTTTCTTTATTGACTTTCTGTCTTGATGACCTGTCTAGTGCTGTCAGTGTTCCTATTATTAATTGTTTTATAAATTGGGGAGTTCCACTGTTAGGTGCATATATGTTTAAGATTGTGGTGTTTTCTGTTGGACAAGGTCTTTTACCATTATATAATGTCCCTCTTTGTCTCTCTTAACTGCTGTTGCTTTAAAGTTTGTTTTGTCTAATAGAAGAATAGCTACCCCTGCTCACTTTTGGTGTCCTTTTGCATGAAATACTTTTTTCATCCCTTTACTTTATGTGAGTCCTATGTGTTAGGTAAGTCTCCTGAAGGCAGCAGATGGTTGGTTGGTGAGTTCTTAGCCATTCTGCAGTTCTGTACCTTTTAAGTGGAGCATTTAGGCCATTTACATTCAATGTTAGTATTGAGATGTGAGGTACCATTGCATTCATTGTGCTATTTGTTGCCTGGGTACTTTGGTTTTTTTGTTGCTTGTTTTTGCTTTTTAACTCATATTTTTGTTTTATAGGTCCCATGTGATTTACGCTTTAAAGAGGTGTTTCTGCTTTGATGAGTTTCCAGGATTTGTTTCAAGATTTAGAGCTCCTTTTAGCAGTTCTTGTAGTGGTGGCTTTGTAGTGGTGAGTTCTCTCAGCATTTGATTGTATGAAAAAGACTGTATCTTTCTGTCTTATATAATGCTTAGTTTCGCTGGATATAAAATTGTTGGCTGATAATTGTTTTGTTTGAGGAGGCTGAAGGTAGAGCTCCAATCCCTTCTTGCTTGTAGGGTTTCTGCTTAGAAAACTGCTGTTAATCTGATAGGTTTTCCTTTATAAATTACCTGGTGCATCTGTCTCACAGCTCTTAAGATTCTTTCCTTCATCTTAACTTTGGATAATCTGATGACAATGTGCCTCGGTGGTGATTTTCCCAGGTGTTCTTTGTGATTCTTATATTTAAATGTCTAGATCTCCAGCAAGGTCAAGGATGGTTTCCTCAATTATTCCCCCAAATATGTTTTCCAAGCTTATAGAATTCTCTTCTTCCTAAGGAACACTGATTATTCTTAGGTTTGCTTATTTAACATAATCCCAGACTTTTTGGAGGCTTTGTTCATAATTTCTTTTTCTTCTTTCTTTGTCTTTGTTGAATTGGGTTAATTCGAAGACCTTGTCTTCAAGCTCTGAATTTATTTCTTCTACTTGTTCAATTGTATTGCTGAGACTTTCCAGAGCATTTTGCATTTCTATAAGTGTGTCCAATGTTTCCTGAATTTTTTATTATTCTTTAAGCTATTTCCTGGAATATTTCTCCATTCATTTCTTATATCATTTTTTTAGACTTCCTTGCATTGGGCTTCACCTTTCTTTGGTGCCTGATCAGCTTAATAATCTCCTGAATTCTTTTTCAGGTAAATCGTGGATTTCTTCTTGGTTTGGATCAATTGCTGGTGAACTAGCGTGATTTTGGGGGTGGGTGTTAAAGAGGCTTGTTGGTTTTCTGATTCCTTCTCATTTGGGTAGGCTGTCAGAGAGAAGGCCCAGGACTGAAGGCTGTTGTTCAGATTCTTTTGTCCCACAGCATGTTCCCTTGATGTAGCACTCTTCCCCTTTTCCTATGGATGTGGCTTCCTGTGAGCAGTACGGTGATTGTCTCTTTTCTGGGTCTAGCCACCCAGCAAGTCTACCCAGCTCTGGGCTGGTACTGGGGGTTCTCCGCACAGAGTCCTGTGATATGAACTATCTATGGATCGCTCAGCCATGGATACCAATGCCTGTTCTGGTGGAGGTGGCAGGGAGTGCAATGGACTCCATGAAGGTTCTTAGCTTGGTGGTCTAATGCTCTTTTTGTGCTGGTTGGCCTCCTGCCAGGAGGTGGTGCTTTCCAGACAGCATCAGCTGTGGTAGTATGGAGAGGAACCCATGGTGGGTGGGGCCCTAGAACTCCCAAGGTTATATGACCTTTGTCTCCAGCTACCAGGGTAAGCAGGGAAGGACCATCAAGTGGGGGCAGGGCTAGGTGTGTCTGAGCTCAGACTCTCCTTGGGTGGGTCTTGTTGCAGCTGCTGTGGGGGATGGGAGTGAGGTTCCCAGGTCAATGGAGTTGTTTCCTAGAATTATGGCTGCTTCTGCTGAGTCATCCAGGTTGTCAGGGAAGTGGGGGAAGGCCAGCAGTCACAGGCCTCACCCAGCTTCCATGCAAACCAAAGTGCCGATCTCACTCCCACCATGCACCCCCTAACAGCCCCGAGTCTGTTACCAGGTGGTAGGCAAGCCAGGCTTGAGAACTTGCTCCAGGCTACCTGCCTCCCAGTTGCGAAAGGGCTTGGTTCTTCCCCTGCCTGTGGAGTCTGCACACTGGATTCACACCCTTCCCCCGAGTTCTGGCCAGGAAACTTCTCAATCCATTCAAATTATTACAAAGTTCAGCTGGAAACTGCCTTCTCCCTATGGTGCTTATCTCCCCACCTCGCCCCACTCCTCTGGCCACCCTCCTGATGGATTCCTGTGGTGCCAGGTAGGACTGGCCTGCTTGGGAACCTGGCAAGCTCCCAGGGCCTTTCTGCTGCTTCCTCTACCCCTGTATTTTGTTCAGCTAAGTTGACTCACCCCCAGGTTAAGGTAGGAAACCTTCTGCAAACAGACCTTCAGTTTCTCCAGTGGGGGTGTGTGTTCAGAAGAGGAGACTCTCCCTTTCCCACTTCCACAGTTGGGGCACTCACAAGATCTGGAGTGTCTTGTGGGTCTTGCAGGAGCAGTCTGCTTCCTTCAGAGGTTCTGTGGGTCCTCTCAGGATTGCTGGTTCATTCTTGCAGTCAATCTGGCACTAAAATTCACAATGTGAGCCTCTGCACACTGTTCTGTCCATCCGAGTCAGAGCTGCAATCTAGTCCTACCTCCTGTCCGCCATGATGACCTGCCTCTCCCTTGCAATTTTTAGACCCAAAAATGTCTTCCTATATATTTGACTTACAGATTTAAGTTGGCAATATCTTCTTTTAGGTCTCTGAATGAATCACTACCTTCATTACCTTCTACTTTCTGCTATTTCCGTTAGGAAATCACTTTTGAGTCTTATTTTCCTCTCTTAATGATAATGTATCTCTTCTTCCATTATTTTAAAGAATTTCTCCTTGACATTGATTTTTAGTAATTTTAGTATGCTGTAACTCAGTATGGTTGACTTTCATTGACATTACTTTATAACATTTTTTTGAATTTTGGGATTTCTTTCTTTGGTCTTGTATCATTCTTTAGCCAGTATTTCTTTAAGTACTGTTTTACCCTATTCTGTCTCCACCATCCTTCTTCACTCCACTTCTTCAAATTTTATATTCAATTAAATATTCTTCAAATATTATAATGAGAAATAAAATATTTCTCATTATATCCAATGCATCTCTTATAATGCTTCATTTAAAATCATTTTTTTGTCTCTCTGCAACTCCACCTAAATATTTTCCCCAACAAATCTTTCACTTTACTACTACTCTTTCCTCTATGTCTAATGTGTTTTCAAATGGATACACTAGTTTCTTAATTTTAATTGCCAAATTTTATTTCTAGAATATCCATTTGATCGTTTGTACGACCTCCAGTTCTCTGCAAAACGTATTTGTCAATCTTGTTATTTCATTTTAACATCCATGTTTATTAATTCCATTATTTGGGTTTCCTTGGGGGTATAAAATGGTTCTTTGGGTAAGTCTTGTTTTCCCATATACTCAAGTGGTTGCCAGATATTTTATTATCAGATGAAATGCAAAAACGTATAGATCAACTCTAGATGACTTTATCTTCCACCAGAGATAATTTACTCATGCTTCTGTTAGGCAGATGGGCTACAGAAACTAGAAATCCAGGAGTACATTGATTTATTCAAGAAATAATATCTGAAGTTGGAATTCATACTCTATGAAGAAATAATATACAACCACTTCAGCCTTACACTTGTTAGGAGTCCCAGCTGAAAGTTGGGCTTGTTTGCCAAAGTCTCATCTCCTTCCCAATCATTTCAACATTTGTAATTCTACCATGAGTCTTCTGAAAGTGGTGCATGGTTTTGCATCCTCTTAGCATCTGCTTTCAAAACTGGCATTGCCACAAGTTGAGAAAAAAGCTGCATCAATGATAGGCTCACTTCTTTGGGCTTCATTTATTTGTAAAGGTTGGCCTCACGATTCACCAGTACCTGTGTAGCTCTTTGATGCCTTCTAAAAGACTTTTATATTTCAACACAAAGCTAATTAAAATAAAACTCACAAAAAAAGCATCTATCATAAGTAGAGTTACATTTTTTCTTACAATACGAAAATGTAAGCACTATCACAATCAAGAAGTAAAAGCAAGCCATAACTCCAAAAATTTCCTTTGCAGTCACTTCCCCCATTCCCAGGCACAAACACTGTTTTACCTTGTATAATTACAGATATTTTTGCCTTTTCTAAAATATCATAGGAATGAAATTACATATATAATTTCTAGCTACATTCATTACATTTTAAAATTTCATCCATGTTTTTAAAATTTCATTTTACTTTTTAATGTTTAATTCTTATGAATACTTTTGATATAAGCATACAATATGTTATAATCAAATTTGGGTGATTAGGATATCCACCACCCAAAACATTTATTTCTTTGTGCTGGGAATATTCCAAATCTTCTCTTATAGTTATTTAAAAATATACAATAAATTATTGTTAACTATTTCACCTTGTTGTGCTATGAAACACTAGAAATTATTCCTTTTAATTGTTCTTTTCTACCCATTAACTGACCTGTCTTCATTCAACCCCCCCCACTACTACTCCTAGCTTCTGGTAACCACCGTTCTATTCAGTGCCTCCATGAAATCAGTTGTGTTAGCACCCACATGAGTGAGAACATGCAATATTTGTCTTTCCGTGCCTGGCTTATTTCACTTAACTTAGCGTCATCGAGGCTCATCCCTATTGCTGCAAATAACAGTTTTTTTGTTTTGTGTGTGTGTTTTTTTTTTTTTCCCAAGACCAGATCTCACTGTTGTCACACAGGCTAGGGTGAAGTGAGTTAATCATGGCTCACTGCAGCTTCGACCTCCTAGGCTCAAACAATTCTCCCACTTAAGCCTCCCAAATAGCTAGGACTACTGGAACATGCCACCATGCCCGACTAATAATTAACTTTTTGTAGACACAGGATCTCACTGTGTTGCCCAAGTTGGTCCTGAGCTCCTGGGGTCAAGTGATGCTCCCATCTCAGCCTCCCAAAATATTGAGATTACAGGAAAGAGCCACCAAGCCAGAACAATTTTTCTTTTTAAGGCTGAATAATATCCCATTGTGTATATATACTGCCTTTTCTTTCTTCATTCATCCACTGATGGAACACACAGGTTGATTCTATATCTTAGCTATTATGAATAGTGCTACAATTAACATAGTGGTGCAGGTATCTCTTCGGTATGCTGATTTCCTTTCTTTCAAATATACACCCACCAGTAATATTGTTGGATAGTATAGTAGTTCTATTTTCAGTATTTTGAGGAAGCTTCATAGTATTTTCCATAGTGACTGTACTAATTTACGTTTTCAACAGTGTATAAGCATTTTCTTTCTCCACATTCTTGGCAGCATTTATTTTGTTTTTGATAAAAGCCATTTAACTAGGGTGAGGTGATATCTTATGGTGGTTTTGATTTGCATGTCAAATCAAATTGATTTCATTTGATTTGATTATAAGTGATGTTGAGCATTTCTTCATGTATCTGTTGACAATTTGTGTTTTCTTTTTACAAATGTCTATTGAAATCTTTTGCCTATTTTATATAGAAATATTTGTTTTTTATTGCTATTGAGTTATTTAAAATCCTTATATATTCTGGTTATTAATCCCTTTTTGGATGACTAGTTTTCAAATATTTCCTTCCATTCTGTAGGTTGTCTATTCACGTTGTTTCTTTCTGTGCAGTTTTTTAGCTTGATGTTATCCCATTTTTAAATTTTGGCTTTGGTTGCCTGTCAGGTCTTACTCAAGAAATCTTTGCCCAGACAAATGTTCTGAAACATTTGCCCAGTTTTCTTCTAGTAGTTTCGTATCTTATGTTTAAGCACCATCCTTTCCCTAATGTATGGTCTTGGCTTGTTTGTCAAAAGAGCTGACTGTAAATGTATGAATTTATTTCTGGACTCTCTATTCTATTCTACTGGTTTATGTGTCTGTTTTTGCTCCAGTACTATGCTATTTTGTTTACTATAGCCTTGTAGTATATTTTGAGGTAACATAATGTGATACATCTGACTTTGTTACTTTGTTACATCTGACTTTTGTGACTTTTGTTCACAATTGCTTTGGCTATTCAGGTCTTCTGTGAGTCCATACAAATTTAAGGATTGTTTTCCCACTATAAAGAATGACACTGGTTTCATTAAATCTGTTGATCACTTTGGTTAGTATAAACATTTTAACAATATTAATTCTTCTAATGCATGAACATGTGATATCGTTCAATTTCTTTGGTATCTGCTTCAATCTCTTTCATCAGTATTTTATAGTTTTCATTGTAAATTCTGTTAACCTCCTTGGTTAAATTTATTCCAAAGTATTTAATTTTTTGGAGCTATTATAAATGGGACTGCTTCCTTAGTTTTTCAGATAGCTCTTTATTGAAATATAGAAATGCCATTACATTATTCACGGACATGCATGTTGATTTTGTATCCTGCAACTTTATTGAATTTATCAGTTCTAACAGATTTTTGTCAGAATCTTTGTTTTTCTGAAAATAACATCATCTGTGAATAATGAAAATTTAAGACCTTCCTTTTTAATTCTGATGTCCTTTCTTTCTTCTCCCTCAATAATTACCCTGGCTAGAATTTCTGGTGTGATACTGAATACAATTGTTAAAAGTGGGTATCTTGTCTTGTTTCAGATCTTGGAACAAAAGGCTTCCAATTTTTCTGTTTGTCAATATCATGCTGTGAGTTTCTCATACATGGCCTTTACTGTGTTTAAGTATGTTCCTTCTCTACCCAGTTTGCTGTTTTTATCATGAAGGAATGTAGAATTACATCAAATGCTTTTTTTTTTGGCATCTATTGACATGATCTATGGTTTTTGTCCTTGATAACGTTAATATGATATTCAATTTTATTGACTGGGCCAGGCATGGTGGCTCACACCTGTAATCCTAGCACTTTGGGAGGCCGAGGTGATCAATTGGGGTCAGGAGTTTGAGACCAGCCTGGCCAACATGGTGAAACCCTGTCTCCACTAAAAATACAAAATTTAGCCAGGCATGGTGGCACATGCCTGTAATCCTAGCTACTCAGGAGGCTGAGGCAGAATTGCTTGAACCCGGGAGGTGGAGGTTGCAGTGAGCCGAGATCATACCACTCCACTCCAGCCTGTTCTTGCTTGTCTAGTTCTTCAAGGTATACCATTAGGTTATTTATTTGGAGTCTTTATTGATTTGGCATTTATTATTATAAATTTCCTTCTTAGTACTGTTCTGCTGTATCCTCATAGTTTTGGTATGTTGTGTTTCCATCATCATTGGTCTCAACAGATTTTTAAACTTCATTTAAAATTTCTTCACTGACCTATTGGTTGTTAGGAACATGTTTAATTTTGATGTATTTGTATAGTTTCCAATGTTTCTCTTGTTATTGCTTTCTAGTTTTATTCCAGTGTGGTCAGATACTTGATATTAGTTTGATTTTTTAAAAATTTGTTAAGGTTTGTGTCATAACATATAGTCTGCAGAATTCTGCTTGTGCTGATGAGAATGTGTATTCTGCAGCTATTAGAAAAAATGTTCTATAAATGTCTGCTAGTTCCATTAGGTCTAGAGTGTAGTTTACTGTTTCTTTTTGTCCTAATGACATGTACATTGCTGAAAATGGGACACTGCAGTCGCCTTTTATTATACTGCAGTCTACCTCTCCCTTTAAACCAATTAATATATGTTTTATATGTTTAATTACTCCAATAATGGTTGCATATATATTTACAGTTGCTAATTCCTCTTGGTAAATTGGCCACTTTATCCTTACATTGATGTTGTCTCTAATTTTTAGTTTTTGACTTGAAGCCTAATTTATCTAAGCATAGTAGCTACTTCTGAGATTTTTGATTTCCTATTGCATGAAATATCTTTTTTCAACCATTCACTTTCAGTCTATGTGTGTCCTTATAGATGGAGTGAGTTTCTAGCAGGCAGCATATACCTGGGTCTTTAAAAAAAAAATTCAGCCACTCCATTTCTTTCAAATCGAGAATTTAGTCCCTTTAAATTCAATTCTAATATTATTAGGAAAAATTTACACCTGCCATTTTGTTGCTTTCTGGTTGTCTTGTAAATCATTTCTTCCTTTCTTACTATCTTTTCTGTGTAAAAGTGATTTTGTCAAGTAATATATTTTAATTCTTTGGCTTTGATATTAATGTATTATGAGTTTTTGCTTTGTGGTTATAAGGCTTTAAAAAAGTGTTTTATAATAAGTTACTTTAAACTGATTACACCTTAACTTTGGTCAGTACAAGGAAATACTAAAAAACTCTAAGCTCTAAGTTTATTACCCCTACTCTTAGACTTTTTGTTGTCTCTGTATCTTTTTATATTGCCTATTTCTTAAGCAATATTACTTTTGGTAGGTTTATGTTTTAGTTTTCATGCTAAACTTTCTAGCATCTTATACACAATTACAGCATTAGAGTGCTCTGAATGTTGTGTGCTTAGATTTACCAGTGAGTTTTCCATCTTCAGATGATTTCTTGTTGCACATTAGAGCCCTTTTCTTTCAGAGTAAAAAAATCTTTAGGTTGTCTTGTAAGATAGGTCTAGTGGTGACAAATATCTTTCAGCTTCTGTTTGTCTGGAAAGTCTAGTTCTTTATGATTGAAGGATATCTTTGCTGGATACAGTATTCTCAGTGGAAGTTTTTTTGTTGTCCTTCAGCACTTTAAATATGTCTTCCCACTTCCTCCTGATTGATAAGGTTTCTGTTGAGAAGTCTGCTTCCAGATGTATAGGAGTTCCCTTATACATTATTTACTTCTTTTCTCTTCCTGCTTTTAGGATCCCTTTTTTTGTCCCTGAAACAGAGTTTAACTATATGCCTTGTGGTATTCTTATTCAGGCTTAATTCTCTTGGTGTTCTCTGATCTTCTTGTATCTGAAGATTCATATCTTTATCTAGGTTTGGAAAGTTCTCTATTATGTCTGAATAAACTTTCTACCCCAATTGCTTTCTCTATATCCCCTTTAAGACCAATAACTTGTATTTGCTTTTTGATGCTGTTTTCTACATCTTATAAACATCTTTTTTTTCCATTTTTCTCTCCTCTGTGTATTTTTAAATAGCCTGAGCTCATTAATTTTCTCTTCTGTTTGATCAATTCTGCTGTTGAGACATAGAGGCATTTTTCTGATGGTCAACTGAATTTTTAGCTCCAAGATTTGTTTAGTTTTTGATAATTATTTCAAACTTTTTTACAGTTCTCTGAAAGAATCCTTATTTCCTTCTGTTTTATTGTAGTTTACTGAGTTTCCAAAAAAATATATGTATATTGAATTCTCAGTCTGGAAGGTCACATATCTCTGTCACTCTAGGATTGATCACTGGTGCCTCATTTAGTACATTTGGTGAGGCCATATTTTCCTGGATGTCTGTGATGCTTTTGGACATTCCTAAATGTCTGCGCATGCACTGCAGATTTATGTATTTATTCCAGTCTTCACAGTCTGACCTTGCTTATAACTTCTTTTTCAGAGGGCTCTCCAAGAGTTCAAAGTGGCTGTTAACTGCATCCACTTCAGCAGTAGAGGGTACCCTAAACCTAAGTGTGCTGTGACACTTGCAGACTCCTAGCCCTAATGAATTTAGAAATGAGGGAGAATTCCTTGGGTTCTCAGAGAAATCCTTACTCTCTTCTGTCTTTCCTCCAAGCCAAATGAGTCCCTCTCTAGGCCTGGCTTCTTGGTGTTGGGGGAGGGTTAATGCAAGCACTGTCAGGGCCACCAAAGCTGATACTGCATAACAACCGAGGTCCAGTCTGCCAGACCAGTACAGTACCTGGGTTTGTGCAAGGCCAACAGCTGCTACTGTCTGATTGCCACTGAATTTTATTCAAAACCCAAGGATAATTTAGTCAAAGGAAGGTGAAGCATGGAGGGACTTGGGTCCCATCAGGGCAGTAGATTCTCTTCTGGCCTCAGATGAGTGTAGAAGCACCATCCAGGAGTAATGGTCTGGAATCAGAAGCTTCAGGATTTCTGCCATTGCTTTATTTTACTGAGGCTGGGCTGTCACTCTCCTTCCCCAAAGCAGGAGTCTCTCTCCTGTGCTGCACTTCCTGGAGTTGGAGGATGGGTGATCCATGTACTCCCATGGTCACTGCAGCTGGTCCCTTGCTGAATCAAGCCAAAGTAAACAGCCTCTGAAAGCAGTACAGCACCAGGGCTTGCTCAAGAACTGCAGTTAACATGGCCTAGCTGTCAGAGAAATTTATCCAGGGCCTCAGGGAACTTTAGTCAGTTGGTGGCAAAGCAGACCAAGTCTTGGGTTCCTGCTACTGGGGTAGTGAATTCTCCTCTAGCCCAGGGCTATTTTAAGTGCTCCCTCCATGGGCATTGGTAGAATTTTGCCTGGTGCCGTTTCATTATTACAAGGCAGCACTGAGTTATTATGCAAAGTTCCACTCATGTCACTCTCCCCCAAGCACAGAGATTCTCTCTTCCTGCTATGCTGCCTGAGTCTGGGGAAGCAGTGTTATAGGCAATGTTAAGAACATCCTTCCTACCTTCTTCAATGCATTTTTCCTCATTATTATGCTAAAACTGTGATCCATCACCTCAATTATTGCTGGTGAGGTACTGGTGAACTCCCTCACTTGAATTTCTCGTTCTTATGAAGGTGCTTTCTTGCTTGGATAGTTGTTCAGTGTGACATTCCTGCAGGGTGAACAATTGCTAGAGGGTTCTATTCAGCCATCTTTCTCCACCTCACATCCATGTTTTTGCATGTTATTTCTTTCCTTTTATTGATTAGCATTTGATTCCATGAATATAGCACAATGTATATAACCACTATTCTTTTCTGGAAAACTTATGTCCAGGTTGGGGTTATTATGAATAAGGCTATGAAATTTCAGGTACATGTCTTTGTGTGAATTTCTGTTTTCATTTCTCTTAGGTAAAAACATATCCTATGGAATTGCAGTTAATTTGGTAATTCTAGATTTATAGTTTTTAAAAAAAAAAAAAAAAAAAACCCTGTCAATTTTTCAGAGTGACTCTATGACTTTACCAACCAGAAATGTATACAAATTCCAATTTCAAGTCATGTTTTTAAAAAAGACGATCAATTGACTATATGCATTTGTCTATTTCAGGACTCTATTGTGCTATTGGTCTATTTGTCTATCTATGTTAATACTATATTATCTCTTTTACTGCAACATTATAATACATCTTGAAACCAGGTACAGTAAGTCCTCCACCTGTTTGAAGATTCCTTTGGCTATTCTAAATGCTTTGAATTTCCAGATTTTAGAAACAACTTGTCAATTTATTTAAAATATACTGTTGGAATTTTGCTTGGGGTTACAATGAATTCATAAACCACCAAGCAGAAATTGAAAATCCTAACAATATTGAGTCGTCCAATATATTTAGTGACATATCTTTCCATTTATTTAGGTATTTTAAATTTCTTCTCAACAGTGTTTTGTAACTTGTAGTGTAAAGGTCTTACAGGTCTTACATGTGTGTCACTGAATGGTTCCTAAGTATATGGCTGTTTTATGCTATTGTAAATATGTTATGTTTCATTTTCCAATTATTCATTAATATAGAAATGCATATTATCAATTGTCAAATTACTTTTTTATATCTGTTGACAATAATCACATGGTTTTTCTCATTTTGCTATGTGGTGAATTATATTGCTGGGTTAAGCCTAACATATATACAACCTTTTACACTGCTAAATTCTATTTCTTTTTAAGTATTTTTTGCATCCATATTCACATGAAATACTGATTTTTAAATTTCTTTTATTGTACTATTTTGTCAAGTCTTGTAGTGGGATTGATATGGTTTGGATTTGTGTCCCCATCCAAATCTCATGTTCAATTGTAATCCCCAGTGTTGGAGGCTGGTCCTGGTGGGAGGTGACTTGTTCACGGGGGTGGATCCTTCACGACTGGTTTAACACCATTCCTTTGGTGCTGTTCTTGTGAGAGAGTTCTCATGAGATCTTGTCGTTTAAGAGTGTGCAGCACATCCCTTCTCTCTCTTCCTCCTGCTCCAGCCATGTAACATGTAACTGTTTCCCCTCCGCCTTCCACCAGGATTGTAAGTTTCCTGAAGCTTCCCCAGAAGCAGAAGCCGCTATGCTTCCTGTACAGCCTGCAGCATCAGGAGCCAATTAAACTCCTTTTCTTTATAAATTGCCCAGTCTGTTATTTCTTTATAGCAATGTAAGAATGGATTAATACAGGGGTTATACTGGCCTCATAAATTCAAAATTGTTTTGTTTTCTAATGTTTGAAAGAATCTCTGTAGAGTTTAATATTATCTCTAACCTACACATTTGATGTAATTCTCCATTGGAGCAATCAGGAGTTGGTGTTTTCTTTTTGGTAACATTTATGTTTACCAATTCACTTTAATAAATATGGAGCTTTTTTCATATTTTGTATCCTGCATCATTTTTGAGAAGTGTGTTTCAAAAGGCATTTGTCCATCTAAGTTATTCAATTATTGGCATAAAGCTGTTCATAACATGCAATTATCTTTAATGTTAATAGACTAATGTCCTTTCTATTCTAAACATTATTAATTTGTGTTTCCTCTTTTTAATTTGATCAGGTTGTTTCCTAGGCTGCTATAACATCGTAAACTAGATGGCTTGAAACGAGAGAAATTTATTCTCTCACAGTTGTGTAGACTAGAAGTCTGAAATCAAGCCTCCCTCTCAAGGCTCTAGAGAAGGGGTCTTCTTTGCCTCTTCCTTACTTCTGGTTGCAGGCAATCTTTGGCTTAAAGTTGGCATCACTCCAATGTCTGCCTTTATTTTCACATGGACTTTGTATCTCTGCCAAGGCCTTCTTATAAGGAAACTAGTCATTGAATTTCGGGATACCCTAACCTAGTATGATTTCGTCATAACTAATTACATCTGCAAAGACCCTATTTTGAAATAAGGTCACATCTGAAGTTTCAAGTGAACACGAATTTTGGAGTGATATTATTCAGCCCAGTATATGTCTTACCAGGTGTTTATCAATCTTATTTCAAAAAACTCACTTTCAACTTGATTTTGTGTGTGAATTTCCATCAACTTTGAAAAAGTTCTTAGTAAATATCTCTTCAAATATTTGTTCTGTATCATTCTTTCAATCTTCCCTTTCTGAGACTCAATTACAAGGATGGTAAGCCATTTCACTTTCCTTCAAATTTCACACACTCTATAATTTTACTCCCCTTTTCTTTGCTTTTCCATTTGTATATTTTCAATTGCTTTGTCTTTATTGATTTTTTCTCTGTGTACTTAGATCATATTCATTTCTAGATTTCTGTGTTTTGTTGTTTCCATATTTCTGCTGAAATTCTCTATCTCTTCATGTATGTTTTCCACTTTGTTTTACTAGATCTTTAGGCACTTTTATTGTTATGATCACCCTCTGATAATGCAAACATATGGACAATTTCAATTTGCTTCTACTGACTGATTCCTCTCTGGATCAAACTTTTTTCCTCCTTTGCATGTCTTATAATTTTTAACTGTGTGCTGTATATTTTTTATAAAAGGACAGTAAGTATGAAAAGAAGTAATAGTTAACACCAGAAAACAGCATGCTCCTTTTGTTAGGTTCAGAATATGACACTGAATCAATCTGATGTACAGTTGAGAGCAGCTGGGCTTTGTTGCAGCTGTAGTTTGATTCACTTCCTCCCTCCTTTCAATTATATATATAAAATTGTATTTTATATATGTGTGTTATATATATATACACACACACACACACACATATATGAGACAAGGGCTCACTCTGTTGTCCAGACTGCAGTGCAGTGGTGTGATCACAGTCCTGGGTGAAGGGATCCTCCTGCCTCAGCCTCCCAGGCAGCTGGGACAACATGCATACACCACCATGTCCTGCTAATTTTTAGTATTTTTTTTTGTAGAGATGCAGGTCTTGCTATTTTGCCCAGGCTGGTCTCTAACTCCTGGCCTCAAGCGATCCTCCTGCCTTGGCTTCCCAAAGCCCTGGAATTACAGGTATGAGCCACTGTGACTGGCCATTTCAAATATTTTGAGTGAACAAAGTTTCCTTTTAACAGAAATCTGGATATCAGCCCTGGTAAGATTCTAGTGTTTCTGTTTTTTTGTTTTGTTTTGTTTGCTTTTCAGCTAAGCTGCCAGTTATTGAAAGAACAGATTTTTCTTTGCACTAATCACAATAGCGTATTTTAGAATTTCTGGGGCATTTTACTTGTAATCTGTTGATGTCCGTGGCTTTCTGTGCCTCAGGTGAACTCTCAGTCATATTATCATTCCCTTTGGAGGACACAGTTCTTAAACCATAATGCCTCAGAATGACTTTTCCTTTGTTTCAGGTCTGTTATTTTTCTTAGCTTCCCAATAAATGAACACACCCTTTCTAAAATCAGCACACTGGTTGTTTAAAACCAAGAAATATTTTCAACACTAGACTTACAAGGGTACTAATAAGCCACTATTTACTGAACTTTCATTTTCCAGCAAGTCTTTACTGGACAATGAAAGATAAAAGTTATCTTCCTCTTTCACAAATTCATTGAGCACTTAAAATATATGACATCTTACTATAAAATACAATATAATCTTAGTAACTTGGATGAACGAATATCAAGTTCCTAAATTATATTAGATTTCAGGTTTGATTTTCTAAAATCTTATTAAAAGTAGACTCGTTCAGGGTCCTTCTACCTTGTGATTCCACCTTTTTTTTTTTTTTTTTTTGAGACGGAGTCTTGCTCTGTCGCCCAGGCTGGAATGCAATGGCACGATCTCAGTTCACTGCAACCTCCGCCCCCCCGGGTTCAAGTGATTCTTCTGCCTCAGCCTCCTGAGTAGCTGGGATTACAGGCACACACCACCACGCCTGGCTAATTTTTGTATTTGTAGTACAGACAGGGTTTCACCATGTTGGCCAGACTGGTCTTGAATTCCTGACCTCAGGTGATCTGCCCACCTCAGCCTACCAAAGCGCTGGGACTACAGGTGTGAGCCACTGTGCCCGGCTGATTCCACCATCTCTTACAAGCTTGTAATCAATATCCAATTGGTACAAAGAGAAAAAACTGGGAGAAAACATTATGAATTCTCAAAACCTTAATATAAAAATAGCAAATACATCCACTCCACTTTCTAAAATTCAGTTTTGCATCTACATCTAACTGCACATGAGGCTAGGAAATATAGTCTTGCAGTATACCCAGGACAAAAAGGAAACAGATTTTTCACTATCGGTTCACAGTATCTGCCAATTTTGTTAGCTTAAGACCTCTTACTTTAAAAGTTAAATATTCAACTCAAAAATGTTGATGGAATTGAAGAGAAATGCCTTATCTGTTCAATCAAGCTATTGTATCTGACAATGGAGGCAAGGTATATTTTGATGGTATGATTGTCTTCTGTCACTTCAGCATTACAGTTAGGGATGAACACACATTCCAAATTCTCTTATAATCCCTCCACAAGCCTACAGCAGTGTCCGCTTATCAGTAGGGATATATTCCAAGACCTCCAGCGGATTATTTGAAACTACAGATAGTACTAAACCCTCTATATACTGTTTTTCCCTATACATACATATATACTTATGATAAAGTTTAATATATATATATCTATGATAAAGTTTAACATATACATTAGCCATAGTAAGACGTGAACAACAATAATAAAATAGAACAATTATAATAATATGCCAGCATACTACCCTTGTGCTTTTGGGGCATTAAATAAAATATGGGCTACTTGAACACAAGGACTGAGATACTGCAACAGTCCATCTGATAACTGAGATGGCTACAAAGTGACTAATGAATGGGTAGTGTCTACAGCACAGATATGCAGAAAAAAGAGATGATTTACATCCTGGGCAGGAGGGCAACAAGATTTCATCACACTACTCTGAAGAGCCTATAATTTGAAAATTATGAATTGTTTATTTCTGAAATTATCTTAATATTTTCAGACCATGGTTGTCTGCGAATAACTGAAAATGCAGAAAGCTAAGCCATGGATAATGCAAGCCAACTGTATTAACATTTTTAGCCTATGTTATTTCTAAGGGTAAAAGTTAACTAATGGGATTCAAATATTATGAAAGTATTTTTTTGTCTTAAAATAATTTATTTAATATGTTGGTATGTATCGCTAAGCCTCGTGTTCTAGGAATGGACAAAGTCTATGTTTTTCCCTGAGCCACTTTCCCCATACAAATTTTATAATTTTATAAACTTTGACTCTGTCAATTTCCTTCTCCCCATACTATCATGCTTCATAACTTAAATAATAGTTTCCTTGATACGGGAATCAGGACTAAATGACATTTTGCAGGTGTGTTACACCGTGCTTTTCAAAGGCATGATACTTTTTTATGGTTTGTATCCAAATTATTTCTAGCAATGTCAGCATTTAGTCAATCAATGCTTATGGAAATGTCTCCCAGGTTTATTGCTGTTTAATATAGGCATAGTATTTTATTCCCTTTCTGTCTTATTAGTCCAGAAGACTTCAGAAATATTATTTACTGATTCTTGTATCTAGCAACTAATTTATAATTGAGGTCTCCATCACATAAGCATTATTCCTTGAATTGCTCCAACTGACAGTTTAAATGTTTTCTCCCCACCTTTTCTTCTGGCCAGGGAACCATCTCTTCTAAAAAGATAAAAACCTGATTAATCTTCTTCAAAGATTATTCTGCAAACCAGTTCATCACTGGGCACTTTCCAAATGAGCATTTTTTTCTTTTTAATTTCAGCAGGGATCTGTAAACTATTCTTTACCTGTACATACAGAGATCCAAGGAGAAACAATCCAATCATTTGCATACCCAGAAAAAATGAGAACACTGTTTTTGTAGATGCATGTATCACACTTATTTTGCATGTAGTTTAATTGGATTGCCAATTTTGTTCTTTAGAATTTGGGCTCTACAAAGGTTACATCCTATTAAAAAGGCTCAATATTTACCTGTTCAAGACTACTTTTACATGTAATTATAACTTGCCATAAATGAAAATCTAAGAAGCTCTTGAGTATGGTTATGACTTTTATTAATCATATCTGCTGTTATTCCCAAACTTCTCAATGTTACATGAATACTAACCCTTGTTTTATATAAAATATGACTAAAGTAAATTTACCTACAGGTGCCTCTCTCCTTCATTGGTGATTAAAATTTCACGCCAGAGACTAAACTTCATGAAACTACTGCAAGCATGTGTATGATAGACCAATTAGCTTAGTATCTGGCATTGTGGCCAGAAAAAAAAAAATCGTTACCTACAAAATCTCTTGGGCAACACTTAAGCCATGGAAGAGCCCACATGAATCCAGGTCTACTTTCCTTTACAGGTAGATTCCAGAACAACAACAAAAAATGTAAGACTACAAGAAATGATTTAATATGATAAAACTCCCATTTCAAAACCCAGTTCTAAAGGATTTACTGACTAATGCTGATTATTTAGTCATGGAAAATGTCTCTCATAAAAGTGCTCCTAACAAAACATGATCTACAATAATTTATAAAATGTGAAGGGTTGGGATGTGCAGACTGATTGGTGCACGTCAGGTTGTTTCTCTTAAATAAGGTATAAAAAACTATGATATCATAGTCTTTTGACTTTATTTTCTGAGATAAAAAAGTATAGGCATAGGTGTTTTTAATAGTCTTCTTGATGATATCCTTTAGAATAATCTATCAAATGGCTTCTTTCATGTTTCCTGATTATCAGCATTCATCAGTGTTACTGTCAGCCTTGATTAAGTGGTTGAAAATTTCAGAGAAGAATAAGCAACTTCTGTGAACCTTTCCCCAATCCCTGAGAATCATAATCATTACAGAAATATTTTATCCTTTCATCAAATATCTCTGGAAAGTAGCCGTGTTCGTTCATTGTTAATAGGGCAAGGTGCAGTGTCATAGAGGGTTAATCCATGTAAATTGGCTTCCACCCGTAAAGAAATTTTCTGGAACAGAAAAGAAAATTATATATAGAAGTTTGCTCCTTAAAGAGAGATCACTCCTTCAATATGTTCTATAGGCTACCTTGTGATTATGAATGTAAATCAATTCTAATGGTAGTGAGACAGCTGTTTTACTGTCAAAGGTATCCTCTTTGTACCAATTAAAATCTGGAAAAACCAAGCTTCTCAATTCATAAAGTTCCCTGTTTTTCTTTGGTTTCTACTAAGAATCAGTAAAACTAAATGTTGAGAATGACCTATGTAAAAGTACACAGAATCGATAACAAATTCTATGTAAGAATTTCTGAAATTTATTTTATAGCCCCATTTTCAAGGCTAAATCTTGCTAGCAATACACTACTTCTTTAAACACAGAAACAATTCACCTGAAAAGTTACATCACTTGTTTATGATACCAAATCACAAACAGTTAATTTTCAAAAAGGCGGGAGAGTTGCCTATGGAAAGTTCTCTTAGTCTACCTTCCTGGACTAAGAGAAGGAAGTCTGACTGAATAAATCTAATATTGTGCCTTCTTACCTGAAAATCACGAATGTAAGTCAGGAAAAAACCAAAGAAGGAAAATGACATAGACCATTCTGCTGCAGTAGTGATCATGTGAAGCACATAACCCTGAGTGATGGGAAAAAAAGAATAGTTTTGTGAAATTTCATTTAAACGATCTATATACTATGTTTCAAATAAAAAACACACAATTCTTATAAAATAATGGAGCTTCTGAAAATCAACCCTTGACTTACCAGGCATATAATATCTCTAGAATTAAAGAGCCAGCATTAGGAAATCCTCCTAAATGACACTCTATTTGTTTCACTGGGAGCGAATAAAATTTCCAATTAAATAGCTAAGATAGAACAGGATCATTTTTACTCTACAATCGAGAAATTACTATTGCCTTACCCAAAGCCATAAGATTCATAATATGCAACTAAGAAAAGTTTAACAATGCTCAGAATAAACTTAGTAAGTGCTGTGTTTACGATATTAAATAATATATGGGTTACAATTGGGAAAATCTAGTAAATTATTTCATTCATTCATTTTCACAAACATGCCCAATTTGGGGCTAATTCTTATATAAAACACCACCAAGTGGTTTGTGAAAACAGATGAACTCATTTTATTCTTTAGTATATGTTCCTCTTCCTCTATTCTCAGAGTCCCAGATGTTATATCTACATTCAGATATCCACTATATTGAATCCTAAATGCAGAGTCCATAATCAATTTCCAGATAACAAAAAGTGGGAGAAGATGTCTTTTCAATTCAGAAAACAAGTATTCAAAACATAAATGATCTCGGTTGGCTATATTATATACTATACCCACATTTAGGGGAGTCAATTTCTCAGAAAACTCTTCTGCCATCGCAATGCTCTTCATATTTTGACAATATCTACAGATCACAGGTGACAGGAGAATATGGAAGGTTCTACATAAACCCTACCATATCAAGAAAATAATTTTAATACAGAACTGATTATTCTACCAGAAGACTTTCATTGTTACTGATGAAATGAAAAACATATCAAGATCAATCAAAATAACCATCTTTAATATAAAACTAAGTTTATAGACTGTAAGTTCTTACTTTGTCCTCGGGGTTCCAATGGAGTTTCTGTTCTAAATCAGTCCCAAAATTGCCACTGTGCAAAACTGATGAGCAAGTCAGCACTATAAAAACATAAGTCAAGGAAGAATCTCAGAGACGATCTCAGAGAACAAAAATCACTTTACAGTCTAAAAGGATTACTCACACATTTATTGCTAAGGTCTAAACCCATTTTCTTAAAGACTTAATGTTACACAGCAGTGGTACTGTAAAACTAAAAATGTGCTGCTCAGAGGGTCACAACAAAATGGTTCTCACAGTCAAACCCCACCTCTTTGCTCAGAAAATTAGCAGTTCTATCATAATCTTTAACTAGATAATGGTTCTCAGAAAGGGCATTTACTCATCCCTCATTTCTTTGAAGTGAGTATGATCAGGCTCAACATTTTTGTTCCTAGCTCAATTACTGAGGCACTATGTACAATCTGAATTCCATATTTCAAATTCTTTAGTTTAGGATTGTGAACCTAAGAATCTCTCCTACAAAAAAAAAAAAAAAAAAAAAAAAAAAAAAAAAAAAAAGACAAAAAGGCTTCTTATACTGCACCAATAGTGTTTACTTAAATCTTGTCATTCAATTCCTTTCCAAGTGTAGCCACATTGTACAGTGAAGGATACTGCTAAGTGCACTTACTCCACACCAGATAACCAACAACAGTCTGATCCAGAAGACTTGTTTGCCATGGATTTTGGGCTGCATTTGGTAGGAAAGGATGGTCTGAACAAACATATATAATGAGCCCATACCAAAGGTAAGCACAGCTCCACTTACATGTGCAGCAAAAAGGGTTGTTTTCTGAGAGATAGAGAGAAGAAATACGTCAATAAAAGAAACTCAGAACACATTGGCAACACAACATTTAAAAGCACAACCCAGAGATTTCAATAGGACATTCACTGAGTAGAGAAGCTCGGCCAATTCTACAAACAAATTACTTTCTGAAGTAATTTTCTCTCATAATACTCAGTTTAAACCTAAGGATTATAGTAATACCAAACTATTTCATATACCTCCACTGAAAATATAATAGGAATTATTCATTTATTATTTTCTTCATTTAATAATATGTTTACTTGGTGCCTATTAGGTGCTAGGCACTGTTCTAAATCTTCAGATCCATTAGAGAACAAAACAGGCAAAAATCCAGCTCTGAGTTTAGTAAAGGTACATAAACAATAAATATAAACTTCAGAAATAAGGAAATTCCAGTGTGTCTGATGGTGAAAAGGGTCATAGGAAAAGCATAGTGCAATAAGAAAAGATTAGGATGGACTGCAGTGCTGGGAATAGGGAGTTTCCATTTAAATTCAATTTAACTGTAAATAAAATTTAAAGACTCAAGAAATTAAAATATTCTCCCTTGGCTCTAGCTTGATTGGTTATATATAGTTACACTGCTATAAGCCAAGGAACACCAAGGATTACTGGTAATCACCAGAAGCCAGGAACAGATTCTCCCTCTGAGCCTCCAATAAGAGAATCAACCCTACCAACACCCTGATTTCAGACTTCTGGCCTCCCGAACTTTGACAGAATAAATTTCTATTCAGTCACCCAGTTTGATATTTTATTATGGCAGCACTAGAAAATTAATACAGATTTCTGCTTACTAAAGTTTTACTACTCTCCTTTGATAAATTTCGTATGAAGAAAAAAATTCCTCTAAGTAGGTAGTGAAGACACTTACCATGTAGTTATTTTTCTGAACAACATATACAAATTTGTTTTAAAAGAAATTCAATTTTTATTTTTTAAGTTAGATTTTTCAAATACCATCTTATAGCAATTATTAGGCATCTCTTTAAATGCAGGCAACCACAGCAATAAGAGAATTTTTTCCAATCCTGCATAGTCCCTTTAACCTCTCTCAATAAGTTACTAAATAATTAATGAAAGCATGTTTGTCTTAAGTACTAAGCTAGGTGCTGGAGATACAATGGTGAACGTTTCGAAACCATTGTGCTTATAATTAATAAAGAAATACATCAACTAAAAAATAAAAATAATAAATTTACAACCATGGATATAAAGGGCGTTATGGCCTACCAAACAGAGGAAACAGTATGTGAGAGGAAATTAAATAAGCTTGTCCTATTTAAGGAGCACAAAAAGGCTAGTGATATATATAATGGAGATATTAAGAAGGGGGACAATGCAAAATTAGGCTTGAAAGGTAGACATCAGCCAGATTATACAAGATCTTTGAGTTAGTTAGGCAGTTTGGTGGTTTAGCAAATTATTTTTTTCTCTCTTGAATTGTATCTCTTTTCACATAATTTTTAAACCTGTAGAACTTTAAGCAAGGACACAGGGATGCAAAATGAGATGTATATACGTTTCCAAAAGATCACTTTTACTGCAATATGAAGAAATGATTCAAGGAATGTAAGAGTGAATGCACAGGAACCATTGAGGAGGCTATGGCAGTAGTTCAGATGAGAGATGATGAAATCTAAGCTAGTTGAGAAGAAGACAGTAAGGAGGGAAGTAAAGACAGAAATGGAAAGAAGTGAATGTCTTCAAAAAATATTCAAGAAGTAAAACCATTAAGTCCTGACTCCATTTAAAACACAGTGCTAGCCTCTCTTCCAAGCCAATACCTGCAAGGGTAAAACCATTTATAGACCTGGTTTTGTAAAATTTTTCCCGTATAAATCACCTAGAGTTTGTCTCCATAAAAGAAAAGGGGGAAGTGGAGGAGGAAGCAGTGCACTCACCACTTTAATTAAGTAGTAAACGTTTACTCTGGAAAGGAAGGAGATCCTCATTAGTATAGCAGTGGGTAAAAAAAAAAAAAAAAGAAAGGAAAGAGAATTGTTTGATATTTGGGTAATGCTACAAGGTCTGGTTATAAACAGGGCCCAGCAATAAAGCCGTCAGTGAAAGATGAAGAGGGCATCTAAAGTTGCATGAAGAGATGTTAACAAAAGAGAAAAAGTAATTTAGTCAAAATTACACGGCCATAAGTACTCTTGTGAAGGTAAATTAGAATAAAAGCTAAAAGCAAAACAATAAAGAAAGTATATAGGCTACCTTAAGTAATTGAGATAAAAGTGGAAAGGCGGCTTGTGTGGGTGCTATCAAGAACTGCTATTGGAATTTGCTGGGCTGTGTAAACAAATACTGGAGATTCATGTTTACCATAAAAGTGATGAGAAACATTGTTAAATTGACCAAGAGACAGACAATCACCATCCTCACACTGAAATTCTCCAAAACATTTTTTAATAATGAGCTACAGAAACTGATTAGGGAAGGCAGAACTCTATTTGTGGCACAGACAGCTAGCTAGTTGTCCACCCAAATTGTTGTTATCCTTTCATAGTATAAAGTGGCTGCTGGGAACTAATGTCCAGCAAAACTAAATTTTCTCCAGGGTCCATTTTTTCTGACCTGTGCACACCCGCTGCACCCCCATATCTAGCAAACATGAATGTCAGTGGAATTACATGAGTTACTGTCAGGTGACAAAAATTCTGTCCTTCACCAAACCCAGCTCAGGTTCCTCTGAACTTTCTTGTCAACTAGGTCCTGACTTCTGGGTTGCCATGTTCATCTCTGCATTGTCCAATTTTAGCAAGAATCTTGTTCAGTTTAGCCGTAATCATCCATTCTCAGTATCTGATCACCATAAATATATCACCTCTACCATCCCTCAAGTGATGTCTAATCACCCTGGCCTGCCTTCACCAAGAATCCTATTAGGTCAGTGCTATGGTTTTGACTATTTGACCCCTCCAAATCTCAAGTTGCAATTTGATCCTCAATGTTGGAAATGGGGCCTAATGGCAGGTGTCTGGGTCACAGGGGTGGATCCCTCATGAATAGACTGATGTGGGGGGTTGGGGGTGGTGAATGAGTTCTCACTCTATTCATTCCTGTGAGAGCTGGTTGTTAAAAAGAGACTGGCACCACCACCCCCTTGCTTCCTCCCTTGCCATGTGAGCTCTGCACACACCAGCTCCTGCTTTGCTTTCCATCATGTGTAAGCTTCTTGAAGTCCTCATCATAACCAGATGCTGGCATCATGCTTCTTGTACAACCTGCAGAACTATGAGCCAAATAAACCCCTTTTCCTATAAATCACCCTGCCTGAAGTATTCTTTTATAGCACACAAAACAAACCAAGGCAGTTTAACCAGAATCCCTTCTTAACCCTTACGTTTCCAGCTTAGTAATTTTCCATCCACTAACCACTACACCCTGCTCCACAGCTATGAATTCCCACTTTTACTTGTATTCAGAGTTGAGCCCAATGTTTCTTTCCTACTGCTCTCTCTGTGGAGAATTGAAAAATATTTGATAAAGGTTGACCACTACTTTAACATTAAGTATTTGACATTATTTTTCCTGAGAAAAAGCTAGAAGACCTACAGTTCTTCCTTTCATTTCCTCATATACAAGGCAGGACACCTAGGAATGCAGGCAATCAATGAAAACATCCAAACAAGTAGATAAAATAGGTAAATGATTATAAATTGTTAGGCATATTAAAAACAAAACTTTTAAAATCTGTAATTGTGTCACTTCTAATTTATATCAATTTTGTTTCAGTAGTGAGTTGAAGTAATCTCCAACTAAGTAGTAATGAAGACTCTAATAATTGTCCTGTGGATCCTAAAAAAGTTAAAATAATTTGTATTTGTTCAGACTTTTAAATATGAATTTTTCTAGTTGTGCAAGTAGCTATTTCTAATAGGGTCAAATAATTTAAAGGAAGTGATTTCTATTTTGCTAAGGTAAAGAAATAACAACAGCATGTAACTGAATGCTTCAGGTTTCCCTTTTAATATATATATTTATGTACTTAAGGAAAATACCTATGCTGGGCTAAAACACAAACCTGGAAGTTTGCCACAATAGAAAGTCCTAAACAACTCAGTATTCCAAGTACAAGGCCAGCCTTGTTTAATTTGATGATAACGTTCTCTTCAGGACTCAGAGCATGAACTTGCTTATAACGAACATAAATGGTAGCAATGCCTGGGAAAAGATAATCCAAAAAACAACAAAGTAATAAATAATCAAGAAATAAAGTTGCCAATGAAGAGTTCACAAAGGTCACTGCTATCCAGAATCACAGATTTTCCTTTTAAAATTAATCAGAGAGAATAAAAAGAAAAAAAAAAACAAAATAGCTGTAGTTTTGTTTTTGCTTTTAAAAAATGGGGTCTCTCTATGTTGCACAGGCTGGACTCCAACTCCTGACCTCAAGTGATCCATTAGCCTCAGCCTCCCAGATAGCTGGGACTGTAGGCACATACCTGTGTGCCTGGCTCATGCTGTGGATGTTGGAGAACCTTAAGGTTGTATTATGGAACTACTGATCCCTCCAGTGACTAAGCAAATCATTTGCCTTCCATGGGTCTCATATTTACAAACAGTTATATAAAACACAAAATGTTTTTATGATTAGCATCAGAATCAGCACTAGTTATAGAATATAGATAAAATGGGCGTAGGCAAAAAACCCAAAAGCTTATTTGTGTCACTCTCATATCATTTTATTTCAAATTACAACTTGGCTCAGTAAGACATAGTAGCCAATTACACAGGGGGAAAAGCCCACCTTACCATATTTATCAGTCAAGAACTAGCTAAATCAAATTTTCCACTGCAGAAATATTGCCAGACAATTCAACAGTGTAGAAAGCAATACAAGAGATATGCTTGTAAAGACATGTTTCTGAAGAGTTTGGTCATGAAATGAACTTCTTTAAGTTGAATTATCTTCCTGATTTCTATTTTTGACCTAAGCAAATAATAAACATACAGAAGAATGCAAATATTTAAAACAATCACACTTGATGGAAAAATATTATGTGAGTAAACCATTAATAAAAATTTGGTTCAAAATAAACAGGGATATGAAATACTTCAGTAGCAACTCTATCCCTTTAGCATTAGAATGTTGCTCAAAAATCAAAACATGGTTCCATCTTTATTCTCAAACATCTAAACTGTTTATCCCAAAGGAATTTAGTTAGGATTAGCGGTGGTCAGCTGCATCCACAACTCTTTGTTCCTTACTGGTTGCTTAAGAAGTCCACTACAGTCCTCAAGGAATATCTGGTTAGACTTAACAACTTCCATTTGAATGAATAGTAGAATAATCCGACACATATTTTTTTAAAGGTTTATTCCCATAAGTCCGCATTTCTAGAAAAGTGTTTTTCTTTTAAAAGGAGCATAATTATGATCAATTATTTAGTGATAACATACTCTCAAGTATAACTAGAAAGTAAAACAAGTAACACTCCAGTGTTGAAAGAAGAAAATACTGTAGCAATTTGGCTATTATCATGTTAAAATCACTTTCATTACTTACATAAAACTGCCGCAATATTTAGCATTGCCCCAAATAAGCATTTTTCTGGAGCTACTGTACCAGTGTCACTGAAAGAAAAAAAGGAAGGTATGTGGATTTCTCATACTAGATAAACACATATATTTCTTCTAAGGGATAAGAATATCAGGAGTTAATTCAAACCTCTTATCTTTTATAAATCCATGAGTTCAACTCATATCATTTTATACAGAGAACATGACAATTTGAGTTCACAAATATCTGCCTACTTCACCTTTTACTCACATCATTTTAAGATTATTTCTCTTCCACATAGTAGAAATCAATATATATTGATTTTTAAAAAGCTGTCCTTGGTATGTTAAGACTATGTTATTGACCTACCATCATTCAGGCAGATGGATTTATCTGTCCCACCAGAATATTCCCTAAACACCACAGGCTTTTCACAACTGCCTTTTTGCACCTTTTGTTGACTATGTCTGTATTCAATTAACGCCTATTCACCTACTGATCAATTTTTAAAAGTATTATCAAGCACTTACCATGTGCCAGACACCATTTCAGAAACGGGAACACAGTGATAAGTAAAATAGACAAAGCCCCTGCCCTCGCGGAGCTTACATTCAAGACAGTTTTGAGTCTCTTCCTCTCTATAACCTTGGATAACTCCTCTAGCAGATAGTGACTCACATAGCATGCTTTCTGAACTTCTATAAACTCACTTACCACACAGCATTGCAATGTATCCACCTGCATGCCTGTCTTTCAGGGCAGTATGCAACACACCGGGGCAGATTAAAACCCCACCATTTACTTACTGCAGGACCTTAGGTTCATCCTTTTATCTCCCTAAAACTGTTCCCTTAATTTGCAAAATGGAGCTATTCATTCCCTCCCAGCTCATCATATCACTGTAAGGATGAAATGTAATGGTAATGCATGTTAAGTATCTAGCACAGTAGCAGGCTAATGGGAGATACCCATTAAATATTAGTTCTTTCCCCTTCTTAAAACTACTACAAAGATTAAAAAGACAGTGTCTTTGGCCTTGAATTGACATACTACAGGAAAGAGATAATTAGGGTCTCAACTAAGACAATGCATGGGGATAAAAAAGAAGTAGAAAGTTATAGCTGGTAAGAATCCATAACATATAGTAAACATTTAGATTAGGGGTGTTAGGAAATGGAAAGTATTAAACATGAATTGTAAGGATTGCTCCTTCTAACTTTCCAATTCCATGAGTCTTTCTCTTAAAAAAAAAAAATCTGCAGTGAAAATAGAGAAACAAAAAATAATGTATTTGTAAAGAAACAATTATAAAATAATAAATTTATCTTTTACATACAAAAGATTTTGGTACTCTTTGACCATCTTCAGGAGGAGGGAATAAAGGGTTTTTTGTTCCTGCTACTTTTCAAATTTTCCACAATGTATATGTATTATTCTTAGAAAAATCCATAATTTTCATAGCTATACTTCAAATGATACATGTAAGTTAACAAAGGCATGCATTTCCAAGATGGTTGGCTAAGAGTGTTCCTTCCTTTGGCTCAGGAGAGAATGACATACACTGGCCTACAAATGAAAACAGCCATGCCCATCACCTCATTATCATAGCACTTCATCTCAGTGGTCACAGCATCACCAAAAAATATCTGATCATCTAACATCAAAATATATGTTATCATTATTCTGTACGTTAAATATTGGCAAAGTTTAAATGTTTTTAGATTAAAAATATACATAGATGTTGTAATATTTCTTCTCTTACCCCAGTGGCTAGTCACTCCCTTGGGCATCCACTACTTGAACCAACTAAGAGAACACCTGAAGCACACTTATAGCAAAATTGTCTTTGAAGTGAAATTTACATTTGGTTATGTCCACTGGGGCTGTTAACAGCTAAACCATTTTCTTCGTTTCTTTTTTTTTTTTTTTTTTTTTTGACAGAGTCTCGCTCTGTTGCCCAGGCTAACAGCTAAACCTTTTGGATAGGATCTAGGAACTGAAAAGAATTTTGCAGACTTGCTAGTTTAACTTAATCATTTTGCAGATGAAGGAAATGAGCCTACAAGAAATAAAAATAAGTACTAGAGTTTAAATATGTATGTCAGAATGTTGGAGAAAGACCTCAGGGTAATACTAAGTTCATTAGCAGAAAAATCAAAAAGCAGAAGAGGCAGAACAGAAAAGGAAGTGTCTAGGGTGCTTTTTAAAGAAAATCACATGCAGTACCACCAAGGAAGTGAAACTCAGAAAAAGAACTAAGTGGCCTCTTATATTACAGTAGTCCCTCGGTATCTGTGGGGGACTGGTTCCAGGACCTCCATCAGATAACAAAACCTGGGGATGCCCAAGTCTCTTAACATAAAATGGTGTAGTATTTGCATATAACCTATGCACATTTTCCAATATGCTTTAAATCATCTCTAGATTACTTATAATATCTAATACACATCACTTCATTCCTGTGGATTCAACGAAGTACTTGGCACCTGGCAAACTCAAGTTTTGGAACTTGATGGAATTTCTTTCCCCAGAACATTTTCAATCTGTGGTTGATTGGATGTATAGAAGTGGAACCCATGAATATAGGGGGCTGGCTGTATTAAAAGTTTTTCAAAACGAAAGCAGACAAGTTCTCAGATGGAGAAAAAAAATACTGTGAAAGACCCTCATGAATCTTAAATATGTACCTTCCGGAGTTACTAAAGAATGGTGTGGCTCCTTAGGCTACATATTCCACTAGCAGAGTGGTAATTATTTATCAAATTATTTCTCGAATTGGAACCTTAAATTCTAAAACATTTTTGGGTTCTGTAAATCTTCCCAAACTGCATCCAATTTGTTTATATCTTTTGTGCCACGCCATACCACTGTGGAAACAACATGTAGATAGTAATGCCCAGATCTTTTCTTGACATTTTTAAAAGATAAATTTAATCTTCCAATTTATCATTCTTTAAAAGATTACTATTTTCTGTGTTGGAAAGGTTATTTTTCTGAAGGTAAACAAATGAATAAATGAAACAACCACAACAGCAACAAAACAAAAAATATTACTCAACAATAGCAACAAAATTTGGCATCTCTGTGAAGAGACAGATGTTTCAAAAGCATCATATAGAGGCTGAATACTTTCAGGGGTGGACCTAACTATATTCCAGGTGAAATCATCTAGATTAAAACACTAGTAGTTGCTTAATCATATTTAATAATAACGTTTTAATAATTATGTTTCCTTCATCTCCCTGCCCTATGTAATTTATTTAACTTTTATAGAGAAGTTTAAGTCTCAATAGCTCAGAAACCATTCATATAATTATGATTTCCTCATATCCTTTTTGTGAATGCATAAACTGATGCAACAATTCTAAAGATACATTTGGAAATGTCAAATGAAAAATGTAGATGCCCTATTACCTATCTAGCAATCTCACTTCTAGAAATCTACCTCATATCAACATCAGTATGTAAAGTTGTATGTAATGAAACCTTCATTATAGTACTGTTTGTAACAGCCAAAAAAAAGGGAAGGAAGAATAAGTAAGCAATTTCTTTATCAACATCCTATCACTTTTTATAAATGAAACAAAATAAAAAACCCAAAAAAGTGAGAAAGAACGAGAAAAAAAGAGAAAGAGTTTTGTACATACATGATAACAAGATAAACCAAACTCTGGAAGGAAATCTACCAAACTATGAATTGTCTCTAGGGTGTAGAAACTGGAAGGTGTCAGGAAGGGATTTTTGCTTTTCATTTTTATAATCACTCTAGTATTGTTTAAAATTTGTTGTAATAATTACGTTTTGCTATTGCAATTTTAAAAAAAGAGGGTTATTATAGCTTCTTGGCCTTTTGGCTAAGATCAAGTGTAAAAAAAGAGGGTTATGAACATAGTATATGCAACTGACTACCCATTCTTCATTCGTTGTGAGATTTCAAAAATGTTATCAATAAATTTTGATACTTAATACGTCAAAAATATCTAGGCAGCATAAAAAGTAAGAGCCTAGCTTCTAGAGTCAAACTGTCCAGGTTTAATTCTTGGTTCCAACACTGAGTTATTTGCCCATGAGCAAATAACTTGACCTCCCTGGACCTCATTTCCTTCTCTCTCAAATGAGGATCATAGTTTCTACCTTATCCAGTTGTTGTAAGGATTCAACTATTTAGGACATGAAGAATGCTTAGTAAATTACTTTCTACGAGGCTGGGCACAGTGGCTCACGCCTGTAATTCCAGCACTTTGGGAGGCCAAGGCGGGCAGATCACGAGGTCAGAAGTTCAAGACTAGCCTCACCAACATGGTGAAACCCCATCTCTACTAAAAATACAAAAATTAGGCGTGGTGGTGTGCGCCTGTAATTCTAGTGACTCAGGAGGCTGAGGCAGGAGAATCACTTGAACCTGGGAGGCGGAAGTTGCAGTGAGCCGAGATTGTGCCACTGCACTCCAGCCTGGGCGATAGAGTGAGATTCCATCTCAAAAAAAAAAAAAAGTTTGGGTGCAGTGGCTCACACCTGTTAATTCCAGCACTTTGGGAGGCTGAGGTGGGCAGATCACAAAGTCAGGAGTTCAAGAGCAGCCTGACCAACATGGTGAAACCCCATCTCTACTAAAAATGCAAAAAAAAAAAAAGAAATCAGCTGGGCGTAGTGATGCACGCCTGTAATCCCAGCTACTCGGCAGGCTGAGGCAGAAGAATCGCTTGAACTCGGGAGGCGGAGGTTGCAGTGAGGTGAGCTGAGATCATGCCACTGCACTCCAGCCTGGGTGACAGAGCTAGACTCCATCTCCAAAAAAAAAAAGAAAATTACTTCGTACGCAGTAAGCATATTAAGACATGTTTGTCATTTCCATTATCTTTTCATATCATTATTATTGTTTGTAGCATTTATTTTTTAATTTTAAGCGGCGAATAATTCCAATTCTATATTCTGAAACAACTTCAAATACTTACTTAGAAAACAAGGCACTAAAGAGTCACAGTTCAAGAACCAGTTCACAAACTGAATCTTATTGGGCTGTCTCTACATTTCTCTATCACAAAGAAAAAGCCAAATTCAAGTTCCTTTTTATATTCCCTTTATTGTTGTAATGCCAATGTAAAATCTGATTTTTAAAAGGTTGACATTAAATGTTGACTTCAATGTTAAAATAAGAATGAGACATAAAGAGTCTCCTATACAAAGAATACATTTCACTTACCTGATATAAGGTAAAGCCGGGTCTATATGGTGGAGTGTTACTGCAGTAATGTATGAAAATATGAAAGCAGCAGATGTCCAAATTACAAGGGCTGAAGGAAGGAAACTGAGGCCTTGCTGAAACCACCACATTTCTAACAGGTTTTCTGAAATAGAGAAAACATATTAGAAAAGATAATTCACAAGAGTTTCCTCATCCTACTTTAGCCATCCATGCCCACAGCCTTGTACTTACCACCCCAAGCTGTTTCACCTCTGAAATCATCCCTCATGCCATACCCCAATACTCGCTCTCCTTCCCTTTCTTAGTGAGCGCAACCAAGATTCACCCACGTGACAGAGCTAGAAACTTGCTTTCTTGTCCCATCTTCCCATGGAAAGTACCAAGTACTGTTTATACTACCTCCCAAATTTATTTCAAATCTACCCTTTTTCTCCATCTTCACTGTCACTACTTTACCCAAACCACCATCATCTCTTGGTCAATTATAACTTCCTAAGGGGTACCTGTGATATTGTGAAATACATATGTATTTGGTCTTCATCCCATTTCCTGGCAAAAAGCTCTTAAAACGCTTGGAATCTCCAGGGTAATAGGAGTGTCTTTTATATGCTAATAAGGCTTGCAGTCCATATAGTTTTAGGATGGGAGCTGGTCACAGGAAAGACCAAGGCATAATTAGAGGGTTGGACGTTCAGTCCTCCATCCCCAATTCCAGGAAGGCAGAGAGAGAGGATGAAACTTAAGTTGATCATGCCTGTGTAATGAGGCACCCATAAAAACCCAAATGGACTGGGTTCAGAGAGCTTCTAGATAGCCAAACATGCGGAGGTTCCTGAAGGATGGCATACCCAGAGAGGGCACAGAAGCTCCGTGCCCCTTTCCATATCCCTTGCCTTATGCATCTGGTAAATATAAGCATTTCCCTGAGTTCTGTGAGCCACTCTAGCAAATTAATCAAACACAAGGATGGGGTAGTGAGAACCTTAGTTTATAGCCAGTCAGTTAGAAACATGGGTAAGACAACCCCAGCTGGTGATTGGTGTCAGAAGTTGGGAGGTAGTCTAGTGGGACTGAGCCCTCAACCAGTGCGATCTGATGCTATCTCTAGGTAGATACCATCAGAATTGAATTAGGGGATATCCAATTGGTGTCAGCTGGTGGAGAGAAATCTCCATACTTCTTGATGATCAGAGAAGTATTGTGTTGATTATTGAGTGAGAGAACAGGAAAAACACTTTGGGTGGTTTTTCTTCCTCTTTTTTTTTTTTTTTTTGAGACAAGGCCTCACTCTGTTGCCCAGGCTGGAGTGCAGTGGTGCAATCACAGCTAACAGCAGCCTTGACCTCCCTGGCTCAAGTGATCCTCCCACCTCAGCCTCCCAAGTAGCTGGGACCACAAGTAACGCACCACCATGCCCAGCTAACTTTATTATTTGTAGAGATGAGGTCTCATTATGTTGCCCAGGCTGGTATCAAACTCCTGGGCTCAAGAAATCCTCCCACTTCAGCCTCCCAAATTGCTGGAATTATAGGTATGAGCCACCCAGCCAGCCTAGTTTTTCTATTATTACTCAATCCTCCTCCAGTCTTGACCAAACCAATCTAGACTCCACTCTAAAACCAAAGTAATCCTTCTAACTTCAAAATACCAATCTGATCCCCTTATTCTCCTACAATGGTTTCCCCTATACCCTTAGTCTTTGCTCCTTAACGTGGTCCATAAGGTCCTTGCATTGTCTTGTCTTTACTTACCTTTTTTTTTTTTTTTTTGAGACAGAGTGTCACTGTGACACCCAGGCTGGACTGCAGTGGCACAATCTCGGCTCGCTGCAACCTCAGCCTCCCAGGTTCAAGAGATTCTCCTGCCTCAGCCTCCTGAGTAGCTGGGATTACAGGCATCTGCCACCACGTCCGGCTAATCTTTGTATTTTTAGTAGAGATGGGATTTCACCACGTTGGCCAGGCTGGTCTCGAATTCCTCACCTCAAGTGATCCACCTGCCTTGGCCTCCCAAAGTGCTGGGATTATAGGCGTGAGCTACCATGCCCGGTCTGTCTTTACTTATCTTTCTATATTCACCTCTGGGCCATGCTTGGTTCTCAATTCTTTGCTCTAGCTATCATTATCTCATCATTACAAAAGCAAACACCTAGCATTTACTATGCCTTAGCAGTGTTTACTAAACACCTTAAATACATGAAATAATGTACTTTCCTCAACAGAATTAGAGGTTAAGACAATTGCCCAAGGTCATAGAGCTGGATGTGGTGGAGATACGATTCAAACTCAAGCAATTTGATTCTAGTGCCCAATCAACTATGCCACAGTGCCAGAGCATATTTCTTATAGATCTTCAAATGTGTCATGCTCTCTAGCACACCTTCAGACATTCATGGTGACTAGAACACTACCTACCCAGTTAACTTTTATGTTTTTCAAGGCTCAATCTTTCCAGCTTCAGCTGAGTGTCCCTGCTTTGTTTTTAACAGCACCCTTTACTTCCCCAACCAGGGCACTCATTACATTTAACTTGCTTGTTTGGTTTTCTCATCCTCACTAAACTTTAAGTTCTGTGAGAACAGGAAACAACTGTTCTGTTCACTATTATATTTCCAGCTCCTACATTGGGGCAGCAGGAGCAGGGGCGGAGACAGAGGGCCTAAATACACTCATACCCCACATCACCACTTTCTTCCTTGAATTCCAGATTAAGGATGTTGTTAAGTAATAATGAGTCAATAATGTGAATTAAGAAACATTGGTACAAATTCATGCTTTTAATTTTTTTAATTTTTAAAAATATAAGAATACTTTTAAATTAGAATACTCCTATGAATGTGAGAATAATTTCATGTTTGAAGGAGTATCTTCTCATATTTTTTTGATGACCTAAAGAAATTTAGTGTTTTCCATGAACTTTGTGAATACTTACAGCTTCCTCATCTGAGACTGACTTTCCAAAGAATGAAATCTCAGCCATTTTTTATTGGTATTTGTCATTTACTCTGGCCATCTGATTTGTTGCTAAATATACACATTTGCATTTCATAATCTTCTCTTTTCTCTTCCTTTTTCCTTGTCAGTCCTTAACATCCCATCAATATCTTTTTTCTTCATCTATTCAGTTAATCATGACAAGTCCTTGCCAAATCCTATTGGTGCTTTCCCCAGCATAGGTTTCCAGGACAAGAGTTCTTAATTTACATAATTTTGAATCATTTCTAAGATCTTTAATTTTTTCATTTTTCATCTCTTTAAATGTTAATTTGTTTCTGATCATTCCTATAAGTCCTTAGGAGTCTATGTCAGTTTAGCTGTCCCTTACACATATGTTTTACAGTTTTTGACTCTGAGCCTATATTGGACAATCTTAAAATCTGGGAGTATTTTAAAAGGCTTAACTAAGGGTGAGTCATTACAGAGAGGATCCGTATTTGTTTTTTCCAGACAGTATGGCACATTACCAACCCGGGCCAACTTTATGTTAATTTCTTGGCTTCTGGTTTTTTAGATCATGTAGATATGTAAATTTGAACCTTGAATGAGTGATGGCAGACCCTCCAGTTTCAAGTTTTCAGGTGGTATCTTTATTCCCCCACCTGGAGCTGTGATGAAAAGGAACAAATTTCTCTGTGATCTCCCTTTGCCAGGAGGGAGACATTTTTCTGGCCCACCTATGACTGACTGTGTAGACTTTTGTGGGTCCTGGCTGAATGTGGGGCAAGGTGCTTCTCCAATACCATGAGTTGTACAATTTCAAGTGGAAATACTTAAACTTTATTCTATGAAAACATCACCCCCTGAAACACAGGTACCATTTACCTCAACTACCATGGAATGGCACCCATTGACATTGAAGCATGTGCCTGGGAGGTTACAGGGATATGAATTCTATCTCTCTGCTTTGGGTAGAGAGCAGCCTGTCACCTGTCCCTGATTGTGCTCTACTTCTGCTATCAGCCAAATGCCCCCAAAGGAAACACACTGCTAGTATACTACTCTAGTTTCAGCTTTTTTATTGTTGTTGTTTAACTTTTTAGCCCTGGAGATTTCCCTGTCTTTCGTAGAAGACCTGTCATGAATTTAATGAGCTAATGTAATTTATTCAGCATTTAGGTGTATTGGTAAAAGAGATTTTCAAATATTTTGTCCACCTCATTGCTAGTAGCAAAACCTCCTCCCCCTTTGTTTTACATGTCTAAATCCTTCTTTTTCTTCAAAAGCTCAAATGCTATCTTCCACAGATAACTTTACCTAAGCCCTTTGTATGTAGAAATAAGCACCCCTTTCTCTGAGAACACTTGACTTTCACATCTTTTAGAGCTCATTGTCTCTACAGTATGAAAATTGAGGACGGTGTCTTTAGGGAATAAGATCCTTCCACTTCTCTACCTAAGCATAGCAGAGGACCTTACCCATAGTAATCACTCAATTATTTGTTGAATGAACAGCCAAAGCAAAATCCTTTTATTTCCCAAAACTATTCATGATTTTTCTATTTCAGTAAACAACATTACCATTTTTTTCAGGTTATGAGGATTCTAAGACTTCAGAGGAATCTTAGGTTCTCTCTTATAAAGTCCTCACATGCTGTCACCAAGTGATGGCAATTCTATTTCTACAAGTCATTTAAACCATTCTTCTTCCCAGTTCACACTGTAACCATGTGATTCTGACTTTCAATTCTCTTGGCCTATCTGCTTTTCCTTCCCCTTCACCCATTCCACCTGCATTACCTAATTAACATTCCTAAAGTATTCCTCTGCTCAAAACTTTTTTTTTAATAAAATTGTGTGAACTTCAGCAAGCTTCATAACTTCTCTGAACCAGTTTCTCCTTTGAAAAATGGAATAATGTGAGGCTGGGTGCGGTGGCTCAGGCCTGTAATCCAGCACTTTGGGAGGCCGAGGCAGGCGGATCACGAGGTCAGGAGTTCTGAGACCAGCCTGGCCAGCACGGTGAAACCCAGTCTCTACTAAAAATACAAAAATTAGCCAGGCATGGTGGCGTGCGCCTGTAATTCCAGCTACTCGGGAGGTTGAAGTAGGAGAATGGAGGCTGAGGTAGGAGAATCGCTTGACCCAGGGAGGCAGAGGTTGCAATGAGCTGAGATTGTGCCACTGCACTCCAGCCTGGGCAACAGAGCAAGACTCCATCTCAAAAACAAAAAAACAAAAAAAAACAAAGAAAAATGGAATAATGTTATCAACACAGATTGTACCATCTGCTATAGCAACCACTGCTACATGTAACTATTTAAATTAAAATCTCGATAGATTAAAATTAAATAAAATTTTTAATTCCTCAGTCACACTACCCACATTTCAAATGCTCAAAAGCCACGTGTCACCATCCTGGCCAACACGGTGAAACCCCGTTTCTACTAGAAATACAAAAAATTAGCCGGGGGTGATGGCAGGCGCCTGTAGTCTCAGCTACTTGGGAGGCTGAGGCAGAAGAATCACTTGAATCTGGGAGGCGGAGGTTGCAGTGAGCTGAGATCGTGCCACTGCACTCCAGTAAAAATTTAGAACATTTCCATGATTGGCCGGGCACGGTGGCTCGCGCCTGTAATCCTAGCACTTTGGGAGGTCGAGGCAGGCGGATCACGAGGTCAGGAGATCGAGACCATCCTGGCTAACACGGTGAAACCCCGTCTCTACTAAAAATACAAAAAATTAGCCGGGCGAGGTGGTGGGCGCCTGTAGTCCCAGCTACTCGGGACGCTGAGGCAGGAGAATGGTGTGAACCCCGGGGGGCGGAGCCTGCAGTGAGCCGAGATCGCGCCACTGCACTCCAACCTGGGCGACAGCGAGATTCCATCTCAAAAAAAAAAAAAAAAAAAAAAATTTCCATGATTGTGGAAAAGTTCTATTGGACTGTGCTGAGTAGTCTTTGTACAGCTTATACTGATAGCACAAGCAAAGAACCTAACAGATTGCTGGTGCATAATAAATGGTAGCTTTTAGTATTATCTGTTAAATAGTATAAAATAATACCCATTTCATAGAGGTTTATTCAAGGATTAAATAAGATACTTATTTTCAGAGATGATCAGTATGTACTTGTTCCTCTTATAATGTGAAAAATGAATTACCTGTTTTACAACTTCACAAAATGTTAGTCTTCAGACCTGCTCATACCTGCACCTTTTGTAAATCCTAAAACCGACACAAAGAAAATAAGAAGTTTTTCTCTCAATCCACACAATTTTAAACATGTACAGTTTTAAGTCAACACGCCAATATTGTTCATGGGCAGAATACTAGGCTACAGCATTGTTAACAGGTTATTTTTCTTTGATGAGTTGACACTTGAGTTTTTTACAATGATGTTGTACCATCTGGAATTAAATAATGTTTTAATTCCAGGATATAAATTTTCATATGCATTCTCACATCCAACACCTTCACTATCTTAAAGAGGAAAAAAGAAATATCATTGCGTCTTCTCCTATAGAGAGACATGAGGAAAAAAATAATAGATTATTAAGCAAAATAAAGCAATTGCAAGTCCATGTGATGTAAAGAACACAGCTGTGAGATGAGATATCTCTAAACACAAGTCCTACCTTTACTACTACCCAACTCTATGATTTCAGGCAATTTACTTAGCTTCTGAGTTACAGTACTCAAACAGTTGTTCCTTGGAGTGGAGTAGAATAAGCATACAATATAATAATGATAGCTGATTTATTAATTATGTAGTCATAAGGCCACAGGTATGGAGTACAACTTTATGTATGATTTTTTTCTATGTACGAATTATCTTGGATTCGTATCTCCTTAGGCTTTGAGAGTCCCAGTTGTTTAAACTGACAGTTTATAGAAGCAGGGCTTGAAATGGTTTACCAGTTTGCGAATGACAACTGAGGAATTTAAATGCATGGACTAGGTGAGGAAGACTAATTGTCAATGTGTTTTTGCCTTTGAAACCTGAAAGCATTGCTGAGTAATTGCCAAACCAACAAAATTAGAATTTCAATGATTCATAATTCAAAAAGCCTTTCAAAATAATTGAGAGTATGCAGGAATAAATTTCACAGGGCAGTAAGAATGTTTATAAAAATGTTCTTGCAGGCCGGGGGCGGTGGCTCTCGCCTGTAATCCCAGCACTTTGGGAGGCCCAGGCGGGCGGATCACGAGGTCAGGAGATTGAGACTATCCTGGCCAACATGGTGACACCCTGTCTCTACTAAAAATACAAAAATTAGCTGGGCGTGGTGGCGGGCGCCTGTAATCCCAGCTACTCAGGAGACTGAGGCAGGAGAATCACTTGAACGCGGGAGGCGGAGGTTGCAGAGAGCCAAGGTCGTGCCACTGCACTCCAGCCTGGCAACAGAGCGATACTCCATTAAAAAAAAAGAAAAGAAAAAGTCTTGCATCTCTAACCTAACCTATCTTCTCTGCTCTCTTTGAAGTTCTATGAATCAAAACTGTGATTACAATTTTTTAACAAATATTTAAATACCCGTGGTAATAAAATGAATTCCTCATGCTGTCTTCGCCAAGTGGTGAATGCTAAGAAATAAGAAAGGAAATTCTGGAAGTTCCAAGTGAACGGTCAGAAAGCCCTAAGCTGCTTTTAGAGATGCACAGAACCATCAGGCTCAAATCAAAATATAATTTAAAAATACTTACTTTTCTAAACTCTAACTTGGCCTCCTGACAAACATAATATTCTCCTAATGGTTAAATCCTAAAGAGTCTAGAAAATTAAGTTTTTTTATAAGCTGCATCAAATGTTACATTAAGAGAAATGAGGACAATCCGATAATGCAATGCAAAATACAGAGTTGCATTTGGTTACTGATTTATAAATTAAAATTTGGGAGAACTGGAAAGATTATTTCTACAGTGTTTTGTGTTTTTCAGATGTATCCTACTTGAAAGCACGGTTGTGAAGATACCCAGGACCAGCAATTTCCTTTCTGTGTGGGACCCACCCGCTGCGATAGAATTGAGTGCAGAAGACTGAGCTTCGTGTAAACACAAGGTCACCAGGGATCGTAATTTCAAACTCTCCCCTCCCCCTCGCTCCCTCCAGCCACCAAAGTATCTGAACCCAGAACTCACAACAGGAACGTGTACTCAACAGGAACGTGTACTCAATTAGCTTTTGTGGGAAAGGGTTGAAGATTCTTGGTAACTGCTTCAACAAACCAGAGGAATTAATTAGACCGCTGATTTTCTCCGGAAGCGCGAAGCACTAGGCCGTTTGAGGATCTCCGCTCCGCTTTGCCTGGGACCAGGAAAAGACGCGAGAGACGGAACTCGGCATCAGGCACTGCTTGGGGCAGGAGGAGAGTAGGGGAAACCAAGGAAGAGAACAGAAAGGTAGGGCACGGGGAGCTGAGCCCAGCTGCACTCATCCCCGCCCCCGGAAACCCCCGCAGCTCCCGCCCCAACCAGCCCCCCTCTGGCGCCTGGCATAAGGTAGCCCCCGGAGGCAATGAGGGCCAGCAGGAGTCTCGCGCGCCTGCGACGCGGGTAAGGGGGCTCCAGGCTGCGCCCACTTCCCCGAGCTGCCAGATCCCACCCTCTGACGCACCCTTCTAGAGGGAGCGGGCTGCAAGCGCTGGGGCCTGTCCCTTCTCCCCTACTTCGACTTACCTTACCAGACCGACTAGCGCTGGCCGCTGGCGCCGAAGCCCCTATGCTAAAAGGAGACAGGGCTGGGCCACGGGGCGCGCTCCCGAGCAGACCGGCCGGCCCCGGGGCGCGCTCACGGCACCGAGGAGCGCGCCTGCGGCGCTGCTCGTTCAAACCTTGTTCCCCTTTACGGCAATCGCGAAAGTGTCGTGAACGTGCTGCCGCCGATCAGTCACCCAGTCGGCTGGAGTCGGAGGCGATATTTCTAGGGGTGTACTTGTTGGGGTCAGGGTAAGGCTGCGGAGCGCGGTCACCGGACGTGAAGGATTTGAAGGGCGTTGTAGGGGCCAGTGGAGAGAGGACTGGATGCTCTGGGGCGGGTCATTAGGATATAGCTGTGTATGGACTCGCGCGAGGCGAACGCCGTCCTTCTTCCTGGCGCAGGGTGGCCTCGCGCGCGGGGTTGTGGGGAGGCGAGGGGCGACTGCCCCCTTGCCCCTCTGTGGAGACTGCCCCCTTGCCCCTCTGTGGAGACATTGGGGTGGCGGAGCGCCGGCGCGGGAGCCGGGGGGCTGTTGTGTGGGAGCCCAAGGTAGGGGTGGGAAGAACCGTGGAGGGCCAGCGCTGAGCGGGCCGAGGGCTGGGAGCGCTACCCGTGCCGAACGGACCTTGCTTGTCAGGTCCACACCCTCCTGCCCGAATGCTGGCAAGTCCACACACCGTGTGGCATCCTCTGCCGGGTTTGTCTCCCCTTAGGAATGCGGTGCTGATGTTTGTGGCTGGGACGCGCTTCTGGTCAGCAACTTTTCTGGAAATTTCAGCCTATATTGATAAGCTGTGAGATTGCTAGCTGGCGTTTATTTCAGCAGCATTCTTGCAAGGAGAAATAACCAAAAGAGTTGCTGGTGTTTGCCAGTATTCCCAGAAACACTGCATGAACGGGATCTTTAGCCATGTTTAACTTGTTTTCTCCAATTCAGTGCTTGGCATTTTGGTGTCATTTTTGCCATTTTGCATCATTAGTATTGAATATATAATTTTGCTTGAAGTCTTTTAATCAGTAAATCCATAGTATGACAGTAGGCAAATTCATAGTTGTCTTTCAACAAATGTTAGTGTCTCGTCTTGTATGTGGACAAAGAATAAAGATTTATTTCCTACTCGAACTATTAGGAATATGTCCAGTCCGTAGATGTTGAGTTGAACGACTTATAACACAAGTTAGACTTTGGTAAGGGCATTTAGAGCATTACTAATTTAGAGCCATTGCCATTCACATAAAATTCGAGATTGAGGTTCTAAAAGCATTTAGTTTCCTCTTCGTTTTATGCTGAGAAAAACTAGTTAAGGCCCCCTGCACAACTTGTCTTTCCAACACATTTAAGAAATAAGTTAGTAAATCTACCTTATATTAACACCAATTACATTTTATTGCACAATTTCTTTGTTTTCTAGGCTTTAGATTTGTTTTTTAAGCTGGTTAAAGGTGCTGATGTTCTTTTTGAGGGTCATGCTGTGTTTATTTTTAAGGGGCTAGAAAAATAACCTATAAAATACCAAGCTTTTGCTGATTTTTATGTTGTGTGTGTGTGTTTTTTTAAGGGGGAAGAAAGTGATTTCCTCTTTTAAGGAGTGCAATATTTCACTTCAGCAAAACGCTAAATCTAAGTTGTGTTACACAGCCCTGTTTTTGCTTCCAAGTCTGCTGAAAAGGCTTTTGTTTTTGTAAACTTGCTCTATGTATCACTTGTTAAATAATGCTGAACTTAATCCTGTGATCCTATTAGTTTTCTTTTTCTTTTTTTTCTTCCTTTCTTTCCTTGTTCTTTATAATTTGCCCTTCCTTTCTGCTAGTGTAGCCATGAGTATTTTTCTTTAGGTAGCCAATTACCTGTGAAAAGACTGTAAACATACTGCTGAATCAGTGCAGATCAAAACTTGGCACCCTTAGACATGGCGGGGATGGAAATTCTGGAATTTCACACAACAGGTTGTGTATTGTGTAAGCTTACCTTATGCACTGCTCAGGAGTTAGAGATTTTTTTTTTTAATGTGATACTTGTCAGACATTCCCCATGCTAAAGTCCACACAGGAATAATGTAGCCCATATGCCATTATCCTCAGCTGATATAAATGCAGCCGTTTTGCATGATAGACTTTTTTAGTAAAGGTATTAATTAAATATCTCTGATTATACTTTTTCTACCTTTGTTGGATTTTCCACATAAATATTTATGCTTGCACAAAGAAAATTCTTTGTCAGACCGTATGTGTTTTCCTAGTTCTCCTCTGGACTTACAAAACAGTTTGTTGATAGCATTCATAACTTAGCTGTTTCTGAGACCCCACCCTCCCCTTTTTGAGTTTCTTAAAGGTATGGAATGTTATATTTCAGCCTTTCTGTTTCATCAGAGTCTGGAACCACTAAGTGTTTATTAAATACTAGACGAATAATATTTGTTAATTGTTCAGTAAGTACTGATTACCTACTAGCAGGGTGTGGTGGCACATGCTCGTAATCCTAGCTTCTCTGTGGCTGAGACACAGGAATCGCTTGAACCCAGGAGGAGGGGTTTGTAGTGAGGCAAGATCTGGTACTGCCTCCAGCCTGTGCTACAGAGCGAGATCCTGTCTCACTAAATTAAATTAAATTAAAATAAGTATTGATTATCTACTTAGTGCTAAGTATGGTATGAGCTTGTGGGAAAAGAATGTTAACAAGACAGGCTTGGCCCATGCACTTGTAGAGTATACACAACAGTCTGGGGGAAAGACCAAAAAAACACAAACAAACAAAAAAAGTTCAAAGTGTGATGAGTGCTTTAAAGGGAGCAGAGCACTAGAGCCAGATTTTAACAGAGGAACGGAGTTACTGATTACAAGTGAAAAGGCTACAATAGCTATAGGACTGTGACAGTATTATAGGACTTTGACAGTATTATTATGAACTGACAGCATTACAGCTGATGGGAATTTTATACAGTTTAAAATATTCACTTTTACTATTATGGTACATGAAAACGTATTCTCAGTTAACAAATAATTTTGGCTGTGTTCTAAAGTTACAGGTTTCTTTATAAGCACATCAGTTGCTTTCCATTACATCCAAGTAAAATGACAACTCTGCGTTAATTCTCCAAACTTCATTTTATCCCATTCTTCCATCTGGTTTACTCCTATCCATCCATGGTGATCTCTCTCGTACCTGAGCAAGACAAACTCTTTACTATCTCAGGGCGTGTTCCATTTTCTTGGATTATTCTTCCTCCTCCCCTAAAACGTCTGGCTCCTTCTTTTCCTCTGAGCTTGGTATAGAAGCTACTTGAAGACTTCACCCTGTTTAAAATGTGTAACCCCAGCTATTTTCTAGCTTAGCACTTTGTTTTCCTCATTGTGCCTATCACAGTGTGTAATTTTTTTATTTGCTTGTTTACTAGTTTTTATTTCTTTTCCCACTGGACATAGGAGCTGGGATCATGTCAGCCTCATTCACTGCATTTATATGTTGGCTGAATGCATTGGAAACTGGTAATCTATTTTCTTATAACTGTTAAGACTGGTGGCTAGGTTTCTAAGCCAGCAATAATTTTAATTTCTTACTTTTTTTTTTCTTTTTGTTACTTGTACTGTGGTAAGAAAAGGACATTTTCTGCTCATCCTTTTGGTCATAGGCCTGATTCCATATAAAAATTTCAGGTGGCTACAATAACTTTTGGGTTTTTTTGTTTGTTCCTTTTTGAGACATGGTTTTGCTCTGTTGCCTGGGCTGGAGTACAGTGGCGTGATCATGGCTCACTGCAGCCTCAACCTCCCGGGCTCAAGCAATCCTCCCAACTCAGCCTCCCAAGTAGCTGGGAATGCATGACAGGCCAGCATGCTAAGCTAATTTTTTTGTATAGATGTGGTTTTGCTATGTTTCCTAGGCTGGTCTTAAACTCCTGAGCTCAGGTGATCCACCTGCCTCAGCCTTCCAAAGTGCTGAGATTACAGGCAATGAGCCACTGTTCCCAACATAGAATAATTTTTTAATATTCTACCTCCTTTCTGTATTCCCACCCCACATCCATTTTTCCTTTCTCGCCACATTGTCCTGATCTTCCTGTTGTAGCCACCTACCCTATGCGGCTCCATTGAGATATGCTTGCTTTTCATTTGCTAAAATTCAGAAGTTCCTGTCTTTTCTGTAATGGTTTTCATGGTCATAGCCCCTGGATCTCAGATATGATGGAAGGAAGAGTAGAGATGAACCTGTGGTAGTGACTGCAAACTCTGTATCTATATGAATGTGTTGAAAGTAAAGTAGCCATCTGTAGGTCAGAGACTACATGTATCTGAATTTATATTTGCAGTGTTGTTGCTAATAGCTTCACAGAGACATTGTTGCTGCAATGTTGGCAAAGAAAGCCTTCAAAAACTCATTGCCTCTTTTCATGTATAAATTTGTACCGTGGGCTAGATCTGGAAAGGTTTGTCAAAATGTAGATGTTTATAAAAGAGAAATAGAAGGTTAAAAAACAATCTAGGTCGCAGAGGGGAAAAACTGAGAGGGAAAGTATCAGTTTATCAACTAGTCCTGCCAAATGCTCAGACTTAAAACCATTAGGATCAGTTGCTTATAGCTATTTAGTGCCAAAAGCAGGCTAGCACTCATCTTTTTTTCTTTACAGTAAGAGAATAGAATACTGCAACAGTAAAATACAAATGGAATTGACTGAATTTTTAATTCCCATTTCAAGTGGAATTCCGTAAGAGCTATCATTTACCAAATACGAAAATATATCATTGCTCGACTATAGAAAATTTGGCTACTATGAAGCTAAGTGTATTCGTGGTTATTGGTCTCTCATTTGATCTAAAGTGATCTCGTCACCAGTTATTTAATATTATATAAACATTACTTTAAAACAGTTTTAATCAGTACCTTTGTGATACAGTTGTGTGAAAGAATTCCTCAAAATGTAAGAAATTAGCTTTGATTTCTCTCCTTGATTTGAAATATTAATTTTTTTTTTTTTTAAGACAGAGTCTCGCTTTGTCACTCAGGCTGGAATGCAGTGGTGCGATCTCGGCTCACTGCAACCTTCGCCTCCTGGGGTCAAGCAATTCTCCTGCCTCAGCCTCCTCAGTAGCTGGGATTACAGATGCCTGCCACCACGCCCATCTAATTTTTATATTTTTAGTAGAGACGGGGTTTCACCGTGTTGGCCAGGCTGGTCTCGAACTCCTGACCTCAGGTGATCCGCCCGCCTCAGCCTCCCAAAGTGGCGTGAGCCACCGCGCCTGGCGAAATATTAAATATTTTTATTTCAGGGCATCTCAGTTGGTTAAATTGTGGCACTGATGAGTCTCTTGAGATTTTTGAAAATTTATTTAAGGGCATTAACTTGACTATAATGACTATTTTCTAAACCAAATATTGAGATACGTGATTGACAGAGGTTTTGGATGCCACCTTAGGTCATTAGTAACATTGAAATTTTGGAATTTGATATTTATAGGGATATAGGAAAAAAGTCCTGTTCCATTGTGTTCACATGTCCATACCAGGCTGTGGGGTGAGTGTCCCCCTGGCTGGTACCTACTTGTCCATGTGGTTACTCATGAGCTGAGTGCCTACATTTCATGTTTTGTGGCATGTGACCCTGTGCTCCACTTCCCAGAATGCACATGTGGCCTGGGTTCATAGTCCTCTAGCCATGGCCGGGTCTCAGTTCAGTGCCTTCCATCCTGGGCAGCAGGAGCACCATGTTGCAGTCTACCACAGCTGCCTCTGGGCCTTGGCCTGGCTTCACTGCATTCCAGCGCTGCCTCCCCTCCACCCCAGACAGGGGGGAACCTGCCACTCTCAGGACCACCCTGCAAAGGCAGAATAAACCAGATCCTCTCACAGCAAAAAAAAGTTAAAAGGGACAACTGAGCATGTTTTGATAGTAGATCTATTGTCGAGATGTCCTAGACCTATACCATTTCTGGGACTTTGATTCTGCTTTGTGGATAGTTTCCAACCAGAAGATCAAAACATACCTATGCCACTAATCTTTTTTGTTCTATTAAGATTCTTTCTTTTTTTTTTTTTTTTAAATGGTCTCTGTTCCTCCTCCTCCTCACTATGGTAAGTTTCTCACAAGGTTCTTTATTCATTTTTTTCTTTCAATGCTTAATCCCTTTGAGAACTTTTCTACTTTCTAGTTTTTAACCAGACTTTAGCTTTTAAGTTGATGACCTGAACTTCTCACTCTTACCAAAACTCCAGTTTTTTGATTTTGTCTAAAACATCTCTACTTAAAAGTCACATGTATATATTCCATTCCTACCCTCATCCCTAGTTCCCTTTCACCCACTACACCCCAAAAGCCAAAAAATAACAAACTGATTTTCTTTTCCAACTTGCCCTTTTGACAACAGTACCAGTAATCTCTAGCTGTTGACTCTTTTTTTCTTCTGTTTCCTCACCTCTCATATCTAATTCTTAAGTACTTTCTGCTGAATCTTCCATCTAAATAGAAATTACTTATAGATTTGACTGTCTTTCATATTTTCATTTTTACCATCCTACTATAGGCCCTCACCACTTCAAACCATTGAGATCACTGTACTTACTAATTTTTAATTGTTCTATTTTCTCCATTCTGATTCATCTTGAAAATACTCTTGTATTTCCTCATGCTACTTGATTACTTATAATTGTTATCTCTAATCTTTTCTAAATGAAATACAAATACTTCAGGGATTAAACTCAAGGTCCTTTATTAGCAGTCATCACTTAACCCACTTTTACTTTTTTTCCTTCTACTTCCTCAGTTCATCAGGACACTCTGCTAATACATATATACTGTCTTAAAGTTAATTTTTTTCATTGTTGTATATCTCCACCGAGAATACCGTCTATATTCGTTTTTACCAATAAGAAGTTTTGTCTTTTGGTTTAATTTAAACAGAAACCCTGTGTTTGTTTGAATACTACTTGGTTTAGTTTAAACAGAAAACCTGTGTTTGTTTGAATGCTACTTACCAGCTGTGTGATTTGGACAAGTTAATTAGCCTCACTGAGCCTTAGTTTATTTTTCTGTAAAAATGGGGATAATTAATAGTCCTTGCCTTCTAGGGTGGTTGTGAGGATTAAAGGAGTTAGTATATAAAATGTGCTTAAGTTTTGTAATATGAAGGGCATGCCCAATAAATGTTAGCTATTACCATTAAATAAAAATCTAGTTTAAGACTCATTGAAGTCATTCCTCTGATACTAATACTAATTTGCTAGCCTTGGGACCTCAGTTTCCGTATATGTGTAATGATGAGATGATTTCTAACATTTGTTGCATTATACAACTGAAAGCAGTGTGGGATGGAAAAAGAATATGAGCTTCAAAGTCAGACAGACTATCAGATAATAGGAAGCATACTACTATTAAAGTCTCTTACTATTTTTTGCTTAAAGTTGAGGTTATACACTTTCAATAAGAACTAGAACCAAAATCAGGTCCCTCCTTTTCTGGTCCTGTTTGATACTTACTACTTTATTGACAATTTGATTTTTTGTTTCCTAATTTGTTAATATTGGCATAAGATGTAAATAGTGGCCAACAAGTGTATTTTTTAATTTTTATTTTATTTTATTTTTTAGGTAAGCACCAGCCACAAAAACCTACAAAAGAAGGGAAATTACTGTCTTTAAATATTAAAAAAAAACAAGATCCATGAGTGGGCATCGATCAACAAGGAAAAGATGTGGAGATTCTCACCCGGAGTCCCCAGTGGGCTTCGGGCATATGAGTACTACAGGATGTGTATTAAATAAATTGTTTCAGTTACCAACACCACCATTGTCAAGACACCAACTAAAGCGGCTAGAAGAACACAGATATCAAAGTGCTGGACGGTCCCTGCTTGAGCCCTTAATGCAAGGGTATTGGGAATGGCTCGTTAGAAGAGTTCCCTCCTGGATTGCCCCAAATCTCATCACCATCATTGGACTGTCAATAAACATCTGTACAACTATTTTATTAGTCTTCTACTGCCCTACAGCTACAGAGCAGGTAAGAGTTTCTTAACAGATCTCAACATTTGCTATATACCAAAAACGTTGTAATTGGGATCGTGGGGTCATTTTAACTAAAGATAAAGTAATCTGACAGCTGTCAACTATTTTAAAATATCACACACACTGTGATAAAGCTTGTAAGTACAGCCTACACACTTGCTTATTGGAAACCAGAAGCAAACGGTAGACTGTGATCCTAGTGCTTAAATTAATGTTAGCAGGGATTAACATGTAAAATGTTCCTTTTAAAGTCACTAAATCTCAATTTTTTACAAAAAAGTTTTTCATTTTTTTAAATGGTAGAATAAAGTCTTAGCAAAAAAAAAAAAAACAGTGAGAAAACTCTCTGGTATTTAGTATGGCATGACTGTAAACTAGCCTTATCAAAAGGTTTTTTTTCCATTCTAGTGAGAAGTGTTAAATTTCCCTTCTCTCTTCCTTTAAACATGTATGCCTGAAGACTTCGGGTATATGGCTTATTCTTCTAACAACTGTGGCAAAGGAAGTGTAAGAAAAAGTCAATACAATGTATTTCCTATTCTGTATCCTGCTCTGGCTACCATTAAGAAAGGATGCATGCTATTGCTTACAAAGACTCACACAGGCCTTCTCAGATCCAAGCCTCTCTTCTACCGTTACCCTCTATTACCCTCTGTACTCATTACTTGAAACCAAAACTAGAACTCTTTATCAGAATAGATACATTGATATTTATTTCTTTGGTTTTAAAATATCCTTACCAAAACATGAACTAAGCTAGTTAGGTAGATGAGAGAATTACAAGCATTTGTTCTGCCTAAATAAGTTAGACTGATCAGTTTCTGGTAATTCAGGACAGTAGAAGGTAATTCTAACTAAACATTTCAGAGTGATTCTGAGCTAAATGAGATGGTAATGGCCACAACATTCCTTACCTTGTTTTAAGCTTGAAGTAATTTTTTTTAAGTAATCTTCTCAGATTATTTGTCCTTTGAGATAAAATTACCACCATTCAACCCTCTATTCTTTTCTGTTTTCATCAATTTGTCTGTTTCCATAGGTTAAATAAAAGCCATTAAAGTGAATGGCTATTGAGGGTCACCTTTACCCCAGAACATGTGATTTCTGTTATTTTCCAGGTTTTCATTTCCCATCACCCTTAATTCCTCTTCTACTATTGCAAATACAGTCCATACAGATTTTATAGATGTAAAATCTGGTTTCTCCTCTTTTTTTTTTTTTTGAGACAGGGTCTGCCTTTGTCACCCAGGCTGGAGTGCAATGGCACTGTCTTGGCTCACTGCAATTTCCACCTCCAGGGTTTAAGCGATTCTCCTGCCTCAGCCTCCCAAGTAACTGGGATTACAGGCCCGCACCATCACGCCCGGCTAATTTTTGTATTTGTAGTAGAGACAGGGCTTCACCTTGTTGGTCAGGCTGCTCTGGAATTCCTGACCTCAGGTGATCCACCAACCTTGGCCTCCCAAAGTGCTGGGATTACAGTGAGCAACTGCGCCCAGCTCCCCTCCTCTTTTTAACTCTCTTCCTGTTGCTCAGTTAGGATACTTAAAAAACACAAACCAGTACATTATTTAAATGTGTCCTTGGATTCTTTATCACATATCCTTTAAATTGTTTCACTTGGGGCTTGTCTGAGAATTTGACTGCTACTCCCAGAAGGGTTTGGTCCAAATCACACAAATCATTAGAGATATAGTAGAACAACAGGGAGGTGGATTGATTCCAGTGGAAGACCTCCAGTACTAAACTAGTTCTAGGATGGGGATCAAGGAGTGAGAGCAGGTTCAAGGATAGTTCAGCCACTAATAGTCATTTATGGAACACCACAGAGTATATCAGGTAATGTGTTCCCCTGTAATACTTTTTCTTGGCCTCTGTTCTTAAGTGATTTGGAATGTATGAATAACCCAAGAATTAGTTAAATCTTTAGGGAGACTTCCAGAATGGAAGCTATTCTTTTCACTAGTTGTGATGGTTCAGAATGGCTGCTAGGAGGAATCAGAATATGACTGAGCTGCTGCTTGTTGTTCTGCAAGGGAAGATAATGTCCTACAATGGAGATGCCTGGATGCATTTTTAGCTACGAGGTAGCTATCCTTATTAGGCTCAAAGCAGAATGCATTTAAATAGGTCTTGGTTGTTTTCTATGACAAGCTGTTATCTCTGTGATCTTCAGTAAGATAAGTAAATTTTCTAAGTCACCCTCTTTAAATCTTATTTTGTGGTATGATGATCATACATTCAGGGTACCTAGCATATAATGTTCAAAATAGTAGATGGTTATTGTTTCATTGATCAAAAAGATTAGGTATATAATCTATTCTTCCACAGCCCCCTTCCCATTCGTGATTTCCTCTAATGATACATAATATTTCCAGTTACAAATTCATCTAAGTCCTTATTTCTTTTATATTTTTCTTTATCATCATGTTGGAGTCAGAGAATTTCGTAAATTTTATCACCCAGGGAAATTCTCCTTCATTGTATCTCTGATTCTTTTGGGCCTTATGCCAGTGGATGATCATTAAGTTTCATGTCTACATGTATAGTATTACGAACTTCCCATATATTTTTTATGTTACTGATTTTTTAAAAAATGTATTAGAGTTTCAGACACCAATCTTTCTGGTAGAAAGGAAGGTCATTATTATAATAGTTTAAGCTCAGTTTGTTTCTTTTCTTAGAAAAAGCAATCCTCCTAGTAGATAAGAAAATAAGTTAGCTTTTATTTTTCACATTCTTAGGGTAGAAATACAGACTTCTCTCTTTTTATATGGAGAGCCAAAATTTCCCTTTGATCTGTTCATTACTCAGTATTTAAACTTCATTAGCTAGTAGCTTTGATTTTAGTGTCATAAGTTAATTTGGAATTTGTCTTGCAACTTGGTATATGTTAATATACTTGTGTTCACCTTGCCTCCATCCACAAAAAGAGTTGGACTCTGTAAAATATTTGAAGAGATTTATTCTGAGCCAAATATCAGTGACTATGGCCTGTGACACAGCCCTCAGGAGGTCCTGAGAACACGTGCCCAAGGTAGTCAGAGCACTGCTTGTTTTTTTTTGTTTGTTTTTTTTTTTTTTTGAGACGGAGTCTCGCTCTGTTGCCAGGCTGGAGTGCAGTGGCGCAGTCTCGGTTCACTGCAACCTCCACCTCCCTGGTTCAAGCGATTTCTCCTGCCTCAGCCTCCCGAATACAGGACTACAGGCGCACGCCGCCACACCCAGCTAATATTTGTATTTTTAGCAGAGACAGGGTTTCAACATGTTGGCCAGAATGATCTCAATCTCTTGTTCTTGTAATCCACCCACCTTGGCCTCCCAGAGTGCTGGGATTACAGGCGTGTGCCACCACACCCGGCCAGCTTGGTATTATACATTTTAGAGAGGCATGAGACATCAATCAAGTACATTTAAGAAATACATTGGTTTGGTCCAGAAAGGCGGGACAACTCAGAGTGGAAGGGCTTCCAGGCTGTAGTTGAATTTAAACATTTTCTGGATAAGTTTGTCTAAAGATCTGGGATTGATAGAAAGGGAATGTTCAGGTTAAGATAAAGATTGTGGAGACCAAAGTTCTTTTGAAGTCTTATAGTGGCTGTCCTTAGAGACAATAGATGACAAACGTTTCCCTTTCAGATCTTAGTTAATCTCTTTAGGATTGGGACAGTCTGGAAGAAAAAGATCTAGCTATGTTAATAGAGGTTCTTTACAGATGCACATTTTCCCCCACAAAGAACAGCTTTGCAGGGCCAATTCAAAATATGACCAAGAAACATGTTTTGGGGTAAAATATTTTGATTTTCTTCCTTGTCTTGTATTGTTATGCCAGAGTCAGGTTGGAAAGTAAACCAAGATATATAGGGTTAAATAAAACCCATCTGATGAGAATTTATGATTTGTAGGGCATGACTCCCCAGACCCCTTAGATACGAATTTGGGCAAGGTAAAAATCAACAGTTTAGTCCTCATCACGTAAGACAGAAAAAGGAAGTTGGTGTTAACCTGTATTATACCCATGAAAACCAGAAATGCCATTATCAGAAAGAGTCGTGTCAGATTTCAATATAACTTTTTGAAATATCATGAGTTGTTTAAACACTCATTTGTTTTTGTTTTTATATTGCTAGTTTTCATGCTTTTGATTCACCTCACTAAAAAATAACTTGTTAGATTTTTTTTTGGCATAGAAAAGTGAAAAGAAAATTAAAACGGCACATTGACCATAATTTCACTGCCCAGTTAACTTATGTTGACATTGAAAAGTGAAGGGGGAAAAAAATTACAGAGTTAAAAAAATGCAAAGAGTGGCATAAAACAAAAAGTAAAATCTTCCCTTTTTTATCTGCCTTTCCTTCCTACCCCTCACCCTAACCTCTCTCCTCAAATGTAATAAAGTTTAACAGTATTTTTGTCTGACAAATCACACCCTAAATTTTATTGAGTAGAAAAAGCAACATGTGGAACACACAGTACACCATTTAGAAATTGTTTAAAGTATGCAAAATAAGTCTTTATTGTTTAGGATTGCATATATATGTAATCAAGTCTAAAGGCAAACATAGGAATAATAAAGACTAAATTCAGGTTAGTGGGTACTTTTGGGGGAGATTGCATGATGAATTGGAGAGAGCTGTTCATGGAACTCCAATTATGCTTTTTAAGCTGAGAGGTTTGTCAAGGGTGTTCATCAGATTTTTAAAAACTTTTTGTATGTTTGAAATAGTAATAAAACTCATATTGTACCTGCCCATATATATGCCCGCCAAAATCTTAGGAGTATTTTTTTCCTTCTGATTGACACATAATAATTATATATGAGATACAGTGTTATATTTTAAAACATATATACAGTGTATAATGATCAGATCAGGGTAATTATGTCTGTCACCTCAAACATTTATTTCTTTGTGTTAATATTCCAGATCCTCTCTTCTAGCTTTTTGAAAATATACAATGCATTATTGTTAGCTATATTCAGCCTACATTGCTGTAGAGCACTAGAACTTACTCCTCCTACATAGCTGTAACTTTGCTTCTGTTAAACAACCTGTCCCTATCCTCCCCTCCTCCTTACCCATCCCAGCCTCTTGTAACCACAATTCTTCCCTTTACTTCTATGAGCATTTTTTTTTTAGCTCCTGCATATGAGTAAGAACTTGCAGTATTTATCTTTCTGTGCTTGATTTATTTCACTTAACATGATGTCTTCCAGGCTCAGCACACTGCAACCTCCGCCTCCCAGGTTCAAGTGATGCTCCTGCCTCAACCTCCCAAGTAGCTGGCATTACAGGCATACACCGCCATACCTGGGTAATTTTGTATTTTTAGTTGAGATGGGGTTGGTCAGCCTGACCTCAGATAATCCACCTGCCTCAGCCTCCCAGAGTGCTTGGATTACAGATGTGAGCCACCACGCCCTGCTGTCTCTACTTTAGTTTTTCTTGCCTGTGCTTTTGAGATCTTAGCCATAAAATCTTTGCGTAGACCAATGTACTGAAGCATTTCCCCTGTGTTTTTTCTAGTAGTTTTATACTACTAGGTCTCACATTTGTAAGTCTTTAATCCATTTGAGTTGATTCTTGAATATAGTGAGAGATAGGGGTCTAGTTTCATTTTTCTGCATGTGGATATTCAATTTTCCTAGCACCATTTATTTATCCTTTCCCCACTCTATGTTCCTGGCATCTTTGTCAAAAATCAGTTGGCTGTAAATACATAGATTTATTTCTGGGTTCTCATTTCTTTGGGTCTGTATGTCTTTTTATACCAATATCATGCTGTTTTGGTTACTATAGCTTTTTAGTGTATTTTGAAGTCAGGTAGTGTGATGCCTCCAGCTTTGTTCTTTTTGCTCTAGAGTGCTTTGGTTATTCTGAGGTTTTTGTGATTCCATACACATTTTAGGATTTTTTTTCTATTTCTGTGAAGAATGTCATTGGTATTTTGATAGGGATTGCATTGAATCTGTAGATTGCTTTGGGTAGTATGGCCATTTTGACAATATTAATTCATGGACATGGGATGACTTTTCATTTTGTGTATATGTCCTCCTCAGTTTCTTTTATTAGTGCTTTGTAGTTTTCATTGTGGAGATCTTTCAACTCCTTGGTTAAATTTATTCCCAAGTATTTTATTTTATTTTATTTTATTTTATTTTATTTTATTTTATTTTATTTTATTTTATTTTATTTAGCTGTTGTTAATGGGGTTGCCTTCTTGATTTTTTTCCAGCTAGTTTGTTATTGGTGTATGGAAATGCTACTGATTTTTGTATGTTGATTTTGTATCTTGCATCTTTACTGAATTTAACAGTTCTATGAGTTTTTTGATGCAGTCTTTAAGTTTTCCCATATATAAGTTCATATAATCTGCAAAGAGGGACAGTTTTGACTTCCTCTTTTCTAATGTGAATGCCCTTTGTTTCTTTCTCTTGTTTAATTACTCTAGCTGGGACTTCCAGTACTATGTTGAGTGTGGAAAGTGGGCATCCTTGTCTGGTTCTAGTTCTTAGAGGAAAAGCTTTGACCATTTCCCCATTCAGTATGATGTTAGCTGTTGGTATGTCATATATGGTCCTTGTTGTGTTGAGGTATGTTTCTTGTATGCATAATTTGTGGTGACGTTTTATCTTGAAGAGATGTTGAATTTTATCAAATGCTTTTTCTGAGCCTATTGAGATGATCATAGGATCTTAGTTCTTCGTTCTGTTGATGTGATGTGTCACATTTATTGATTTGCATATGTTGGACCATCCTTGCATCCCTGAGTTAAATCCTCCTTCATCATGTTGAATAATCTTTTTAATGCGCCGTTGGATTTGGTTTGCTAGTAGTTTCTTGAGGATTTTTGTATCTGTGTTCATCAGTAATACTGGCTTGTGGTTTTCTTCTTTTATTGCATCCTTATCTGGTTTTGATGTCAGGGTAATGCTGGTTTCGTAGAATGAATTAGGAAGAATTTTCTCTCCAGTATTTTGGAATAGTTTCAGAAGAATTGGTGTAGTTCTTTAAAAGTTTGGTAGAATTCAGCAGTAAAGGCATTTGGTCCTGGGTTTTTCTTTGTTGGAAAACTTTTTAATATTTATTCAATCTTGTTATTTGTTATTAGTCTGTTAAGGTTTTCTATTTCTTTTGGTTCAATCTTTATAGGTTATACGTGTCTAAAAGTGTATCTACTTCGTCTAGGTTTTCCAGTTTGTTGGCATATAGTTGTTCATGACAACCTCTAATGATCTTTTATATTTCTGTGGTATCAGTTGTAATGCCTCTTTTTTTGTGTCTGATTTTATTTATTTGGGTCTTCTGTCTTTTTTTCTTGGTTATTCATAGCTAATAGTTGGTCAATTTTATTTCTTTTCAAAAAACCAACTTTTCATTTTATCATTTGTGTGTGTGTGTGTGTATACACACAACATATATGACACATGCCATGTGTGTCATATATGTATATATACATATATATGATATATATATTCACTTTTTTGGGGGTTTTTTTTGAGATGGAGTTTTGCTTTTATTGTCCGGGCTGGAGTGCAATGGCATGATCTTGGCTTACTGCAACCTCCGCCTCACCTGGGAGGCGATCCTCCTGCCTCAGCCTCCCGAGTAGCTGGAATTACAGGCATGCGCCACCACACCCGGCTAATTTTGTGTTTTTAGTAGAGATGGGGTTTCATCACGTTGACCATGCTGGTCTCAAACTCCCGACCTCAGGTGATCTGCCCGCCTTGGCCTCCCAAAGTACTGGGATTACAGGCGTAAGCCACCAAGCCTGGCCAGATTTTCATGTACATATATAACCCACACATATGTGTATATGTGTGTGTGTATATGTATATATATATTCTATTTCATTTAGCTCTGATCTTTATTTCTTCTAATTTTGGATTTGATTTGTTCTTGCTTTTCTGGTTCTTTGAGGTGCATTATTACGTTGTTTATTTGAAATCTTTCTACTTTTCAGATGTGGGCATTTATTTTGCTTTATTCTTTCCTCTTAGTACTTCTTTTGCTGTATCTTGTAGGTTTTGGTATTTTGTGCTTCTGTTTTTATATTTTTCAAAAAATGATTTACTTCTTAATTTCTTCATAGATTCATTGGTCATTCAGGAGCATGTTTGTTAATTTTCATGTATTTGTACAGTTTGCAAAGTTCCTCTTGTTATTGATTTCTAGTTTTGTTCCATTGTAGTCTCAGAAGATACTTGAAATGACCCCAACGCAAATATTTAAAAATTTGTTGAGACTTGTTTTGTAGCCTCACACATGGTTTGTCCTGGAGAATGTTTCGTGTGCTGATGAGAAGAATGTGTATTCTGCAGCTATGGAATGAAATGTTCTGTAAATGTCTGTTAGGTCCATTTGGTCTGTAGTGCACTCTAAGTTCAATGTTACTTTGTTGGTTTTCTGTTTAAATCAGGGGTGTCTAATCTTTTGGCTTCCCTGAACCATGTTGGAAGAAGAATTGTCTTGGGCCACACATAAAACACTAACGATAGCTGATGAGCGGGGAAAAAAAAATCTTATAATGTTTTAAGAAAGTTTACAAATTGATGTTGGGCTGCATTCAGAGCTGTCCTTGGCTGCATGCAGTGCAGCCCACGTGCCACAGCTTGGACGAACTTAATTTAGATGGTCTGTCCAGTGCTGAAAGTGAGGTAACATTTAATAGTTTTTCTGATGTATCCTCCCAGAAAAAGAAAAAAATTACTCTTGTACTAGCATGTATATATATATTTGTATGTATGTAAAATCTTCAGTTCTGTTTCAAAAGTTTAGTAAAACCATATGTTTCTTGGAATTTTTTACCTGAGTTGACTCATATAACATCTCTGCAAGATTTTACAAGTTGGTTAATTGCTACATTGTGATAAGATTATTTGTTTATGTCAGTTCTTTCCCATACACTTATCAGGACATAATGAGTTCTGAATGATGCATGAGTTCCTTCATTCATTCAGTATCTCCCCCAGGGTCTTACGGCAACTGGGATCATATTTATTCCTGAATTAGGCTTTCATCTTAAAATACCTCTGAGAAGTATAAAATAATGTGCACAAGGAAGAAGTATATAAATATTAGTGTATCATTGTGCAGATTCACAGGAAGAAAGGAAAATCCAAAGTCAAGGAAACTTTTTATGTCTGTGATTGTTATTTTACTATTTCCTAGGATTGTGTATATACTAGTTATCTTTGCTCCGGAGCAACATTTTGCCCCATTAAAATCTTAAGCTTGGACCCCAAGAAACCCCTAGATTTCTTGTCCCCTAAAGCAGAGGTATTCAGCAGAATTTTCTATGAAGATGGGCATGTTCTATGTCTGTGAGGTCCAATATAGTAGCCATAGCTACATATGGCTATTGAGCATTCAAAATCTACCTAGTGTAACTGAGGAACTGAATTTTTAATTTTATTTAATATTAATTAATTTCAAATAGTCACAGATGACTGATGGCTGCTGTGCAAGATAGCGCAGCTCTAGAGAGTTACTGGATTCCTTTAGGAGCAAGAAGCAGTAGACCCAAAGTCCAGAAGACAGAGTTCTTAGTCATACAGGATTAATTACTCAGTTCAGTGTGCTTGCATGTAAAGTATGGTTCCATAATCATATTTATTGCTTTCAGGGTTTATAACTCTGGCTTAGTGGAGGTATGTGCTAGCTCCTTTGGATAATCTCAGTGTCTTAAAAGACGGAACTCAAAAAAGGTTTATGAAAAGATCCTTACCTTTTAATAACTGGTACTAAATAGATCTCTATCAGAGAGAAACTCCTTTGCAGTACAGAATATACTGAATGTTATTTGCATCTCTGAGTGTTTAATATTCACAGTGTAACTTGATAACCAATATACAGTAAACTACCTTGTGATTATAAAAAGTATTTTATAGCCTGGGAAGGGGAAAATAATGAAAAGTGATACAATATACTCTTCCACATTCTTAAGGATAAATCAAATAAGACCTCTTCTTTTTGAATATACATTTAAATTCAATACCAGGCTGGGTGCGTTGGCTCACGCCTGTAATCCCAACACTTTGGGAGGCCGAGGTGGGCGGATCACTTGAGGTGAAGAGTTCGACACCAGCCTGACCAACATAGCAAAACCTTGTCTCTACTAAAAAAAATAAAATAAAATAAAAAATTAGCCAGGCTTTGTGGCACATGCCTATAATCCAGCTACTAGGGAGGGTGAGGCAGGAGAATCTCTTGAACCCAGGAGGCGGAGGTTGCAGTAAGCCAAGACTGCACCACTGCACTCCCAGCCTGGGTGACAGAGCAAGACTCCATCTCAAATAAATAAATAAATTAATTAATTAATTTAATACCAGCAGTTCAATTTCTGTTTGGGAAAAGAGAAGCTATTCCTTGAAAACGTGACTGTGGATTTGAAAAATAGTATTCTGAACACTCTATGCACTGGATATCATTTCCTAGTGTTATTTAATGGCCCATTGAAGAGATGTTTAAAAATGTTACAAACTCAAATAAATTTGGAAAATGGCAGGACATTATGTCCCCCTCTTGAATATTCACAGGATGTATTAGCAATATTAAGGACTAGAAGAAGTCCTGTAGTAAAGAAATCCATTTAACATTGTTTAGTGTTTAACCCAGTGTTTCCCATATGAGGTTAGCATGGAATTTTTCATGTAATACCTGCAAACATTTTGAAGGATATGATTTTGGAAAAAATTCAATAATTGACCCTTCTAATCTAAAGAATCTTATGGAAGACACCTAGTCCAATCTCTTGGGATTTTTGTAATCTCCCTTGTAAGTTGTTATCTAGCATCTGCCTGAACACCTCTAAAAGCAGGAAATTTAATTCTTTTACAATTCTTTTTTTTTTTTTTTTTTTTTTTTTTTTTGAGACGGAGTCTCGCTCTGTCGCCCAGGCTGGAGTGCAGTGGCGCAATCTCGGCTCACTGCAAGCTCCGCCTCCCGGGTTCACGCCATTCTCCTGCCTCAGCCTCCCAAGTAGCTAGGACTACAGGCGCCCGCCACTACGCCCGGCTAATTTTTTGTATTTTTAGTAGAGACGGGGTTTCACCGTTTTTTAGCCGGGATGGTCTCGATCTCCTGACCTCGTGATCCGCCCGCCTCGGCCTCCCAAAGTGCTGGGATTACAGGCGTGAGCCACCGCGCCCGGCATTCTTTTACAATTCTAATTGTTTCAGTGAGTTCTTCATTATGTAGCACTTGGATCTTCTCTCCCATAGCTTCCAACTAGCTTTCCAACCTGCAGGTAAAAATATGTTAGTCAAACATGGTAACTGTGTGTCTGAATACTCTTGCCTTTCTTATTTTATTTCACAGGCACCTCTGTGGGCATATATTGCTTGTGCCTGTGGCCTTTTCATTTACCAGTCTTTGGATGCTATTGATGGGAAACAGGCAAGAAGAACCAATAGTAGTTCTCCTCTGGGAGAACTTTTTGATCATGGCTGTGATTCACTATCAACAGGTATTGTTGATTTTTTTAATGTTATTGATTATTAACAATGGTTAAACCAGTGTGCTAAGCAGTGTTAGAATACATGTTTAGTCATGAGAATAAGTAATTTTGTATTAAATTTTAGTATTTCTCAAAAGACTATGAACCTAGTTAATATTTGTTCATTATTGGTAGTGTTAGGAAATTTAGAAATTACTTTCTGCTTGTTATTTTTAGCCCCAAATATTGTTTTGGCATCTTTTGTTTTTAAAAGCTTGGGGCATAATTGTCACCATCAAAACTCTTATGAACTAAATGAGAGTACAGTGGTGGGAGACTAGTTAGGTAATTTGTGGTCTTCATATATTTAAATGAATGTTATGTAGACATTCAGAATTATGTTAATGGACTTGGATTATAACTACGTCATAAGAAGCTCAGAGAAAGACTATGACAAATTAGGAGTATCGTTAATATTGCATTGTGTACTGGAAATTTGCTAAGAGAGTACATTTTAGATGCTTTTACCACAGGAGAAAAAAGGTAACTATGGGACATGATGGATAGGTTAATTTGCTTAACTATAGTAATCATTTATATATATGGCATGTTTTACACCTCATATACAATTTTTAAAAGAAACACTAAAGTGCTAGCAATAACTGAGTTACTCTGTTTGGATTATAAGTGATATCTCTTTATTTGCACTGTTTTGCAAGTTTTTAAAATAGTAGTTTATTATGTTTTTAGAGAGGAAAAAGACACTTAAAATCTAAATGACAGTTTTTCAGCTAGTCTTTCTGACAGGAACTCATCCCTCCCCTCTTTTATTTTTGTTTTATTTAGTTTCTCAATTATTTTCTTGTTTGACATGGCACTTAAAATATTTAAAAAGAAACTAACAAAAACCCCTTATAGTTTTACCTCCTGAATCCACATTTACAGGTATAGGTGCATATCAAAATCATTGCTTCATTGTATCCCAACAGCAGCTTATTTAGTAGAGGAGGAGAAGCAACTAAGGTCATATAATTTTTTAAGAGTCAAATCAAGAAATACTCAAAACTTCTGTTGAATAAATGGTAGTTGGCTGTCTTGAAAGGCAACAACCAGCTGACTGCAGGATGGCAGGATGGCAGGCTTCCTATTATTTATTTTAAATTGCAGTCATTTTTGCGTTGTAGTTTGAGGTCTAGACTTTTATAGGAAGTCTTTTTCTATGTATGTCACCCATAACAATATCTGTTTAAAAAAAAAAAGACAGTTATCAATCTGAAGCAAGTAAGTCGGTCCGTCTGGGGATTATATAGCCCCTTTGTTTTTCTTTTTTGGCTGTCTGCCTTGTAATGATTTGCTGATCATTAGTACTAGTGTCTCTAAGTCAGGAAAATACTCGAAGAAATGTTGAAGTATTTTAGTTGCCTTCAAGAACTTTGCTTCCACTAAGTGATTTGGTAAAAAAAAAAAAAAAAAGAGAGATTGAAATTATGGGGTAAGAGATTATGTAACAGATTATATCCTACTTTTCTGTTACAATAGATAACTGAGAGAAGATTATGCATTTACAGCATATCTTTTTGTCTCATCTAAAATCATTTCCAGCTCAGTTGTTTGCTATTCATATTATTTGGTTTTCATCGTGATCTTTCTTCTGCAGTTTTTGTGGTTCTTGGAACTTGTATTGCAGTGCAGCTGGGGACAAACCCTGATTGGATGTTTTTTTGTTGTTTTGCGGGGACATTTATGTTCTATTGTGCGCACTGGCAAACGTATGTTTCTGGAACATTGCGATTTGGAATGTAAGTAATACTTAATGGTAATTTTTGTTTTCTCTTTCACATATGGAGAATGTTGCCTTATAAGTATTTGAGTATTAGAAATTGATCAAATCACTAAGTTAGTTTAATAAATTAAAAAATTTATGCTTCATTATTATAGCTATTTCCTAATAGTCTCTGCATATGTCCCTCTATTATACTTTTTTAAAAGGAGATATCAGAACCTCCCAGCCAGTATTTTAAAAGCAATACAAAAAGCAGTAGCCCCTCATCTTTGTCTTTCCCACAGAAAAATTCACTTTTTTTCCCCACCATTATTTACCTTAATTCCATTTTTATTTTCACATATAAAAATGCATTTCCAGGAAAAAGAAGATGGTTTCTGAGAGCAGCGCCCTAATCCAATATTAATTTTTAGTGTTTCTACTATTTTCAAAAATGGCAGAATTTATAATATCTGGATTTCACATAGTTTATGTTTCGTTGGTTATTATCTCACAGTTCACTTTCAATACCTATTTTGAAAGCTTATTTATCTGTCAGCCCTAATGTATTCTCTTTCCCTTTCAAATAATACATCACCAACCATATGGTGTGGGAACTGAAGGAAGGAAAGAAAATTAACCATGGATGTAGGAGAAGAGTAAATAGTGTTTTTAGAAGTGATTTGATATCACAGCTTTCTGTCTTCCAGTCTTTGAATTTCCCTCATGATGTTGTCCTGTGATGAAGTATGTATTTAGAGAACTGTAAACAACTCCATATGGTTGGATGATAAGATGCCTGCCTGTAGGGAGTGGCAGGAGATAAGGCTGGAGAAGATCCAGAAAATCAAGGTCCTGTGCTCTGCCAAGAAATATGAGCTTTTACCCTGAATCTGCAGGGAACTTTTGCAGGACCTAAAGCAGGGAAATGACAAAAGTGCCTTTTAGAAAGATCAGTCTGGCAGTAAGGCAGAGGGTAAATTGTAGTAGGCTGTGACAGAAGCAAGGAGACCCGTTAGAGGAAGCATCAGCATAATTAATGTGAATGATGAAGCATGCACTAACACAATGGCAGTGCTATTGCAGAGCAAGGAATAAATTGGAGAGAGACTTTTGAGGTAGAAACTATAGGACACAATGTGTGTTTGGATGTGGGGAATGAATGAGAGGGCAGAGACTGAAATGACTCCTAGTTCCCTTCCTTGGGTGGCTGGATGAAGGTAGAGAAAGGCACTACAGGAAGAGGAACCTATTTAAAGAGAGCAGTCTACCCAGAAACATATGTGAGGGATTTTAGACATCCAAATAAAATGAGAACAGGAGAAAACTTAGAGAACAAGCTTAGAAAGAAGCCCATGAAATTTATTGAACAGCCAGAGTAGTAGGAGGCGTACTGGAATATAAAGCCAGAAGGATGCATTTCACAAAAGAACATTGCTAAATCCTGCCAAGACTCAAAATGAGGACAGAAAAGTGTACATTGAATTTGGCAGTGTGAACTATTCATAGTAATTTCTGTGTAATGGTGAGACAGAAGCCAGACTGTAGGGGATAAGAAGTGAATGGAACAAATAAGTAGACTACTATTTATTACACATTATATATCGTTACTTATAAAATGTGTGACTGTGATGTGAAGGAGAGAAGCATTGGTTAGAGGAGAGAATATGGGCTCAAAGGAAGGAGGGTCTTGTATTTTTATGAGAAAATTTTGAGCATTCAGAAGAAATCTGCTAGAGAAGAGATTGAAGATACTGAATAAAAAGAGGGAATGATTTATAGAACAATAGCTAAAGATATAGGAACAAAGGAGTTCTAGGGTAAAAGGCAGAGGCATTAAACAGGAGGAAACTCTGCCACTGACACTAGAGTGCTTGCAAGGCTTGGGGTTGGGGGCGGGGGGAAACACTAGATATATTAAGATTAGTTTGAATTTAATATATGAACTTGAATTTTAGTATTACAAGGGATTAGTTTTAATTTGGGAAATTGTATCCAATTTTCAGAAATTCTACATTTGCATTAAAGCAGCACCAAATTTGTTTTTTAAATTAAAAGCAGGCTATAATGTTCATAGAAATGTGCTATGGCCAGGCACAGTGGCTTATGCCTTTAATTCCAGCATTCTGGGAGCCCGAGGAAAGAGGATCACTTGAGCCCAGGATTTCAAGACCAGCCTGAGCAATATAGACCTGGTCTCTACAAAAAAATTTTTTAAAAATTAGCCAAGCACGGTGGCGCATGCCTGTAGGAGGATCACTTGCGCCCTGGAAATAGAGGTTGCAGTGAGCTGAGATAGCACCACTGTACTCCATCCAGCCTGGCAACAGAGCAAGAACATGTCTCAAAAAAAAAAAAGAAATGCAGGCTAAGTGCTCTACACTAGGGAGCCATTTATCAAAATAACAATGTAATGGAGGCATATAGAATAAATAGAGATATACATATAGATACATAGAATCTATAGAATACATATAGATATCCCTAAAGACTTATTGCAGTTTGTATGCATGGAGGAGAAAGTCAAAATTTATTTTGCTTAATAAGGAGGGAACAAGGTCAGCTCTGAAATGTAGTTTGAGTAAAGAAATTTTTTAAAATCACTTGCATTTTCTTACTGTTTTCTAGAAAAAAGTGAAAGCAGATTTAAGTACCTTAGGAATCTTATTTTTAAACATGCTTATTTATTTGAATTGTTTTATTTTGATGTTTACATACATAAGTGAAAATAATGAGAATTTCTTTTTTATTTATAATTTAGGTTGTTATACTTTTAATAACTTCATAAAATAGAATGTTTGCCAGATAAGAATTTTTTGTTCCTTAGCCTCTTTATTATTACTGTTTTTAATTGCTATTAAGTTTGCTTATAGTATCTTGAACAAAAATAGTCACAGGATTTTAATTCATCTGTAACTAAATAATTCTCATTAAAGTCTAGCCTTTTGAGAAAGCAGATGTGCTTTGGATACATCTTCCCTGAAATTATGAGCTACGTCTTCCAGCAGTTTGCTCTGATCACAGCTAAAAGCTACCTTGCACAGAGAATATGAGTGCCTGTCATGTCTAGACAGACTCCTGTTCTCACAGTGCCGCTGGATTGAGCAAGTAGAGATCTGACAGAGATGACTAGCCTGGATAGGAAAGACTGGGGAGGAAAATGGGGTTAGAGGCTAGAATTTCATGGGAGGATTGGGTTGTAGAAGATAAATATGAATTGAAGCTCATCTTTGCAAAATACTCTTTAAGATATTTATATCTTAAATTATACTGAATATCTCCCATTATACTGAATGGGAGAGTTCACATTTTCTCCCTTAAGACCTAAACTATCTATATTAGGATTTTTTTGGATTGTTTTGTTTTGTTTTGTTTTGTTTTTGAGATGGACTCTTGCTCTGTTTCCCAGGCTGGAGTGTAGTGGCACAACCTCGGCTCACTGCAACCTCCGCCTCCCGGGTTCAAGCAATTCTGCCTCAGCCTCCCGAGTAGCTAGGACTACAGGTGCGTGCTGCCACCATGCCCAGCTAGTTTTTTGCATTTTTAGTAGAGATGGGGTTTCACCGTGTTAGCCAGGATGGTCTCGATCTCCTGACCTCGTGATCTGCCCACCTTGGCCTCCCAAAGTGCTGGGATTAGGTGTGAGCCACCGCACCCGGCCTATATTAGGTTATTTTTAATTCTATAACTTGTAGACATATATATATAGAATCATTTCTATAAGTTAAATGCTTAGAAATCCTAATCAATCTTTAATAAAACTATACTTACATAAAACATCGGTCTTTTTTTTTTTTTTTTTTTTTTTGAGACGGAGTCTCACTGTGTCGCCCAGGCTAGAGTGCAGTGGTGCGATCTCGACTCACTGCAACCTCCGCCTCCTGGGTTCATGCCATTCTCCTGCCTCAGCCTCTGAGTAGCTGGGACTACAGGCACCCGCCACCATGCCCGGCTAATTTTTTGTATTTTTAGTAGAGACAGGGTTTCACCGTGTTAGCCAGGATGGTCTCCATCTCCTGACCTCGTGATCCGCCCGCCTTGGCCTCCCAAAGTGCTGGGATTACAGGCGTGAGCCACTGCGCCCGGCCTAAAACATCGGTCTTAAAAAAAAAAAAATCTATGCTGTAAAGGCAGAACTCACTTAAATTATTTCAGGAGCAAAATACTCTTCAATTATTTTTTCCAAGACAAAAAATAATAAATTGAACTTGGGCCAATATATGTTGGCTCAAATGTTAATCTCTAAGTTATCTTTTTTATATATCAGCTTGGGCAAGGCTCGTAACTTTCATGGGCCTCATTTCCTAATTTGTAAAATAAGCTTTAGATGATCTATAAGGTTCTTTCTGTTTATAAAGTCTGTGAGTCTACTAATTCTACACAGATATTATTACAAGTGTACTTATTTATAATTACAGTAGGCAGAGTATTAATTTTTGCTTTTATTACATTTTTCAATTCATGCTTCTAAAGTTTCACATTTATATTAGCTAAAAACCCTGTCACCAAATGTTTATTTCTATGTAAGTAAGTAGCTTCCCACTCTTTCTTTTCTATAGTTAAATGAAAAAAGTTAATAGGCTATGTATTCCACTAGGTAGTCTGACAAATTTAGTTCATCTTTTTGTCCAGGTGATTTTTAAAGAATAATTATTTGAAGACCTCTTGATAATAAAAAACTGTTGTTTGTTAATGTATAATCCACTTTCTATGGATTCAGAATTGGGAAACTTTCTAATCCCTGCGTAGAATCTATTTATCTTTAAATGTCTAATACTTATCACATGAATTATTAAATACCAGAGGTTTTCCTTTCAGTTTCCAACTTCCCTGTGTAGCTTTTTTTCAGCAATGATTTGTTCATTTGGGCCTCAGCTCCGTTCGTTTAATTTTATCAGTTGCCATAGATGATGTCCTAAAACAACCATTTGTATTAATGTAAAACCTAGATTGCAGTTTGGCCTCTCAGATCACCAGGTAAAATCATGGACATCTATCTATCTCATTAGCATTCCTCAGTTCTTAATTTTTATTTAAGTAGTTTTTATTTGAAGCCTAGTCTATACTGCTACTGTTTTGTGTGTTATCTGTGTTTCCAAACTTTTTAAGTGATTGAACTGGATGTTTTACTTACTTTTATCACTAGTAAACTAATCCAATGTAGTAGAGTATTATAATGCTGGTGTGGAATTAGGGAAGAGAAAGAGGAAAAAGGAAAACTTCTGGACTAAAGATTATCAGGAAATAGGATAAGGAGATGGCCAATTTGATTTTTGCTCTAACCATATCCAAATAGAAGTTACTCTTGATTAGATTCTTTCCCACTTACCCTTTCCACATATATGCTAGTTTTTTTGAGATAGCAGAGGTAGGAGTGTGGTGAGGCTTGGGACAGGGAAGGAGCGTAAGATGGATTAGTGTTTTTTCAAAATGTACATTGGGACTTCTAAGAAGAATTCCTATCTACAGGGAAGTCTAGATCAGTTCTGGTGCTAAAGGGATTTATGTCATAGTGTAATTATTTGGCAAGTAATATTCACCACTACTAGGTAATTAGAGTTGATTCTGTGATTTTAGTATTAGTGTTTCCAGCTGCCTACTTAAAAGTCATTTTTTCAGTATATTACAGTTTTAATTTTTTTAACTTCTATCTTGATTTGGATAAGAACTATGTATGTATGTATAAGGATAGTATAGTACTGTATAAATTGTATCATTCCATCTTTAGGTGTCTTTGCAAGAAGAATGCTACTTTTTAAATCTATTTTTGTTACCTGTGTTAGTAGGGCTCTTTAGCAAAAGTTCTGAGTAAAGTTATTTTGAAATGTTTGTTTCCTTATGCATAGATTCGATGTTACAGAGTCCCAGATCATAATTATAATATGCCAGCTTCTCACAGGAACCCTGGGGCCTTGGTTCTGGAACTTCACGGTAACTGCTAGAATATTCATGCTATCTGATGTACAATGGTGTGAATTCAATAAAGACAGCACCTTTGTCATGCACAGAATAATTAAAACATGAAAAATCAAAAGTCTTCCTGTTGGTATGTCACAAACAGGTTATTAGAAAACATAATTTTAATATATTAGGGCAATAAAAATCCACCCTATTAAATAAAATTTTTAAAAAGTGGTATTTCTGGTGATTTGATGCTAAAGTCAATTCTCCTGTTTGCCTATTGTGCCTATTATTTTTATTCTATGTACTATTTTTTAAAACAAATACCTTTCCACCAGTAAATAGAATTTTTTTTATATTTCTATTTTGAAAACAGAATAAAGCAAGCAGAGTTTTTCTTAGGTAAGGAAGTTGAGATGATTCTATATTAATGTAGGAAAGATTCTGCTTATTCTGTTAACTTCTTTAGCATATACTTTAAGCAGTCTAGTACTAGTTCTGCTTGAGTTTACAGCAGTCTTGGTGTTGTATAATATTTATGCTGGAAGCTATTCTCATTTCTGTTTGTTTTGCTTAATGTTTTTCACTCTTAGTTGTGCTTTTGAAACTAAATATCCTTAGCTTTTCATGTTACTATAGTCATTCTTTGAATACTTTCCTTTTTTGTTTTGTTTTCTTTTCAGTAAATACATATTTCTCTAATGTACTGCTAAAAGTAATGTATCTTTTTCCTTTTTTTTTTTTTTAATTGAGATAGAGTCTCATTTTGTCACCCAGGCAGGAATGCAGTGGCACAGTCATAGGTCACTGCAGCCTTGAAACTCCTGAACTGAAGTGCTCCTCTCACCTCACCTTTCTGCACTGTCACACCTGGCTAATTTTAAATTTTTTTTTTGTAGAGACAGGTCTTGCTGTGTTGCCTAGGATGGTCTTGAACTTCTGGCCTCAAGTAGTCCTCCCGCCTCAGCCTTCCAAAGCACTGGAACTACAGGCATGAGCCACTGCATTCACCCTTCTTTCTTATAACTGCAGTTTTGACCTTATGACTTTTAAAAACATTGTTAGGAAATGTTTTCCCAGTAAGATAGTCCAGAATCATTCACACTTTAGCATAAGAAAAAATAGGGCTTAGATTCAGTTTATTTGGCAGTTCAGAGAATGTTGGAGAACTGTTCAAATGAAAACCTGACAGATCATTATATCAATGCAAGGGTTTATTAAGTTTCCTACATTAGGTCGCCTGCCCTGAAAAAAAAAAAGAATTGTAAACATTTTAATATTGCTTCAATAATACAGAAATAGTGAATTCCTTGTTGGCCAAGTTCTTTGGTTCTTTTTTTTTTTTTGAGGCGGAGTCTCACTCTGTCACCCAGGCTGGAGTGCGGTGGAGCTATCTCAGCTCACTGCAAGCTCCGCCTCCCAGGTTCACGCCATTCTCCTGCCTCAGCCTCCCAAGTAGCTGTCACTACAGGCGCCCACCACCATGCCCAGCTAATTTTTTGTATTTTTAGTAGAGACGGGGTTTCACCATGTTAGCCAGGATGGTCTCGATCTCCTGACCTCGTGATCTGCCCACCTGGCTGAGTTCTTTCTGAAAAGTATATTTCAGTGTTGTAAATCCAGTTATTCAGTGGCAGTAATGATGGCTTTGAGGACAAATTCATAGGGAGGGATATTCTGCATCTTTTTTCAAAATAACCTTGGAATGTGGAAAATACAGTTGTCCCTCCATATCTGTGAGGAATTGGTTCCACAATCTGCAAATACCAGAATGCAGGGATACTCAGGTTCCTGATATAAGGTGGTGTAGTATTTGCATAGAACCTATACACAGCCTCCTGTATACTTTAAGTCATTCTACGTTACTTATACCTCACACAATGTAAATGCCAAGTAAATAGTTGTTATACTATAATGTTTAGGGAATAATGACAAGGAAAAAAGTCTGTACGTGTTCAGTACAGACACAACTTTTAATATTTTTGACCTGTGGTTGGTGTAATTCCTGGATGCAGAACCCACAGATAGAGAGGGCCGACTGTACTAAGAAGTGTATCGTTAGCCTCCCTTTACCCTTACACTGTCTTCTGGTACTTTCTCCAAAGACCTGTAGCTTTATGCTCATTGCAGTTGCCTAGATTTATAGATTTATAATTTTTGATAGCCCCTTTTTTATTGTTGATTATACTTAGCAAAGGTCTTTTCCACCAATGTTCTTAATGAAATTAACAGTCAGAATATTGACTGTATCTACTTTCACCTTGTTTGTCTATGATAACAAAGTACCCGATATCTACTTTCACCTTGTTTGTCTATGATAACAAAGTACCCTATATTTATAGAGCCCTTTCTATTAAAATGTTTCTAAAAACTAATGCATTTTAACATCATAAAAAAAGTTTTGAAAATACTTTGTTTTCTCTGTATATACTGTATTTTCTTTTACCAGTTGCTAACTTGCAGAGATTTTCTTTTGCTTTTAATACTTATTGCTTAAACTGATTTGATAATTAAAATGAGATTGTCAAATATACTTTTTTTATGAAGTTTCGAAAAAAACTTCAGAAAGAATTGTCCTTAATAATTTGTTTCTAAGTGAATTTGATTTATTAGCATGTAAACTATCTATAAGCTATTTCCTGTTGTATTCTAGCATTTTTGGTGAAATTGTATTAGAATACAAAGAGTTTTAGCACTACAGAGGAAAAACACTCCGGTTTCTCTTCAAGGTTATTTTCTTTATAACCTTGGAAAAGTCACTTGACCTTTCTAAATGTTCTCATCTACAAAATGGTGATATTTCCTACCTCCTAGGGTGGTTGTCGTGATTAAAAGGGTGAAGAATGTAATGTGCTTACTGTAGTGCTAAGGATATAATAAGTCTTCATTATTGCTATATTAAGACCTGTTTTAGCTGACTCCCCAGTGGTTGGCAAATTTTGTATTGTGCCAGTTAGAGAGGAAGAATAAGTTCATGATCCCTTTATTTAACTCAGAGATTGTGAGAGGATTCTCCTTTTGGGTCTTATTGTTTTCAAAGGTGATAAAGATAGACTGCCCTTTAAATTTAAGACCTATACTCTACTTCTTTTTATATTAGAGGGCTTGTTCTATTCTAGCCTTTGGCTATATTTTTCTCTTCTTACTCAGAGTTATTCAATGGGCTTTTTCTTTTTAGTCTTCTCAGAAAGTCTGAAGATCCATATAGTCATTCATGTGGTAGGTAATGTGTTTTTAATAATTAAGCTTAATTTCAAAAATAGACTTGTCTTGCTGTCTGTTTTCCCAATTTATAACACTTGAATTAAAAATACTCCAAGTTATCTCTCAGTTGTATGGTTAATGTTATTTAATACTAAGATTACCATGTCCAGTTTGTCCCTTATCAAGGGTAGAAAGTAAAATATTCAAAGTCAGTATATTGAATTTCTAGGCTAATCTTTATTTCAGTCCACCAACAGTTCACCCCACCCATGGTATTTCTGGTAGAATCTATAATGAATGTCATGCTCTGGTTATCCATAAGTTACCTAGAGCTTCAAATCCCTTTACAGATAATTATAAACCTGGAGTTAATAGCTATCTAATCCTTGAGTAAGAATCTAGACGTCTTCAAATAGATGATTTTTTTAAACAAAATCCTTCTCTTTAACAATAGCTCACAGGTCAAATTGTACAAATTGGGGATTCTTTGACATTGTGAATTTATCCCTAGTGCATATCCTATGTTAACCAAACTAATATAAACAATTGTGTTGCCAAACTACAACACAATTAAATTTACTATTTATAGTTTAACAAAAATACTTACAAAATAACTGCAAGTGTATCTTTGAAATGCATATGTCACATGTAGAAGAACAATAGATTGTTTCTGATTTTAGAGGGGAAAGACATTAAAAATTTGTGGGAGAGATGATTAATGTGCTTAGCTTTCATAGAATGCCATTTAAATCCCTTCACATCCCTCAATTAAAACTGAGTTCTGGTATTCAAACCAAATGCATTTGTCAGGCGTCTCTCTGAACACTGATAAACAAAAATGGAAACTTTCAAAATAGAAATTTTTCTCATAGTTAGCTAACTTACTTTGCAGTTGTTCTACCCCATTTTAAAAGCTATTTTGCACTTCTGATGTAATAACTGCCTTGATCAGGGAGTTTTCTAAGCTTTTTGTAGTGACGAAGACCTCCTGAGATAGTCACTCCAACTAAAGAGATGCTCTGTTCCCTTGTTTAAAAGTTTAAATTATTCATATTCATTTAGTACACTTTATTCTCTTAATCAGTTGACCATTAGGGTGTTGTAAGGAATGATTGGCCTAAAGTTTATTACGGGCGTTGAAGGTTATTTTGACCTCAGACTGTCAAATTTATAGCTTCCACATCAGATGAATGGTTTGCTTCTTTTTATTTATTTTTTGTGACAGCCATCAAAACAGTGTTTGTTTCTGGCTTGTCATAGTAATTTAAGTGTATCCTGATGAGAATATTCATTATGGGTTATCCCCAGTAACTGGGAGAATTCTTTTTTGTCTTTTGACGACCTATATTAAAATGAAGTAGAAATAGGAAATTATTTATTTATTTATTTTTGAGACAGAGTTTTGCTCTTGTTGCCCAGGCTGGAGTGCAATGGCACAGTCTCAGCTCACCACAACCTCTGCCTACCTGGTTCAAGTGATTCTCCCGCCTCAGCCTCCTGAGTAGTTGGAATTACAGGCATGCGCCACCACACCTGTTAATTTTGTATTGTTAGTAGAGACGGGGTTTCTCCATGTTGGTCAGGCTGGTCTCAAACTCCCTACCTCAGGTGATCCGCCTGCCTCGGCCTCCCCAAAGTGCTGGGATTACAGGCGTGAGCCACCACGCCCAGCCAGGAGATTATTTTAAAGCAGCACCAGTCAAGATGTTCATGTACCTTCATAGATATAGAAAATTGTGGTTAGTATCATTTAATTTTCTCCCTCTACAACTTTAGGCTGTAGAAATCTAATGCGACACATAAGAAATTTGTTTTCCCATATGTTTTGTTAAAAAATCACTGGCATTTGGGTCCTCTTTGACCACATACCCCATGTGTCTTGAAGGGTTTTTTGGTTTTGTTTTTTGTTGTTTTTTTCTTGGTGTGGTAGTAGTGGTCAGTTTCTTTGTTTTGGTTTTGAGGAATAGTCCCAACACTTGGGAATATTACCACTGACGATTCTCCATTTTTAAAATAATAATAACAATAAAAAGGAAGTGATTACAGACATGCCAAATCCCTGCCCTTATATAATATTCTGTCCTCTAAATAACTGTATTTCCTGTATGATCAAAAAGATTAAAATGAGCCTCTTTGTAGTATGTGTTACAGTAAATTGAGCCCATACTGAGACTTCTTAGTGGAAAGGTGGAAGAATGGATTGTCATGTAACTAGCTGTCTTCTAAACAAAATCATAAACTCTTGTTTATCATTTCTACCACCTGTCCCTCTTAGCTTGCTTTAGTTCCCATTCCTGGGAATGACTTTGCACTGCATGCACCCTTTTTCATTGACAGTAAAGATTAGAACCACACTTCCAGGAGTGATGATAGGCAGTTCTCATGATTCAGAGCAGAAGATTCTCATCCTGGAGTTCAGAATATTCTTCTAAATCAGATAAGCAAATAAAAAATATTCTTAACTAACTACCAACTGGTAAGTAAGTTTTCCTGGCCCTCTCTCCATAACAGTAAGACATTATTCATCTAATACAATGTCAGTATTAGAATGGTTAAGAAAATTCTGTCAAAAGTTTCAAATGACTATTCTATAAAACTTGCCCTAAGAATCCCAATTTGAGACTTTGTAAAGATCTTTTATGTTTCCTGTTCTCTTTTATATTCATCCATGGTACAAAGATTAATTGCATGAGGTTCCCTCCATTTTTATTTTGTAATTCTATACTTCTGGCCCTTCCCCTTCCAAAAGGCTACTTCATATATCCAGCAAAATGTTCTAAGATGTCTACCCTCCTCCACCCAAGACAGAATCGATCATCTTTGACACCTACCTGCTTAGTCTCCTGAATCTGCTACTGAGTGTAATTCCCCTTATTGGCAACACCACTCACCAGGTCAGCTCTACAGATTCTTTTTAGCCTAATTCAGTCCATTTTTTTTTTCAATGTGTATATCAAGATAACTACATCACTGTATGTTTGCAGCTAAATAAGCTTCTGTTTAAAAAACATTCTTGGGCAAACAAAGACCCATTTTTTTTTAGTTGCAAGACATTAGTTTCAACCCAGTTATTTATCACAGCATGACAGCTTATGTATCTTAAACTCACATTACAGATTATCTGCTTTACATATTTTTAGAAATGGAGGCTCTGTTCTGTTCTGGGAATTGAATCCCTTTGCTGTTGTTACCTACTTTTAGACTAATTACTTTTAATAGATAAATTATTCACTTTGTTGAAAAACTAGCATTATAAAAAGGTATACAGTGAAAAGTCTCCTCATTCTTATTTCCCAGCTCCCCAGTTTCTATACTATACTCCCCAATAGGTAGCCACCACTCTTAGTTTGTAATGTGTCTTTCCAGAAATTTGTTATGCAATTACTGGCAAAAATAAAAGTAGAATATTATTTGTCTCTTTTTTTACACAAAAAATAGCCTGTACACATTCTGCAACTTATTTTCACTTACTATATCTTTGCTACTTTTTATATCAGTATATAGAGAGCTGCCCTACTCTTTTTAAAAGCTGTAAAATATTCTATTTTATGGAAGTACCATAATTTATATAACTATTCCCTCTGAGGGAATTTTTTTAAATTATGCTATTATAAATTTATAATTCCATAGTGAATAACCTTGTACAAACATCATTTTGTGCAAGTATATCTGTAGGGTAAGTTCTCAAAATAGAAGGCATTTGAATCCAGTAATCTAAGAATGATAATCTCAAAATTGTAGAAGGTGCTAAGTTTACAAGAGGAAAGGAAAAACAGCATATGTTTTGCTTCTCAATCTTTTTGCCCATGTTCTTTTTTTTCACACTTTCAGGCTTCTAATTTCTGCTGCCCTGTTGTGCATGAGGTTTGTCTCTTCTTGACTGTAAAATTATTTTCAGCAACCCCAAAGCTAATTCTTGGCTGCTTTCAGTATCTTCTTTGCAGAAGTCTCAGAGTAGTTAACCTAGTAAGAATAGGAATTTGAGAACTGGAGGAGTTTTTTTTTTCACACCTATACAATGGCAGACATTAAATGAATATATCTAAAGAACAGTAAGTTTTACAGAGTCTTAGTGATTTATGTTAACTTTAATTAAAGCACACCATTTATTTCATCTGATACTACAAAGCACTTATTTCAAGATTTCATATTTTATAACAGTGCAATGTAATCCTCTGCTTGATACTCAAAATTTAATACCTCCTCAATTTTTTTTTTTTTTGGTGGGAAAGGTTAACCTATGGTTTCAGCCCAACTTCAATGAGTCAGAAATTTCCTTTGGAAAGGAGGGGTTTTTATTGCTCTTTGAAATTCATCAAATTAAATTAAAAGGCTTTGGATTTTATATGATTTTGCTCATAACAAATTTTTGATGCCTCCTTTTCCCCTTTCCTCAATATTTGAGATTTTTTTTTTCTATTGTGCATGATAGAGGAATGCTGCTAAGCTTGCAAGTAATTAACTTGAAATTGTTGTGACTAATTCTGCTCTTTTGGCTTTTTGTACCTAATCAGAATTGATGTGACTGAAGTGCAAATCTTCATAATAATCATGCATTTGCTGGCAGTGATTGGAGGACCACCTTTTTGGCAATCTATGGTAACTTTGTTCACATTGTGTATCCCATGTAATGCATGTTGTCTTTTGCTTGTGTTTTCTAATATGGGATAATCCAGTTAAAGGGTAATGTGTGAAATTCTTTTATTTTTTTCCAAACAGTAGAACACAACTTCTCTTTAGAGGATGGTGAATTTTACTACTTGAAGTTATGTAGAACGTTAGGACTATTCCAGGGCTATTATTTTTGAAGGCCATTGAGAATCTGAATTAGTATTGTTATCCCATTTTACAGATGAGGAAACAGCAGACAGTATAACAAGTTAACCAGTGACAAGATTAAATTAGACCTTTTATTCTCTTTCTTAACTACATGAGTCTACTAGTTTTTCTGTCATATACTTAAAGCTGAATAACAAATTTGAGATTGTAAGTTAACTCTGGTTCCAAAACAGGATAAATACCTGTTGAATGAAATCAGTGCCATGGGATTGTTTGAACGAGCTTGGACCTTGATTTCCAGGTCTACCTGAAATATAGTCACTCTTACAAACACAGATTCTTTTCCACAAACCTCTGAGGTAGGGAGTAAAATATGGAGGCCAAGAACACAAGCTCTGGAACCAGACTGTGTGCGTTTGACCCAGGTTCCATGGCCTACTGTGTGAACTTAATCTGTTGCGTAACTCTCTCTGGCTTAGTTTCCTCCTCTGTAACATGAGGTCATTAGTAGTACCTGTCTCATAAAGTTATTTTATGCATTAAAGGAGTTAATATATTGTGTAAAGCACTTAGAATAGTGCCTGTCAAATAATAAGCACTCAATAAAAGTTGTTGCTGCTCTTATAGTTTTAATGTATTCTTTCAGATTTGGGTTGTCATGGTATGTACTCCCCTGGTCATCAGTTAATTGCCGATTTCTACCATCACCCCTTCAGAATACAGTATTTATCATTCATTTGGTGAAATCTTAACAAAGAAAAGATTTACTAGACCTAAATTAATGCAATTCTTAAAAATCAGATTAATTTTAAAGTATAAGGGAAATTTACTGAGCAACATTTTTCCCTTACCTAACTCACTTTATGATGGAAAATTAGGTGCTTGAGGAAGTGTAATTGATACACTACCCACAGTATTTATTGCCAGAAATGAATTGTTAAGTATCTTTTGTTGGGAAGATGAATCTGTGAAGGGGGAGGAGATGAAGGAATAAAAATAATCCACAGTCAACTGGGAAAATTCTGAAACTATTCAGTTATGTACATAATATCATTCAGTTATGTATCTTAGATTTCACTATAGAGACCCTATTGGCTTTTGAGACTAATGTGTAGGAAATACGAATTTTATTACTTTTGCTCTTCAGTAGACTAGTTCTTTTTTTTAATAACAGTTTTGCCTTATGGGAAGGAAATAATAGTTTTTGTTTTCCTGAAAGCAGATCATAAAGCCTAAAGCTTACCCCCATTCCTAAAGTTTTTATATCCCTTGACTATGGTGATTATTATTTTTATAAGCCTTGTATACCAAAGTTTTCCCCCCAAAATTATTTGTAATATGTTGTACATAAAGTTTCAGCATACCAATATCCAAAAAGTGGGATTTCTGGCTTGATTATTGGAAAACAAGTCAGTGTTTGGTTTATACAGGTTAAGTATCCCTTGTCTGTAATTATTGGGACCAGTATTTCAGATTTCAGATGTTTTCAAGTTCTACAATATTTGCATATACATGATGAGATATCTTGGTATCTTGAGATACCAAGTCCAAATATGAAATTTATTTTCATATACACCTTATACACATTGCCCAAAGGTAATTTTATACAATATTTTTAATAATTTTGTGGATGAAACAAAGTGTGTGTATTGAACCATCAGAAAGCAAAAGTGTTACTATCTTAGCCACCCATGTGGATAATCTGTGGTTTGGCATCAGTGTTACTCCTGACTCTGAATTTACATACTACTGTTAAGCAATCATTTTCTAACACTTATTTACACGTAGATATATTTAGCAAAAAATAAGACATATCAGTGAAAAGATAATGTATTCAGGGTAGTGGAGCAGCACAATAGCATCACCAGAATACCTGTATGTTATCACTATTAACCAAAAAAGTATCTGCAGTCCTTTTTGACATTTTCAACAATATCTTTATACCACACAGCAGAGAATAAGCAAAAAACAAAAACAAAATTGAAAAGCAGTAATGCACTTAGTTCTTGGCCCCATGTCGGGCATTGGGGAGAACCTGTTGTTGGAATGTCCAGCCTGCACAATGCCATTTTATTACCCTTTGTGGGTGTACTTACGTGACAGGATATGGGTCTGTGCACAAAGATATATTGCAGCTATGAAGGGGGCTGGGAGGGTCGTTTTTCCCTTGGGGATGCTGAATAAACTTTTGTGCACCTACGTTTTGACCTCGACCTGTCACATAAGCTCAAGTGTGGAATTTTCCACTTGTGGCATCACATTGGCACTCAAGAAGTTTTGGGATTTGTAGCATTTTAGATTTTGGATTTTCTGATTAGGGATGCTCAACCTGTGTGCCTAATTATTTGTTATAAATATGGAAATGCATAAAACATTGTAAATGAAGTTGTCTGTGCACGTTATATACATATCCTTATTTCTTAGGTGATGCCTGGTAGTAAATTCCTTCAGGTATACTTTTTACCTTTTTCCATTATGATTTATACATATAATCTACACATGTACATAGTAGATATAATTTTTTCTTTTATAAAGATCAAATGTTTTGTCCTGTCTTGTAATTAATATAAACATCCTTTTTAAATTATATGTTTTATCTGAGGAACTCTCAGATTCACATCTGAAATGGAGTTCCCAGACCCAGTAAACTAGCAATCTAATTTCAGGATTCATGAGGTGAGGTTGCAACGGGAAAACAGATTCTCCCCCTGCCCCTTCATCCTATTGTTAGCACTTTGGTCCTACTGTTAGCATCATTAAACCAAAAGGGAACAACCCGACTTCTCTGGTGATATATTTGGAGACTTAGTGAAATATTCTGTTTTTTCTTTTTTAACAACTCCCAATACGGATTCCCATAATTGACCCCAGATCACTATATTATTTTTTTCTTTTTACTTAGCATTAAGGGTTCATTACTGAATATGCTGTTTTGAATTGCATTCTGTTAATACAGGAACAAATACTACATATTGAGCTCTCACATTTTTGTGTGCCAAATGGAGAAAAGATATTTACTTAGGGTTCAGGTATGAAATTTACATCTCTTCTGAGATTGAGGCCATAAAATGGAAATTGCCTTCCAAATCCTCATTAAGTTAGAAGGCTTTTACTGACATTTAGAAAGCAAGTTTATGGTCAGAACAAATAAAAACAGTGCAGATGTCTTCATAAGGCTGATTCCAGAAGATCAGCTGTTTTGTAAAGGTAAGTGATTTGCATCTATTACATATGGATTACCCATTCTTTCCCAAATTTTTTCCCCAAAGAGATGAATTTTTACCAAAGATTATAGTTATTGTTGTTGTTGTGGTTTTCCTTTTTTTTTTTTCCAAAGGAAAGCAGTTGTCTTCATGCATAAAAGTCAGTGCTTGTTTTATACATTGCAAGAAACAAAAAGCATATTTTTTGTTTGTTGCTTCCCCAAAAGACATTCCTTTTAGAATGCCTTGGAACTATGTTCTATCATATCACTCTTTAAAAAAAACAAAGAAGAATATATTCTTATTTGGAAGAGACTTAATATAATCAACTCATGGTTACTTTTACTGATGCTTGAGTCTTTTAAATGTAGTAATTGATCAAATTGTATTAAGCCATAAGGGACTTTCTGGAATTCAGTTAAGGCAACTAGGTGAGTGTTACTACTGCAGGTGAGGTTTCAGGATTCATTTGGTCAGACTGAAGACGTTCTATGTAGTATAAATTGATTATATCTCATTCTTGAACTACAAGACTTTAAAATGCCTTTACACTTAAATAATTCTGATAGGGTGATTTTCCTTTGTAGACACTGTAATTATGTTAACATTTGCTGTATTTTGGTGGAATTCATTTACATTAAAATGATTTACAAACAGGCATTCCCACATTCTTTGGAGGAAAGTGTCTAATCTCAAAATGGTACTTTTTATTTCTGCTCTGATGTACAAAGCCTGTAAGGACATTTTATCATGCTTATAAGAAAACTAGTCAAAATTTACTAACTGATATTAGTCTGCATTAATACAAACTATTGAACCAAAAAACATGACCTTTGTAATCTGGTAAAGATACTGATAATTTAAGATTTTCTTTTTCTATGTCTAACCTTTTTAAAAGTGAATTTCATTACATTGTTATTATTTGGATGCATACCTTCATGGTATGAGTCTGGAGAGTTTTCACCTGGCTGTAGGACAGACACCATGGTCCAAAGGAATTCTTACTCTTCCCAACTCTTAAAGACTTGAAACTTCAAGCAGACCTGACATAAAGATGTCTTTGGTATAGCTCTTTGGCTATTTCTAAAGAGTGGATGCACTTTGGCCACCTTTGATAAGTTCCAAGATGATGACAGAAAGAAAAAGATTGGGAAAGACAGAATGTGCCTGTTCTTTTTGACTTGAGGGAGAGAGAGAATGTGCCACCCTCCTTGATCTTAAGCGTGGGGTGAGAATGGCAACACTTTGTGTTTTTTATAAGTAGTGCCAATTTTTAAAGGATCACCTGGTGAGACTTGGGATTCCTTTGACTCGAGCTTTTCCTTCACTTTGCCTCATATTTTCTTGGTAGCTCACTTTCTTTTTCATTGCTAATGTGGGGGCTAGATGTTTCTTCATACTCTCCCAAAACAGGAGTTCTACATAGAAAGGAAGAGAAAGGGAGATTTTAATCTTCATTTAACAAATGTGTATTGAGCCACCTACAATAACCAGGGCTCTAGAGAGTGTACAAAATCAATTCAAACAAAATCCAACACTCAGGAGCTTATGTTTTGGTGTATATAGCTAACATATATGACAAAAGTGATGAAAACCTTAAGAATCTATGATACTTTGCGCCTAGGTCAATAGCTTGCTTCCTTACTTTGTGGTCCAAGCCATGTACTAATTTTCCTGGCTTTTCTAATGTTTGTGTTTATTCTTCTTTCAAAGGGCAACAATTTTTATGATCCCAAAGCAATTTCACCAAATTTTAAATACAGTTATGACTCTCATTCAGTTCATTTATGACACAGATGACTATTATACAGAGATGGTACTCATTTAGTACCCTGGCCCTAATACAGGGCTGTCCCTGTAATAGAATAATGCTTTGCTTCTTTTGGAATCTGAGGGAAGTATAGTATTTTCCCTTTTGCCAGAGAGATCTTTTGTCTCTATGGAGTCAAAAGTGGGAGGGGTGGGAAGAGAGGTTGGGAACCAGGAAACTAGCCACAGTATTGAGTTTCAGCCAGGTGCATCAGATTGAGAATGTAATGTCCCTAGTTTATTGAACAAGAGCAGAAAAATCTCTTGGAGTTCAAAGCAACCATGGTGTTGATTTTCTCCTTTCTTGAAAACAAGTTTTGAACTTAGACTGTAGAGGTTGGAGATTTAGGGGGAGAAGATAACCATTTAGGATAATCCATAAAGTTTAGGACTTGACTTAGTTGACCTAGTTAATTTTAGAACTAGGTTGACCTAGTTAATTTTAGAAAATTTAACACTGCTACAGTACAATTTAAACTTGAACATTTGATTTCAATTTTTTTTAGAGCTGCATTTTTGCAAGAGGTAACAGAGTTATCTCAACAAAGTGAGTTCTTGAGAGTTTTGAAGAAATAAAGTATCCAACCATTAAGATTTATGTCTTCCAGTCTTAACTGAGGTTTTCTATATAGTAGGAAGTGCCACATTTGCTATTTGATTTTAAAAGTGTAGATAGATGTTAGCCATACAAAGTGTAAACAGCCCTAATTAAAATGCTTTCATTGTGACCGGGCATGGTGGCTCACACCTGTAATCCCAGCACTTTGGGAGGCTGAGGCTGGCAGATCACTTGACGTCAAGAGTTCGAGACCAGCCCGGCCAACATGGTGAAACCCCATCTCTACTAAAAATACAAAAATTAGCTGGGCGCAGTGGCACATGCCTGTAATCCCAGCTACTCAAAAGGCTGAGGCAGTAGAATCACTTCAACCCGGGAAGCGGGGGTTGCAGTAAACCAGGATCACACCGCTGTACTCCAGCCTGGGTGACAGAGCAAGACTCTGTCTCAATTAAAAAAAAAATTTTTTTTTTCATTGTAAGAACTCATGGCTTATTAAACCACTGGGGGCTTTTGGAATCTTGTTTCTATAATCATTTGTTTCTATTACTAGACTACGTCATTTATTTTACTGTTGCTTTCTTTTCAATCCATATTGGACAAAATTTGAGACCAAAATTTAAAGGGAGGGGTGCGAAAAAGAAGAGACTCTTAAATGATTTTTAAAATTCAGTACAAGTGTATTTCATTTTAAATGATAGATATTGTGTTTGCAAAAATGCATGACATCAATCCACTCTGTCCCCCATACTTCAGGTAAATAAACACATTTTCAGTATACTTTATGAATATATTATTCACTTTTCTGAAAAGTACATTTAAACTTCAAAATTTTGTATGCACAATAGTAGAATCTGTTTGAATGTACTTGACCTGTTTTTTCTTCTGCATTGTGAATGCCTTCTTAATTGCCTTCTGCTTTTACTAGCTGCCTGTATCCTAACAATTTGGAGTTGGGAACTCTTCTGAATAGAAATTTTATCTTCCATTCTCTATACTCTGCAGATTTTTATATCTAGTCGCAACATTTCTATTATGATTCATACTTCCTCACAACAATTATGAATGTTCTACAGATTTAGAGGTAGAATTCAAAAACATATACAAGGAAAAAGGCAGGGTGCACTCCTTTTATTAAAAGGCCAGAACACATCCTGGTTCACTGTTGCAAGACCACTGGGATGCATTAGGTGAATCTAACTTAGCTTGTGACACAAGTTAATAAAGTTGAATCTGGTTTTTTTGTTTTTTTTAAGGTTGATGGCTGAAGTGAGATTAATTTCTAAATAGTCTCAACTCTTGAGACTTGCTATATTGCTTATAATGAAGAGGAAAAGGACACTTTCATTACTTTACGTATTTATGTAATTGGAGGGAATGGAAAGTTTTTGGGAATATGAATCAAATATTAGACTGTTTTCTTATTTTAGTTTGTATATGTTTTAATTGTTTTCTCTCTCTACCCATTAAAGATTCCAGTGCTGAATATTCAAATGAAAATTTTTCCTGCACTTTGTACTGTAGCAGGGACCATATTTTCCTGTACAAATTACTTCCGTGTAATCTTCACAGGTGGTGTTGGCAAAAATGGATCAACAATAGCAGTAAGTATACCTTAAGATTTTCAACACTTGTTTACACTAGGACTTGGTTTTGTTGTCATTTTGTTTTTTATTTCAAATGTATAAAATCATTTGTTAATTTATAATTTATACTTAGCCTTTAAAGAAACTAATGTTCAAAACTTCAATTTTATATATACTTACCCACATTTATATGCTTTATATATTCATACTTTTATGCATACACACACACAAACACACTTATTCACATGTTTTTTAAAGTATGAGCTGCTTTGTAAAAATAAGCCTGGTCTCTTAAGTGAAATCCTCAGTTTGTGCCTAATGAATTTATGCTGCTACTTTTCATTAGCTCTTCTAGTTTGTGATTTATAGAAATTGCTGCCTATCAGGCACCATGAGGTTCCTGAAAGTTTGAGTTGAACTGTGAACTGTTCTGCAGCAGATCCATGTAGTATCTGATGAGTACTGAATACTATTAACTCTTCTCTTCACTCTGTACAGGGAACAAGTGTCCTTTCTCCTTTTCTCCATATTGGATCAGTGATTACATTAGCTGCAATGATCTACAAGAAATCTGCAGTTCAGCTTTTTGAAAAGCATCCCTGTCTTTATATACTGACATTTGGTTTTGTGTCTGCTAAAATCACTAATAAGCTTGTGGTAAGCACCTGAGTTTTTATTTGCTGTGTTTTTCACTTTCATCTTATTTTGGATTTATGGCTATAGTTCTCATTCTGTAGCTTCATAAATGGTCCTAGAGTTTGCCCTCTTCTAATCAGAATCTCTTGATATCAACATGGGAACTATTTTTACTCTTTTGTGAAGCTACAATTTGAAGTTACTGGAAGTTCTTGGAAAACATACAACTTTTTACCCTTTTATCCACTGTTTAATTTGGTTATTCAGTTTATTTACATTCTCAGTCTCAATCTGGACACTCAAATTAAGGCTTCTTGTGAAAAGCATCTTTTGTAGGGTTAGTTGACATGATACATCCCTTTCTTTCTCAGACGCATTTCATATTGTTGGGTTTTTAGTTTTGGGAATTCAACAGCTATTCCTAAATAATTATTGGAAGTTGATATCTGAGCACAATATGATTTACTGTGTAGTTCACAATTGTCCTCTTATGAAAATGCCTACGTTATTCTGTTTTATTCATAGGTTGCACACATGACGAAAAGTGAAATGCATTTGCATGACACAGCATTCATAGGTCCGGCACTTTTGTTTCTGGACCAGTATTTTAACAGCTTTATTGATGAATATATTGTACTTTGGATTGCCCTGGTAAGTATTGTACTAAGTCTTATTTCATGGTTTGAGGGTTTGAAGGTTGCTTGTTTTCTTATTTTGATGACCCAGTCATGAAAGATCGTTCATATAATTGTAATGATTTGGAATGTCAGAAATCCACATAAATGGGGCTGTGTGAGAGTTCTATGGCTTTATATTTGAGCCTTTTATTTTTTGCATTAATCTTACTAGTCCTGCCTACATCGGGCAGGGCTCATAAATTGCAAATTTCTGACTGAGTAGAAAAGCATGAATCAGCATACTACACCCTGTGGGCCCATAGCCTGTTTTGGTAAATACAGTTTTATTGGAACACAGCTATGGCCACTCATTTATATATTGTCTGTGGCTGGTTTCATGGTACAATGGCAGAGTTAAGCAACTGTGACAAAGACAATAAGGCCCATAAAGCTTAAAATATTTGCCATCTGTCTCTCTAACAAAGAGTTTGTATGTGAAGGAAAGATTGCAAGGAAATTGAATTATTTTATGGAATGGAAGGTGAATCTGTAGAGAGAACAGAGTCCAGTCCTCTTTACTTTCAGGAAGCTTAGGGAGAGCCTAAACGGGTGCTGAGAATGTCTCTTTTCTTTCCAGGTTTTCTCTTTCTTTGATTTGATCCGCTACTGTGTCAGTGTTTGCAATCAGATTGCGTCTCACCTGCACATACATGTCTTCAGAATCAAGGTCTCTACAGCTCATTCTAATCATCATTAATGATGTAATTGGTATATAGGAACATCATGTTTTCTGCAGGAAAGAAAGTAACATATTAAGGAGAATGGGGGTGGATAAGAACAAATATAATTTATAATAATCAATGTTGTATAACTTTTATTCTTTATTATTGGTAACACGCCCTAACTATCCTGTGTGAGAATGGGAATTTCAAGTCCCATCTTGTAAATTGTATATGTTGTCATGCAGGGTTTGGGCCAAGAAAGCATGCAGAAAAAAATGCCATGTGATTGTAATTATCCTGGATTCAGAATAATACTGTGATGGGGAGCCAGATCCGCAGTGGTGGAGAGTTCTAATGTTGACTGTTTGCAGGCCAAAAGATGATTGCTTTATAATTTTAACAAATCATTGTCTTTTAGTAACATCCTTGTTTAGTGTCTTCTCAAGCTTTCTTTACTGAGGAATTCAGCTTGTGACACAGATACATCCCACTAGCTTGTGAGGTGGAACTAGTAATAAAGACCTTGAATTTGGATTGAAAAGTTTCCTATCTTTACATTGTTGAGGAAGTCCTTTTTTTTTTTTTTTTTTTTTTAATTGCTCAAGAAATGATTCTCTCACAGGCTTGGGAAATCCTGTTAGCATGCAGAATAATGTGGTAACTTTGTCAATTTCCCATTTTATTTTTTTAAATAAATATATGATCTAAAAGCCAACTTTTTCTCAGTTTTACTCAGTGGAAAGATAAACTAAGTTTTAATGTTATTTTTTTAAATTTAAGCAAAATTTATTTCTGTTCTTTAATAAATAAGAAAATGTGGTCCACTGCATTGTTGTGATGTGTCTTGTGACATTTCTATTTTGTAGAAACTTTAAAAAGGAGAACTATGTTCATTTTTCCTGTCAATGGTTTTTTTGTGTTGTAGTTGTCACCTGTGTGATTATCAATCATTTAGAAATCTCATACCCTTCCCCTAAATTTTCAGCAAGTGCCTGGGCCTCTCTAAGAGGTCACTTTGTACTCTCCTTTTCTGGCAGTCTCCTCTTTGGTATCTGTACTATCGTTTGAAATGGGAACCAGATATGTTTCCATTTTATACAGATAATTCAGTTGCTTGAAGAAGAGGGACACAGGAGAAAAGATTTAAACTATTGGCTAAAATGAGGTGTCTTATTATTGATTTTCATCTATATCTTGTCCCATAATCAGGAATAAACAGTAGCTACACTGCCTTGTATGGCAGCCAGAGCGCTGCTTGCTTGCACTTTTAATGATTCCATCAATACCATGTAGATTGAATTAGCAAGGAGAAGTAAACCTTTCATTTCTTTGCCAGACTATATTGGGAAATGAAAATCCGTCATTACTTTTCCTTGCTAGCAATTGTTCGAATATCTGGGATAAAGAAATACATACAGGAAAATGTTAGGGCAGACCAAGTATTAAAAGCTAGGACAGAGCAGGACAAAGGAGGAAGGATAATTCTACTTGTTTGGCAAAGTTACATCAGTTGTCTTACTGACACATCAGGTACTATCTATAGTGGAAATTGAGGCCCGGAGAGGTTAAATGGCATGCCAGTGTCACTTGCTATTTTTCAGAACAAAAATTAGAATCCAGATCTGAATCCTGGTGCAGTGTTCTCTCCTATGCCCTACTGGGCTTTAGTGGGCTAAAGTTCTGAAGCAAGATGTTAAGGGCTAATTGAAATGTGTTTATTCTCCTAGATTCTTTTTCAGCATAGATGGAATCTGAAAAGCACTCAGATATTTAGTGTGTGCTTCCTTCAGCCCTAAATACAGCATTAGCATCAAATCAAGGGTACATTTGTAATAAACCTCAGCAAACCTTACCTGAAGAACCTTTTAAGAAAGTACAGATTTCCAGGTCCTATCACTAGAGATGATTTGGTGTATTTGTGATGAGGCATAAGAGGATATTTTCACAAGATTCTCAGGATTCCAGTTCCTGTTCTGAAACCTTTGGAGGTACAACTATATTTAGGCACCACTGCCATAAACTACCAAAAAAAAATGTAATTCCTAGAAGCTGTGAAGAATAGTAGTGTAGCTAAGCACGGTGTGTGGACAGTGGGACATCTGCCACCTGCAGTAGGTCTCTGCACTCCCAAAAGCAAATTACATTGGCTTGAACTTCAGTATGCCCGGTTCCACCCTCCAGAAACTTTTGTGTTCTTTGTATAGAATTTAGGAACTTCTGAGGGCCACAAATACACACATTAAAAAAGGTAGAATTTTTGAAGATAAGATTCTTCTAAAAAAGCTTCCCAATGCTTGAGTAGAAAGTATCAGTAGAGGTATCAAGGGAGGAGAGACTAGGTGACCACTAAACTCCTTCAGACTCTTAAAATTACGATTCTTTTCTCAAAGGGGAAGAACGTCAGTGCAGCGATCCCTTCACCTTTAGTTAAAGAATTGGACTGTGCTGCTCAAAATAAAGATCAGTTGGAGGTAGGATGTCCAAGACTGAAGGTAAAGGACTAGTGCAAACTGAAAGTGATGGGGAAACAGACCTACGTATGGAAGCCATGTAGTGTTCTTCACAGGCTGCTGTTGACTGAAATTCCTATCCTCAAATTACTCTAGACTGAAGCTGCTTCCCTTCAGTGAGCAGCCTCTCCTCCCAGGATTCTGGAAAGCACACCTGACTCCAAACCAAGGACTTAGATGCCCTGTGTCCAGTGCTGCTGCTGCTTTTACCAGTATCTCTTACCCTTCCGGTTAGAAGAAGTAGAGCTGCTGCCCCCCATGATTCTATCACTCCAAACATATCCCCATGGCCAGGTCTTCCACTTGTAGTCCACTTGATTGTCATATTCATTGCCTTATTTTCCACGAGGAAAATACTTTTACCCATAGTAAAAGCCAAAGACACATATAAAAATAAGATTTTCCTCTTTACTCTCGTCCTTACATGTCCACAGACTTCATGTAGAGAGGCTGAGCCTTTCGACCACAAAGTGTGTTCTGTGTTGAAGATGTTATAATGATGGGAGAGGGCAGTTGCAGCAGCTTCTAACCAAGTGTCTACAACACATGTACTACTGTTTCCTACCTGTGTCACCTCTGCAAAAAATGGAGCTCTGAGCCCAGTTCTGTGAGCATGGTGTCAGAGCCCTCCAAAGTCCTGAGAAATCAATACCAGGGATCCAAATCTCAGACACCAGTTTGAAGCAATACCTGGATACCAAGACTCAGAGTGAGGATATGGATTTTGGGAGCTGACAGTTTTGCTGATCCTGCCACACTGGCAGGGGCTGAAGTCCAGAAATGGTGTGTAGCTCTAGTCATTCTTATTCACCACAGCTCTTATTTCACAGTTTTTTCCCTTGGTTTCTTCTGTTTCTTCTGTTCCTCATATTCAAGTATTTTCTGTTGGAAATAGCCTGTGGGTTCAAATACAGGTGTTAGAGGCATCTGATCTGGTCAGGCAGATTATAATGAGCTCAGGAATAAGGATCAGAAATATCCTGTCTGCTCCCCATACTGCCATCCCTGCCAGGATGTCTCTGGCCTCACAGGTTCTGGAGATCCAGACATTCAGTTTTGTCCAAAAAGGAGCCCATAAACAGAGGATACTTAGCAGGAATTAGCTCTAGACTAAAACAGAGGAAAGGGCTCAGTCCTGTTCACTAATGGGTAAACCAACTTCCACAAAATGGCAGCCCATTAGACATTTTCTTAGGTTTCAGGTTATGTCATTTCAACTCCACTAATAAAAGTCTACCTACAGCTATTTTGTGGGTTTCTAAAGAGAAGTATTCTTTCTTTCCCCTCCTCTTTATTCTAGAGGTAACCCTCTATGGGCTTAGACTGATGGGGACTGTTACTGTACCTGCAGGAGGATTCTTGCTCTTCTCGGCTTCCTGGATGAAAAGTGAGAAGAGCTGTGTCTTCACAAACTTCTTCACAAATCGGCGGTTGGTCTTGGAGGTCAGAGCCTTACAGAAGGATCTTTCTTGGAAGTGGCCTTGCCCATTTGCCTCCCGCTTGATATAGGAAGCATAATGGCCCACAATCTTGACAAAGAACTGCACAAAGGGGCCTGAAACATGCTCGTTGATTTGTTCTGCAGCTGCAGGAGATATAAAGGCCATCTCAGAGGGTAGCAGAAGGATGAAATTACCCAAACTCACCTTCAAGAATGGCTTTCTTGCAGGCGGAAAGCTCCTGGGGAAAGCCATAGGGTAGGGTTCATAATTACTGACTGAGATGGGAATCTGGGTATGAGTTCTCTGCCATTGCTTAGGAAGAATACAATCCCAAATTCAGACTTGCCCTAGGTTCTAGGCCTCTAGGGCTGGTCTAGGACTACTGAATGAGTTCATTTTAGTTCTGGAAGGGAATGATTGAGAAGCATGCCCTTGCACTGCCTGGAGAGACCCAAAATAAGAGTAAGGACTTACTCTTTAACTCATTGATCCCCTGACCAAGAGAGTCTAAGATGTCATCCTGAAGCTTCGGTGGCAGGATGTCTTTTTCATCACCAACCTAGAAGAGGACAGAGCTCCGAGGTCAAGCAGGAAGGAAGTGTGGAGTGAAGGTGGTTGGCAGAAAAGCATAAGGAGGGCATGAATTCTACACCCCCACTCCACCCGCAAATAGCCACATAGGACAGAAACAACAGAAGCTGTTTCTTGGCCTTTAGTTTGACTCTAGACATTAGCAAGGGATCCTCTCCATCCCGGTGGTACTTGATTTATATCCCTTGCTTAAAAGGCACTATCACTGATTGTCTTATAGTGAAGTCATCTGTGTTTATGTCCATGGGCTCCTTGAGAGAGATGTGGTCTTTTTAGCACAGATTCTCACTCAACAAAGAACTTAAATGTTTGTTTAAATAAGTGGAACATGGATGAAACTAGAGTGGTAGAGTTGTTGATAGGCCTGCAGGGGATCTGAACCCAGACACTTACCGACATTAAGAAGGTTCCTTCACAAAGATTGACCAGCAGGACCTGAAATAAACATAGACTGGCTTTCTCTGGTCCTCTTTCTTCATAGACCCCCAGAGGATTTACCGTCTTGATTTCTGCCTGTGGCTGTATCTTTCAGCCCAGGTAGCAACAAAATCAATATCTTCAGTTCTCATTTCCTATCTAGCATTCTCCTTTCTCACCATTCCCCTCTGGAGATCTCAGTTCCATTCCTGAGGAAAGGGTGTGGGTGTTTGTAGGAAGGGAGTAGGAGAAAGAGCTAAGGTAGAAGGGAAATACAAGATGGAGAAATCACAGCCAGTCACTCCCTTAATAAAACATTGACTGCAGAAATTGCTTCTACATGGAGCATTTAGTACATTGTTCACATAAGTGCTTTACACGTTTGATCTCAAGCAACAGTCCCGTGAGGCAGATACAATCTCCATTTTGAAGATGAGGAAACAGACCCAAAGAAGCTGCCCGAGGTCATACTATGCTGCTAATAAGAGAACCAATTTTTTTCCAAGCCTAGACTGATATTCTTGAGATTGCATTCCTCTCTCTACAATTCCCCTTCAACTCCCTGCTCTCTAGAACAGAGACCAACATCTTTTTATTTTTTTCATGCTTGCAACATCTTATGTACAATTTTCTATTAGAAAAACTCCTGCCTCTCGTGGTGGCTCACGCCTGTAATCCCAGCACTTTGGGAGGCCGAGGCGGGTGGATCACGAGGTCAGGAGATCGAGACCATCCTGGCTAACACGGTGAAACCCTGTCTCTACTAAAAACGCAAAAAATCAGCCGGGTGTGGTGGCGGGCGCCTGTAGTCCCAGCTACTCCAGAGGCTGAGGCAGGAGAATGGCGTGAACCCGGGAGGCGGAGCTTGCGGTGAGCCGAGATCGCGCCACTGCACTCCAGCCTGGGCGACACAGCGAGACTCTGTCTCAAAAAAAAAAAAAAAAAAAACTACCTCACAGCTTTGGGCCTTCCAGCAGGAAACAGCAAAGGAAGAAAATGAGCCCAGGGTCAACAGGAAGAGGAAAGGAAAGGAAGTGAGGAGACCATGTGTCTACAGTCCTCAAGTGAGATAAGCACTGGGCTGGAACTTGGGGGACCTGAGTTTTAGCACTGGCCCCATCACTGCCCAGGGAGCCTTCAGTCTAGACCAGAGATTACAAATAGGCATCCTGCTGGCTGATTCCAACCAGCAGATCTGTTTCTTTGATCTTCACAGTATTTTTAAGTAATTGATTTGGTTTCCAATATTTAAACTGGACTATCTCACATAAAGTTTGGATTTGGGGCTTCTCCTGAAAAGTCAGGAGATCTAACACTGGGTCCACATTTCTAAAGGACAACACTCAGATGGAACTGAGTAGCAGTTGCCTGCTTTAGGCAGGGCATGTTCCCACCAGTTTACCGTAACTTCCCAAATCATGTATTGGTCATTTAAATGCCCGCTGGGCCTCTCTTTTCCATTTGTGACCCTTGGTCTTGATAGAGAGAATGATCCCTCCATTGTCCCTTCTTCCAAATACAAGGAGAGAGTGGAAAGTATGCCAAAAAATAGAGCATGCACTGTAATTATCTGTCATCAGGGGAGAAAAGTTGAACTAGTCCAGGCCTGAAACCACTTGTATACATAGGCTCAGATGCCTTCATGAAGGGAAGACTGTTCCTTTGAGGGATTGGGGGGAGAGAGTGTGTATAAATAATTTGTTTTTCAAGATTGTTCCCAGAAATCTTTCCAGTATTTGGGCATATTATTGTCTGTGGAGTAATCCCTTACCAAAAGCCAGAGTCTGACTGGCCATCAGGAGAGGAGCCACGGCTTCCAGGGAGCTGGAGCTGCAGAGTCAAGAAGTTTCATAATTTCTGGGGTTGGAACATTTAAATGTTTATTGCTAAACATGGGGCTAATACTCTGTCCCAGTTAGTCACAAGGCTAAAGCTGGTTCAAAGGGCATGTGTACTCAGCAGTCCTAAGGAAGGATGAGGGGGCCGGTGGAGCAAAGAAGGGAAACACAGCCTTCTTCTTTACTTTGCAGCAATGGTTTCTATAGGAGAGGATTTGGTTTTATCTGTGCTAGGTTCCACTGTTGTCTATGTGGCCTTGGATAAGTCTCTGGAGCTCAGTTATCTCTTGGAGTGAGTCAATGGTTATGGCCAGGGCAGACATTCCCAAGTCCCTCTTCTGGCTTGAGATACAGTAACATACTATCTTTTGAAAGTCCCTATACTGACAACTCTAAAGCACATGTTTTGAGTTATTTTTCCAACAGCGGGGATAGATTTACGCTTTTAATGCCCATTTTCACAACTGAGTTCTCTGGTGTGTCTGGTGCACTGCCAAGATGTAAGAAGCTAACAAAATCAAAGAGGATTCAGACCTATATCCTCATTAGCCACCTTAGCTCTGAGCTACTCAGAAAGATGACTTGCTGCAAAAATCTGCATTTTTAAGACTCATAGTTTGCCAGAGGGCCATGTTAGCTCAATTCCAAGGAATTCAAATACATTCCAGTGGGGTGTGTGTTGTATAGACCAGCTGTGTCATACATTTGGATGAGATGGGACACCCCGAAGACTGCTCATTAGGGCCAGCTGGCACAGAACAGTCTGCTCACCCCTGAATAAGCTATCCACTGCCCCTTATGCCTAAAGGGGAATCCTTCAGAAGGGAACCTGCATTTATTGAGCATCACCTGTGTGTCGGGTGCCAGGTTAGGAGCTCTAGGCAGGTGGTTTCCCCCAGAATCCTTAGGAAGTGAACACTGTTATCCCCATTTTAGAGATGAGAAAGCTCAGGCTTAAAGAGGTAAGGTAACTTGCCCCTAATCACACAGCTGTAAGCAGCAGAGCTGGGATCTGAATCCCACTCTACCTGGCTCCAAATCATGCACTCTTCTTGCCACATCATACCTCTTCCATAGGGCTGTCCATGACCTCCTGCTGGAAGCGCATTTGTACTCCAACCATGAAGGGGGTGGGGCAGCAGACGGTGGCCAGAAGGCTCTCAGGGACAACAGGGATGTAGGTGTGCGCCCAGCTGAAGGGGTAGAGCAGTGCGGCAGCAGCATGGATGCACTGAGACAAGGTGCTGGGACAGAGCACAGAGGATGAGAGTCAGGGGGCCCCTGCACCACCATGCTACACACCCCTCATCGCCCACCACCAACAGCAGCTAGAGCAGTGCTGCCCATGCCCATGGGCAGAAAGGCAAGTCTGGGGGCCATGCTGGTCACAGAGCTTGAACGTACATTGCTGGGAGGGAGGGACAGAAACTAGAGAGTCTGAGGCTTCACTATCAAGAAGGGCCTTGATTTGACCCTTCTTTTCCCAGTTAGTCTTCTCAACTTACTACTGGCCAAAAATAAAAGTGACTCTGAAGAGAAGAGGGAAGAAGAGTTGCTTTCATTCAAGGAGATAATTGATTGAGCCCCTAGCCTGTGCTCACAACTGTGAGCATACCTCACAGATGTGGATACCAGGAAGAGTAAGACACTGACCCTGCTTTTAAGGAATTCACAGTGTAGTTAAGAGACAAACATGTAAACAAGCACTGGAGGCTCAGCCGAGAGGCAAAGCCTTTTTACCTCGCTATGTCTATCCACCCTCATCCCCAGCCTTTGCCCCCACACAGCCCCCTCTGGGCACACTCGAGGTTATTAAAGATTACCAGGTTGCTGCCTGAGTAGCTTGGGAAATTCCCAGGTTCTAGGAACCTCTGCCCAGCAATTCCTACACGGAAAGTCCCACAAAGGTGCCTCCTCAAGACTTTCCAGTGAAGCATTTCTCGTCACTCCTGCCCAAGTCACAACTTGGACCCTACTCCTCTCGCCACCACATACACACAGTCCCACTCTCTGTCTTTCTCTTTTATCCCCTGGCTTTCATGGCTCTTCTTTACTCCAGCCAAATTGCCTCAAAGTCAAGGCCAATAAAAGCACAGATGCGGGAATCCTTGTTTCAGTTCTGGGTTTCAAGCTGGCACTTCCTGAATTAGCAAAATTGAGTCTCTGAGAGGCTAGCTGACTGGAAGTCCCCTCCCTGTCCGAGCTTCAGGGAGCTGAAAAACTCAGTGTGGGAAGGAAGTGGGGAGTGGTGGGATTTCCCTGAAGAAAGTAAACGTCTGAGAGGTGAATCCTGCCGACCTCCACTTCCCAAACACTGATCTGAGGAGGAAAGGCAGAATCCCAGCTCTAGCCACACAGGAATTTCTGGTTTCCATTCAAGGCTGGGAGTGAAAGAGCTATTTCCAAAGCAAAAGATGATGCCACTCCCTTCAAGGATTACCTACAACTAGTTCCTCTTTGGTTATCACCCATTTTTACAGAATCTTCAACACAGAGACCCCACTGCTTGCCCAAGTTTCCTTTCCTCTGAAACCCATGGCATTCACCTGCCCCTCTGACTTCTGTTGAGTCCCTAACATCCTTTTCTTCTTCCCTAAAAGATAAAAGCAGGGTTGTCAACCTAAAATCACTGGTTTTCTCCCTCCCCAGATATGAATAGAAGGTCTACCCCTACCCCTACTGTTTTATGACTTCTTTCATTCTCCATTCTATTACATCTCCCCACGTCCTTCTCAGATCTGAAGCCCCTAAAAGGTAGAGACCATGGCACAATAGTACCCTGCTTCCACTATACACAGGGATATACTCAACTGTGAACTTAAGAACAGAAGCTAGCACTCAGCAATATGTGCTCAGCAGGGTGTTAGGTACCTAATGTGCATTATTTCATTTAATCCTCACCACAACCTTATGAGGTAATCACAATCATTATTTCCATTTTTAAGAAGTTAACAAACTAACTTAATGGGAACCTCATAGCTAAAGGTAGAAGAACTGGATTTAAACCTCCTAATTCTGCTGATTTCAATCCCTGTGCTTTCAACCAGTATGTAATTCCGCATCCCCTTCAGGTGAAGGACCTTGTCCTGTTTGTATCTTCCCAATGCTTGGCATCTGGCAACCAGTTGACACACAATAAATGTTTGTTGAATGAGTATCTACCTCCTGCCCTGTTCTCCACCCTCCCTCAGCCTTGCAAGGGCAGAATCATGTCTGCATCCACCCTAACTGGTCCCACCCAGGCTGTCCCAGGAATACTTCCTGTCCTTCCCCAAGCTAAGTCAGGAGCATTCCTCAGGCCCAGGCAGCAGTCCTGTGTGGAGGAAGAGGCAGTGGGGGTGGTTCAAAACAGCTGTTTCTCTTGGTTTAAAGAACAAGGAGCTAGAAACAGGAGGGTGGGCGCATGGACCCTACAGCCCATTTTCCTTGGATAACCTCCAGTCTGTTCCCTTGAACCCAGGGATGCTGGGCAGTTCAGGTGAGCCGTCCAGGGGCTGGGCCCACCTGAGACCTTCCGCCAGGAAGATGATTTTTCTCTCCAGCACGGCAGAGGCAAAGATCTGAAGTATCTGTTCAAAACTGAGACAGTGCAATAGAGAACTAAAATCCACATGTTCTAGGTGGGAGTCCAGGGGCCGTGTCAGTGAAATGAACTGTGGGGAAACCAGAGAGAGAGAAGGTGTCACTATACTGCAAGATCATGCAGACCCCGAGGTGCTAGGCCTCTACCAGCCTCTATTCCTTCTGCCCCCAGGAGTGAATCTGGCCCTGTCTCTCTGTCCCCCTGCTAATTGGCTGGAGGACAGCACTGATGTGATCTTGAGTATGGCCCATAATGTCCTGCACCCTCCCTCACTCGCCTCCCCGAGCACACGCCCCTCTCTCACTGTGCTTCACCACATGGGCTTCTGTTCCTTGAGCAATCCCATCTTTCCTGCCTGCAGCCTTCACAGTGAGGGCCCTCCTCCTGCACTGCTCTGCTCCCTTCATTCTTACCCTCTTTCAGGTCACAGAGGCCCCCCTTTGGCCATGTGATACTTTCCCATCTTCTTATGTAGCACCCTGTTTTGTTTTTTTTTCTTTCATCACAGTTACATAATTTCTAATTCAACATGCACTGGTGTGTTTATTTAACATCTGTTCTCCCCACTGGACTTACAGCTCCAAAAGGTCAGGGACCACATTCATTTTGGTCACCACTGTATTCCCAGAAAATAGTATAGCTTGGCACACAGCAAGCATTAAGCACTTATTTTTTGAGAAAGTGAAAATTTCTAGCCTCTCCCCTTATTTTCCTGTGGGGAAGCCAAGGTTCAAAGGGGCACACAGACTATTCAGAGTTCCAGAGGACAGGACTGGAATTCTTAGAACAGTGTTCTACCTGCTGCCTCAGTGTGCTTGGTGCCTTAAAACGATAGCATTCCCCTGTGCATGGGTGGAGACTCGGAGGTGGGGATGGATGATAAGAAATGGACAGATGGACGCTGTAAGGTAGAGACAGGACAAACAAAGGAGAGTGGAAGGGGGGTAGCGGCAAGTGGCAGTCTGAGGGCTGAGGGAAAAGTCCTTTATAGCACCAGAAGCCTCAACTTACATGGTTTATTTATTATAAATAAAAGTCTTGGTGGCTTGAGCAGTAACTAGGTGCTTGTGGGTATCAAGTTAGAAGGATCAGAAAATCTGGGTTTGATTTCAGCTTTGTCCATTCTAACCAAGTCCCAGTCCCCATCTGGCTCAGTTTCTCTGTACTTTAACCTGGTTAATGGAAGAACAGTGGTGAGAGGTGCCACAGATGCCTACCCTCTCCAGCTAGGGAAGGTCTCACCCATTTTGCTAACCCACCTCAGTGCCTGAGTCGGGGATGAAGCTCTTGAGAGTGACAGTCTTCCCAGGAGCAGGGAAGGCTGCCTCTCGGAGGCCCTGCATGAACGGGTAGATGACAGCCATGGAGATCTGATGTCTCTTCTCCACTTCATCCAGGATCTGCAGGGAAAAGAACCACGGGAGGCACGGCTCAAAGGGACACTACCAGGCAGGTGGAAGAGACTCTACTTGCCCCTGAGCGTCATAATGTTCTCATACTGGTTCAGCTGATCCTCATGTATCTTCTAGGGCCCTCCACGAACTGGTCCTCTCCCTCCCTGGCAGAGGCTGGGCTCATGCTAAATAATCTGCAGTTTATCTCCCACATAAGACCTGCCTTCTTCCAGCTTCCTTTTTATTATCTCTCTACACATCCATATTCTTCCCCTCTCCTAACACCAACATAAAAGCACCTCCCTGGGAAGTCATCCCGGAGTAAACTCATCACCCATGATGGTACCATGTCCACTCATGCTGGTTGGAGCAGGAGGCTAGAAGGCTAAGCCTCTTGGTACCACTCTGTCCTCCAACTCCCACTGTAGATTCCCGAGGTCAGAGACTGCCTCCATCCCTAGGAGCACTGCACAAAGGAATGCTCTGCCCAAGCAAAAGCTGACAGAGTTTCCTCCCCTCCTCCTCCAAAGGTCCTGCTGGGGTCAGAGCATAATGAAGTCCTTTCTGGTCACCAGTGGATGGCATGGCCCCCATGGATTCTGCTCAAATTCTGTCTCAGATGCACTGGCACTCAAATTAGCTCCAAGAGAAGTCCTGGGGACCTCAACTGTTCTTCTACCCTTGAAGGAGTCAGAATGGGTCTTATAACTCCTTCATATTTGTTTAGTGCTCTGCCTTTTATAAAGAGTCTTCTCATATATCACCTCATTTAAGCCTCACGCCACCCAGTGAGATAGGAAGGTGAGATTATTATATCCATTCGACGGATGAGGAAATTGAAACTCAGGGCAGAAGTTTCTTCTGCTTGTCCTACTTCAACTACTTTCTTACTTGGCTAGAGTGGGAACAGTAGCTGTCTCTGCAAGAGGTCCAGTCCCCTAGATTCAATTTCCACTTTTCCCTTAAGTCAAGTGCATGCCCCTTTGCCTCAGTTTTCCCAAGTGTGCTTTAATGCTGACTCTGGCTATGGGAGAAGAGCTCCACTAAGAGCTTAGTTGCACAGGCAGGGTTGGCAGCCAGAGACAGCCTGGAATATGGGCAGGCCCTGAGGAATCCTATCCCTACCTTGGAGAACAAGCCGAAGCAGCCGATGCAGCTGATGATGCAGTACACTTTGGGAAGGCGAGGGCCAGGGCCGGCAGGCTGGGGAGGGACAGAGAGGCTCCTTCAGTGCTGCAGCCTCCCCAAGGGCTTCTCCCAACTGGGTATGAAGGAGCACAAGGCTGAGGGCTGGGGAGGGGGATTTATGGGGAATGGTGGGTGCAGCAGGGAGGTCAGAATGGCCACCAGCATCAAAAGAAGAAATCCTTGAGGGTACTGGGTGAGTTGGTGGGCAAGCGCTGCCACCTTCAGTGCCAGCACAATCTGGGGTCAGCAAAGAGGGGTAGCAAGTGTGCCTTAGAGATGAAGAAATGGCTAAGGAGGAAAGCACTGTAAAGGTGACTTGGGGAATCCTCCTGAGACCTAAGATTTGAAACTAATTGTCCAAGTCCCAGCCTCTGCTCTGGGAGGCTCCAGGGGCCAAGGTAAGCAGGCCTGGATAGAGCAGGCAGGGAGAGGAGTTAGTTGTATTGAAAGCCAGAGAGAGCACAGACCAGAGCCTGACCAGCAGCGGGAGAAGGGGCATCAGGTCCTCGTGCTTGTGGGGCTGCAGAGGGAGCACTAGCATGGCAGCAGGTCCTGGGCTGTGCTTTTTCTACAACCAGTGCTGCCAATAAGCCCGGAGTTTTGCAGCTCAGGCTTGAGCAAGCCCAGCCGTGGAGCTGAGCAGACTGCAGAAAGGAAGGGGCAGTTCTGAGCTGCACAGACCAAGAGGCGCCTGCAGTATCCAATCTTTCTGCTCCCATCCACATTGGTCAGAACGAAGGAGAAGGTCTCCCTAAGAAAGAGCAGACAAGGCTTGATTTGTATTGCTCACTGAATCCTAAAACAGGAAAGTGGTCAGCACTAGAGGGTGGAGAGGAGGGCAAAGGGGAGTTGCTGATTAATCACAGGAGTAAGGGCTCACTGGTGTCAGGCCCTAAACACATCATCTCATCTAATTGTCAAAACAACTCTTTGAGGTAGGTTCAGTAATTATTCCCACTTTAAAGATGAAGGAACTGAGGCCAGAGGGTGCTTCTTATTCAAGGTCACTCAACTCATAAATAGTGAAGTCAAAGCTCAAGCAGTCAAATTCCAGGGCTCATGCTAGAAGGGCCTTTGCTACGTCGCCTTCTTGGAGGCTAACTGCTTTCTGCTAAGTCCAGCTTGGGCCAGTAGCAGAGTTAAAAGCAGCAACTATTGCTTCTAGGACAGGTGGGAGAATCTGGCTCTTTGGACAGAAGTGACTGATCAAACTGATAGCTCATATTCTTGGCCTTGAGGGACCCCAGGCCAGATGTTTTCAAACAAATCAATTACACTCCCAGGCCGAAAATCAACAAATGACAGCAGTGAGGGAGGCTACAGGAGCCACAGAACTCACACATGTTCCTTCTCCCCAAATCCAATACCCTTGCCCAGGGCTGAGCAATTACCTGGGATACTCGGTGAGTGATGCCCACTCATTCCCATCTGGGAAGCAGAACAAGGGGATAGCTTTGAGCAGCCGCTCCTCCTCCTCCTGCTGACCCCGAAGCAGGTTCTCCCGCTATAAGGCAAAGGAAAAGACAAGTGGATGTGAAGCTGGGGGCAGAGATAGCAGGAGACAGCTTCAGAGCTGGTGGGCTTCCTTTGAGGCTCTAAAGCAGTCTAGGGTTAAGCTTCTCCACTAGCATAGGGGCGAAGGGTGCCTTTGCCCATGACTCTGCACAGTTTGCATTCTGGGTCCAGTTGGAACAACTCCAAAGCTGAAACAGCCCCTCCTGGGTCAACTCTACATAAGCTTGAGTTCGACCTCAGTATCGAGATCTACATAGAAAGGGGACAGGGCCATGTTGAATATAGAAAGGCCCTGAAATGGCCCAGGCCCCTGGGAGGACAACATCAGAGAGGTACCACATCAGAGAAGAGAAGCGGCCAGCTCAGTTGGCACACCTGCTAATGAGAAGGCTTCCCAACCCTCTACCTGGTGAAGGATCAGACAAGGAGTCTAATGCTTGGGCTCGGGCAGAGGGCTGTGCCTGCCCACCAGTTACAAGGCTGCCCCACTCTTTCCTTCCCACACATCCCAGAGAGGGGATTCATTCTAGGAGTTCTGGCAGAAGGTAAGCTTCTCTGCAGAGAAGGGTGACTGAAAATGGGATTTGGAAGACCTATCAGGTCCCCTAAAAGGCAAAATGTCTAGCCTAGTTTCCCTGCTAGGAAGCCTAGGTCAGTCCCTCACAAAGAAGTTAGACCTAGATTCTGTGGGTGATAACAGAGAACTGGGGCTGTGCTAAGAAGGAAATGGAGAGCAGTGAGCTCAGAGCTCAGGGCAGCTCCAGGCTCAAGCCCCGGTAGGGTAGGGAGAAGGAGGTGGAACCCCCACCCCTACCACCTTCCAAACACCCCAGTCCTCTGGCTGGCCCTGCCCCTCCTTCAGTCCTTACCTTGGGAAATTGGTAGGTGATTATAGGCTCGTAATCATCCTCTGAACGCTTCTTTTTGAGAGAAACCACAAGAAGGTATTCAAAGAAGTGCTGCCCCCCAGCAAAGTTGGGCAAAGAGTGCTCCTGGGCCCTTTCTGGTTCCTTTAAAGCTTCCCCTGAATTGTCCTGGGGTGGTCCTGAAATCAAGCCAGAGCCCATTTAGTATAATCTCATTGATCCATTCCTGGAGTGGAGTCTGTGAGAATCCGGGTGACCTCCACACCTCAAGGCCGCCTTGCCAATGCTGAGATACCTGGATACTGGCCAGAACCACCAGTCACTCAGGATCAGGGCCAAATGGGCAGTTTCCACACCTGCCCTGGTAGACTTGAAACCATGGGGAGCCAAGCAGAGGAAAGAAACCACTGACACAGAAGCCACGGAAATGTGCTGGAGAGGCCACATGGAGGCCAAGGCCCCAGGGTACCACAGAGACTGCCTAACCTGTCGGGTGCTTCTGGCAGTCCTGGAACAATATGGCCTGAGAGTTTAGTTCATACTAAGTGAATAAGAACAGGCTCAAAGGGCATGTGACTGTGACCACACTAGCCCCAGAGAGGGCATGACCAGCTCTTAAAAACCAGCAGAGGAAGCCTCCTGACCCAGTCACATGGGGAACCATGTGGAGGCCGAGATATAAAGGAAGAGGAGGAAGGAGCATTTCAAGGAAGAAACAGTCCCGCCTAAGAGGGTCACCCTAAAAACAAGGAAGTAGGCAGTCCAGTCCTGACCTGCTCGGAGTTGAAGCAGTCGGCGTTGGAAGAGCCTGAACACCCGGCCTACCACTTGTCCTTCCATCTCTGGGCCTTCAGGACAGAGCGGACTCCCCTCTCCCCTAACACAGACAGACTGGTGACAGTAAGCCTGAGAAAGGGGCTGCTTCGGTCTCCAGCCACAACTCTGTGAAGCCAAGCCACGCGCTGTCTTCCAGAGAGGGAATAGAAGTTTCCATCCTGTGCACCCAGTGGTTGAGCAAGAAGGATGTGACGGGACCCAGGAAGGCAGCAGAAGCCAGCACCAACAGAGTCAGCATCCTGGCACTGCAGCGCAGATCTCAGCTCCTCCCAAGAGCCCCAGGGTGTGGCGAGAGAAAAGGTCATGAGCAAACACCTCTGGCTGAAAGTAGCCGGAAAGGCCTGGCTACTTATGGGCTAAGGGTTTTGAATCTGGGCTGCAGATTGTGCAGAGAGTTAATTTACAACCTTAGAACAGTGGACAATGCTTGATAGTGTCAGACTGTGGGCACTGGAAACCGGCTGGTCTCAGGATAGGGATCCTATACCTCCAACACTTGGATTGCTGACCTTTCACTTCTCAACTTGGTCAACGGAAGTCAAAAACCCCAGCAAGGCCACCTGCTGAATTCTAGAACTTCCAGGACTTCCCGACCTAGAGCACATGGCCAAACACTTTCTGCAGCCAGGATGTCACTGCCCTCCCCTGATTAAGATAAATAGACTTGGCCTAATAATTATCCAAATAGATTAATTCTTCCAACAAAAGAAAGAGTTCTGGAAGTCAATACCCAATAGCCTTCTTTCCTGATGGTGCAGTAGAGAGCAAAATCCATCTCTAAGCCCAGAGTTCGTGATATTTTGGAAATAGCTACAATGGTGAATTTCACCCCCTGGAGAGTTCTGTCACTGGCACTTGTTCCAGGGTTCCAGCAGAGTCCCTCTTCTCAAATAGGAAGCACTGGCTCAGAAGACTGTCCCCAGCATAAGGTAGGGGACTGATTGCACCAGCAGCCTGAGGGTGATTCCATGGCAGTGGAAAACATCTGGGTGATCTCCACCCAACCCCCACGCCTGCTCAGCCTTCCTCCGGGTCAGGCCAGGTCAGCTGTTCTGCCCAAGCTACAGGCACAGCTGCTAGCCCACTGCTGTGTCTGGAGACTAGGTAAGAGAGAAGGAATAGCAAAAAAATCACCTTGGATTCTCACAGAAACCCCTGAATGAGTAAATACAGGGAAGGCTTTTACCAGGAAGCTGCCTCAAAGGGAAAGCAGGGGGCAAAAGGGTTTGACGCCAGTGTTTGCCACTCCTGCTAAGAATAAGCACCCCTCTGGAAGAGAGTGGGGTGCTAGGATAGGGAAAACAGCTGCTTTGCTCCTAAGAGCTCTAGACCTGGCTTCTGTGGGACTAGAAAAAGCCAGGACTCACGGCCAAACTCATGTACAGTAAAGAAAGATGTTCAAATGCTGTAATGGGTGAGAAGAGCGAACTAGAACACTTGGAGCTGGCACCACACCTTACTTGCAAGCTGCACAGACTTGTTGCACAAGCCTTACCACCTGTTTGAGGAACAAGCATCTTCCTGATACAGATGGGGAAACTGAGGCATAAAGTAATTCAAAGGCTATTAAAATTGACAGGATTTGTTGGGAATGGGGATTAGGAAAGCTCCAAATCCATGCTCCTGCCTTCTGGATGCATTTGACATCAAATACCCCACAGAGGTTTTCAAAGGACATTGAGAAACAGAATCTTATCACTGATCATTCCAGATTCTAATGAAATTATGCCTTTCCCTAAATCCTTTGGGCTGCGTTTTCAGATCATTTTCTTCTGCTTTATCAAGCAAGCCAAGAGAATAGCAAAATTAATAAATCATTGACAAAAGAAAGTAATTAGACTTTTGGGATGAGGCCCAAGAAATGCAGCAAAAGACTGTTTTCTCCCCTCTTTCAAAAGGTGTTATCCACAGGAGAGAAAAGCGTAAGAGAAAACTAACCTCCATCAAACTCATGTTTCATATAAGGCATCTCATTTAATCTCCAGTGCCCTAGAAAGGAATTATTATTCAGAGTTTTAGTTGAGGAGGGAGCCACCCTTTCTAGGGAAGTCAGGAATCTGGTTACACTTGTTCCTCCACCAGAAAGCCTCTCCCACACACACCTGACTGAAGTCCCAGATCTGTCTAGAACATAGGTGAGGGGACCTTCTGGAACCTTGATCTGGGAAGCTGGCCCATCCCTTCCAGCTCAGCTGCTCTCAACCCAGGACCACCACCACATCACTCCTTGTCACCAGGATACACACACACACACACACACACACACACACTCCCTCCTAATACACAACTGTCCTGGGGCCAGAAAGGCAAAGGAGGAAGGGGGAGAATCCCCAGGCAAGTGGAGGATGGTATGGAAGATGAAGAGGGCATATGCTCCTGGCCCTACAAGTGTTAGGCCTCAGTTCTTACAGTTCCTCAGTATCAGGAAGCTCCTCCAGGCACAATCAGGAAGTGCCTGGTGTTGGGGCAGGGGTGGGTGGGAACAACTGGAATGTCTCCTCTGGGCTGCAGGGGGCAGACCCCTTCCATTCACACAGATGTCCCAGGGTCTGGGAAGACCAGGACAGACCAGGCCAGTGCTCTCCAGAGAAGAGAGAATGTCAGCCTCATCCTGCCTTCTGCTCCCACCACTGCACGGTCCCAGGCCTCTGCCCCAAACTGTGGTCTCTGACCTCTCCCTGATGGTGCAGATGGAATGGCCAGATATTGGAGATCTGTGTCTAGAGAGGACACTACAAAGAGGGAAGGAGCAGGGTGTGGCAGGAGGAATGGCAACAGGAGGAAGAGCAGATCACTCAGAGGTCACTGCAGTTCAAAGAAGGGTGCACTGACCTCACTCCCTGAGGTCCCCCCAACTCTGGGGCTTGGGCTAAGAGAGGGGCTCACTTGGCCTCCTGGCGTGCCAATGTTGGAAAGGGCAGGTTGTCTGGGAATGGCCCCTGCTCTTTGCTCCTCAGACAGTAGGACCTCTGGGCAAAGTATCTAAGGGTCACGGCTGTTCAGCCATAGGACTGGCTAGTGGTAAGCCACACAAATATTTGCCGAGTGAATGAATAAATGAATGAATTTCTAACTGCCCTCCTTCCAACCCCAGGGCTCTGCTAAGAAAGAAAAGAAGGTGCTTCTTTAACTTAGAAGTTGACTTCTAATTTAATCCCCATAATCCTGGACGGGGGAATTATGTCCATTTCACTGTTGCGGGGCTGAGGGAAAGGGAAGGGGTGCCCTGTCTGGGCGACACGCTGGAAAGCAGCAGCTGCGCAGGTTCTACCGCCGCTCCGCTGGAGGCCACACTCTGAAGGGCACCTGGCCGAGGGTGGGTGGGGGTGGTAACGTCATCGGGGAGACCTGTGTTTGTGGCCGGTGGCTATCTGCTGGGCAGGGGCAGGGGCGCTGGCTCCGAGGAACTGGGCAAAGACCACGGAGGACTCCCAGGGCGGCGAGGTGGGGCGGGGCGGCGGGCACGCCGGGAGCTGAGGCAGTGCCTCTGGGAGGACACCACAACCGGGGCGCTTTCAGGCACACTGCGGTTGCACCACAAGCTTCCTGGATGGAAGGACACGTGGCCCCGGGGCCCCACAACGGCTTCCTGTGTCCCGCCGCCTCCCCCTCGCCCCCTCAGGCCTGGCCTCGCCGTCCCCGCCCCCACCTGACCCTCTTCCCCTCTCCGCGCGCTCCTTCCCGCTCACCTGCCCCCGCGCAGCCTCCTGAGTCCCCTTCCAACTGCTCCCGGATCTCGACGCCCCGTGCCGCCCTCCACCGGGCCCCAGCCGCCAGCCCTAGCCCCGGCTCCCCGGTGCCCACGCCGTCCCCCCGCGCTCTCCCCGGCCGGCACTAACCCCCATGGCCGCGCTTCAGTCTCAGGCTGGCTCGAAGGCGGCGGCCGAGCCCATCCATGGCCCCTGGAGTGCCCGGCTCCCGCTCCCAGCTCCGCGCTGGCCCCGCCCCCCTATCCTTGACCTCCGCGGGTCCGACACTTTCACTTTCACGCGGGGGGAGGCCTAGGGGACAGGTTCGGGGCGGCGCGGCGCACCTTCCGGACTCCGGCCCAACCCCCGGGCGCACCTGGGCGGGCCCGCTCTGCCCTCGCCCTGGGCAGGGCAGCGTGGGGTGGAAGAGGGCGCTCGACGCGCGTCCGGGACTGGGCGGCGCCACCTCGTTCCCACCCTCCGTGGGGCTCCCGGGGAGGCTTGACTTAGCGAACACCCTGCAGTCCGCAAAAGCGCATGTCCTGGCTGAAATCACCGTCTTCCAGGTGGCCCCAAACGAATCCCAAAAGGGGCAGAGTTTTCAGTCCTCACACCTCTCCAACCCCTCCACCTCTCCCTTTGCAACTGCTTTAGCCCTTCGACCATCTCCAGGTCTCTTGCCCTACTTGTCCTCTCACTCTCGGAGTTCCTGAGGAGGAACTGGAGATGCGGATTAGGGACCTGTCGCTGCCTTCCATTCAAACTTGGCCTTGAGCAGACCAGCAAAATGGGGGTAACCCCTGCCATTCCACAGAAATGTGAAAGTTCAGGAATAGAAAACTCTTTGTAGGTTGTTACATAATACAAATTTAAGGGACTGTTATTGTCATAATTGTTGCAGCTGTCCCCTCTCCCCTTCTAATCCTGAATTTCAATGCAGCCTTTCCGCTCCTCCCTTTTCACATCTTCATTGACTTCCAAATACGTCCAGGCTGTAAACTTCAGGTATCAACCATGACATTGTGGGTCTGCTCAGCCCACTTCCTCCTGGGAGATCTGCCCTAGTTCCCCGCTCCCTCTCAGGACATTATCTGTAGGGCTGGGAAGTGCAGAGTCCATCTGGGGTTGCTTGGTTTACAAGGTTTTAGGGTCCTTTTCAGGAGAGGTAGGCAGAGGGAAGAAGGGACTCTGGCAGAAATACGTCTGGAATCTGTTGGCCTGACTCCCAGACCTACAGCCCTCTTTCCATGGCCTCCAGGTGACTCTCCAGTCACCATGGGAGAGCCGGAATTGGGAATCCAGCCCTAGTATTAACTGTCTGGTCTTAGCCCAGAGGTTCTAAAAGTTGACTTTACTCCGGCCGTATGCAATTTTGCACTTAATTACAGTCTGTTTCTGTTCCCTATTCTTTGTGTATTCCCTCACACAAGTACACTTCCCTTCCCCAAGTACCTTTTCTGGGCTGAACCCATGTCTTATGCATCTCTGTGTAAGAACAGTCGTTGCTCATGATAAACTTGTCCAATTGATTGAATATTATTGTGCCTTAACTTCCCCGATCTATTTTGTGGTATTCCCAACCAAACTAACTTCCTTTCTTTAAAAACAGATGAGGAAAACTGTGTACATGTGCACCAAAAAGATAAGTACAAGAATGTTCAAGGGAGTCTTATTTGAAACAGACTCACGCTGGAAATAACCTCAAATGTCTATTAATAGTAAAGTGAGTAAATCGCAGTATATTCACATAATGAAGTACTACATAGCAGTAAAAATAAATAAACCACTGCTGCATGCAATAACATGGCTACATTGCACAAACATCATGTTGAGAAAAGGAAGCCAGACACAAAAGAGTACATTATGTAAGAGTCCATTTGTATAAAGTTTAAAACAGGTGAAATTAATCTATGGTATGAGAGGTCAGAATGGTGTTACCTTTAGGGAGGAAGGAGGAAATAATGATTGGGAGAATACCATAGTGTTTCTAGGATGCTGATAATGTCCTGTTTCTTAACCAGGTGATAGATACATGGATGTATTCACTATGTGATCGTTCTTTGCAGTGAACACTTAAGCACTTCTCTATATGTATATGAGACTTTAAAAAGATTTTTAAAGTATTCGTTAGGATGTTAGGGTGACATTAATGAAGGTAATGAAACAGGAAGAAGTTAGTTCAGAATAAAACTAGAAATTATTGGGATGGGAGGAAGTGGAGCTAACTAAGTATAATCTGCATTTTTGAGAAGTGTGGATAATAATAGGAACAAGTTAATTGATCCATAGTGGAAAATTTGGGTTTAAAGTGATGGGTTAAGATGGCGAAGATGAGAGCATATTATGGGTATAGCAATGAGAATTAGCAAGGGTAGACATTTAAAGTATAAGAAAGAGGGTGTGCAGATGGAGCAGCGTCTGAGAGAAGGTGGGGGGCAATTAGAAGCTTAGGTAGAAGTTTGGCTTTAAATGGGAAAAGGAAACTTTTTTTTTTTTGAGACAGAGTTTCGTTCTTATTGCCCAGGCTGGAGTGCAATGGCGTGATCTCAGCTCACTGCAAACTCCACCTCGCGGGTTCAAGCGATTCTCCTGCCTCAGCCTCCTGAGCAGCTGGGATTACAGGCGAGCACCACCACACCCGGCTACTTTTGTATTTTTAGTAGAGACAGAGACGGGGTTTCACCATGTTGGTCAGGCTGGTCTCAAACTCCTGACCTCAAGTGATCTGCCTGCCTCAGCCTCCCAAAGTGCTGGGATTACAGGCGTGAGTCACCGCGTGTGGCCGGGAGAAGGAAACTTTATCTGAGGGAAAAAAAAGATGAAAATGGCTATAGATGTTGATAAATGTGTAGATAAGGTAGCAAGAAGTTAAAGGATACCACAGGAGGCCTCAGTTTCTGCTAAGACAAAAGGTTCTTTTTCTTCTTGTAGCTGCCATCTTCCACTGTCCCCTGGGTCATTCTCCTAGTCTGGCTGTAGAGTGGAAGTGAACGACCCTAGCCTTCCTTTTTTGAAGGTCTTGAAAGGAAGCACACTAATAAGTTGTATTCAAGGAGGCAGTCAGTATGACATAACAGAATGAGCCTGGGCATCTGACACAGACGAACTTGGACCTGAACCCACTCTGCCTCTTGTTTGCCCTGTAGCCTTGGGTTAGGCTTTGCACTGAGCCTCACTTTTCTGATATAATAAAATCACCTTGCAGGGCAGTTGTGAGGATTAGAAAGAATATATTTGTAATAAAAATGCCAAACTTCATACATACCTTTAATCCTCAAATCACTGTAGTCTCAGCTCCATTTCTTTTAATTGCAGAAAGCACTGTCTATTACCAGGCTTGTATCTCCAGGAATTTCTGAGAAACCTCAAGAAACACACACTCCAAAGACCAATTCTGATATTCACTGGTCATTAGGGTCCATCATGGGAATTCAAACTATTACTTTCCCTTCCACAGTTATACCCATTTGTCTGAAGACATACTGCTATTGTTCTCCCCTGTGCCACACTGCCCAACTTGGACAATGATTCTATCTTCAATTCCATATAGAGATAGCTGAGGTCAGAAGAGGTTTTGTTAAGACTTAGCTGAAGGTTTGTTAAGACTTTGTTTTATGATAAGAGAAGCACGTTATAAAAGGAAAACTTAAACACAAAGTATCACCACTCTTGGGGTCTGTATGAGGGTCCTCTTTGGAGTACTTCTCTCCCTACCCCTAGAGCTGCCCCCATCTTGCAGGGATCAGCTAACCTGACTCCAGTGGGAATGCCCTTGAACGCAGCCCTGTCTCAGTATTCGCATATTCAAGAATGACTGACAAGAGCGATGTTTATTACATTCACGGGGAAACCCTGTCCCATACTTAGAACCTAATATCTTTTGGCACAGAGATACCAGAACAACAACAAAAACAAAAGCAACCCATATTTCCCCAAGAATAGGCCCATCAATACAGAATGCCACCATCAATTGGCCTGCACAATTCCTCTTCCTTTGAGATGAACAAAAGCTCAAGCTGTCTCAAACTGTGTATACTGCAAGCCATCTGAAATTTGGCTTCTCATCTCCTGTGAGAAATGAGTTGAATAACCTACCCATCTTCCAGAAACAAGCAATGATATCCAGGATTAGGAAAGAACATCTGTATATTAGAAACAAAGATAGCCTTTTCTGTTACCACAAAGAGTTCCTGGAGTTAAAAAGTTCTCAAATCTCTGTCTCCTATAAAGGGTCTCTGCTCTATATTTGATAGCCAAAATCTTCTTGTATTCTCTTTCTTCCCAGTCTTCTAAAGTGCTAAGTTTTCAATCCCAACATTTTGTGTGTGTTGATCCCTCTGCTTGGAATCTTCTTCCTCCCACTCCTCACTCTACTAACTTCTACTCATTCTTTATATCTTGCTTAAACGAACTTTTCTGAAAAGACTTCTTTGACCACCTCCCCTTTCCATCTAAATCAGATCCTCCTGTTACAACCTCAATCACACCGTTTCCTTAGGAGCATTTATAGCCATTTGAAGTTACATATATGTATTTCTGAGATTATTTGTTCGACTACTCTCTCCCTTTCTAGAGTCATCCCCAGGAGGCATGAGTCTTATCTCTTTCACTTACTTCTGTGTCCCCATTTCCTAAGCACAGTGCCAGGCATACGTTAGATAAACAGTAAATATTTGTTGAGTGAATAAATGTATGAATTAATAGATGGGTAGTATGCAGAAAGCTTCTATCTCTAAGGAGACAGAAAATTAATTTAAACATTTTTTTATTTTCTGGGTTCTACTCAGGGCAAACACTTTGGGTGCCTAAGACTCATTTCCCCTTTTACCCTTGCTGGATATATGGATATATTTGCTCAGAGGTATATCAGATGGTGGAATCTGATCGTGGTAGTCCTGGTCTCCTTCCCCCAGGTTGACTCATGGTGGCCATGTGATCCAGGTGTGGCCAGTGAGAGGTAAGGAGGTATCTAATCTAGTAAGGGAGGCAAGAGGCAATCTCCTAGGGACTTCTGGGATAGGATTCTCCAGAAGTGATGCTGTTTCCCTGCCTCTGGGCATCACTGGGTTTGGATATGATGACAGGAACTGGTGAGATGAAGCCAGCTTGTATAGCAGAACAGGGACAACAGGCTCTCAGGGTAATGGGGCAGGAGTCAGGGATGGCATGTCAGGCCTGAAGCTGCCTTCACTCTGCACTGCTTGTTACCTGAGGTAATAACTCTCCTTATGGTTTAACACAGTGAGCCTTCTAAATACATTTTACATGGCATCTCAGTGCCATGTAACATACACACATGTAATATACAAATAAAAGTTTCACAAAACAATACCATTCCTACTATGTGCAAGGTATGCTGATATTTCTCCTTTTTCTTCCATTCTACTATTGCGCTTTTAAAACCATCCTTGTTTGAGGCACCTTAAAATTATTTCACCCCCAAAATGTGTTGTGACCCACAGTTTAAAACATCTTTGGGTTTTCTGGTACTTTTTCTGCACACTCTGAAGCCAGACTATCTGAGTTGGTGTCTCAGGTCTGCCAGTTACTAGTTTGGTTACGTCAGGCAAGTTTCTTAACCTCTTTGTGATTCAGTTTTTTCATAACTGATAGAATAATAATGGCATCTACCTTACAGGGTTGTTTTAAGGATTAAATGAGCTAATATATCTAAAGCGCTTGGAATGGGAAGCCATTGGCAAGTCTGAACACAAGACTTACATGATCCTACAAAGATGAGTAAGGCATGGTCCTTGTTCTCACAGAGTTTGCATTCTTGCAGGAATAATATAATGCAGAGATACTGGGATTAAGATAAGCACGGGTAGTTCAAGATCATGAAGGAGAAACACGCATTTTAGCTTAAGAAATCAAGTCTGATCTCCAGTAGGTAAGTCTGGGAGATAAAATCTCACTCACTTTTTTTTGTTAACTAATAGACTAGTTTTAGATTTACAGAAAAATCGAGCAGAAAGTACAGAGAGTTTGCACATATCCCCTCACCCCACCCCCATATATAGTTTTCCCTATTATTAACATCTTGCATTAGTGTGGGACATTTGTTACAGTTGGTAGAACAACATTGATCCACTATTAACTGAAGTCCATCATTTACATTAGGGTTCACTCTTTGCTTGTACATTCTATGGGTTTTGACAAGTGTACAATGACATGTATTCACCATTACAGTATTATGTGGAATAGTTTCATTGCCCTAAACATCCTCTGTGCTCCTCCTATTCACCCCTCCTTCCCCTGTCCCACTCCAAAACACTGATCTTTCTACCGTCTCCATAGTTTTGCCTTTTCCAGAATGTCATATAGTTGGAATCATACAGCATGTAGCCTTTTCATCATACAATATGAAGCCTTGCGTCTTTTAATTAGAAATGTGTATTTATCTTTCAAAACCCTCTCTGAATGCAAAATACATTCATAAGCAAAAGAACAAAGAGTAATAATTTTTAAGTGTGTTTTCAGCACTGTTCAGGGGATTGAGCAGCCAATAGGTGTAACCAATTTCCTTAACAAGCATCTGCTTAATAAATATTTGTTGAACAAATGAATGAATGAATTCCCAGCATGATGACTACATTAGCAGATGGTCAATGCATGCTTGTTGAATTGAACTCTAGACCTAACATTTTGATTGCATTTGGGGGTTCCCAGTTCTCCTTGACAATAAACTTAAGAGGAACAGATAGTTCTCATGGCTTGGTCACTTTATATGTTTCAGGCAGTATGCTAAGTATTTTACAAATATTAACTCAAATCAGCATTATCAATAATCTTTTGAGCTAGCTATTACTATTCCCAATTTATAGATGAAGAAACAGGCTCACAGATGTTAAGGAACTTGCCCAAAATCACACAGCAGGTAAAGTGAACTTTTAATTCACACTCAGATGGAAACTTTATCCCCAGGAGCATCCTGATGAGCCCACCAGGACATGTCGTGGAGTCTTCCATGGAGCTGACAAGTGACCCAGCACTCCAAGCCTTCCATGATGGTCTCAAATAGATATCCTATGAGACTACACTCAGGTCTGTGTAGTGCTCCCAAAATGCCCTACTCTGCTTTCTACACTGAACAATGCCCCAAAGTGGTGGAATTTTTTTTTTTTTTAATGGAAGCCAGAGGTTCATCATAATAGGTGTCATGGAAGTCCTCAGAGATGTAAATAACCCCCTAGAGATAAGGCTGACATATAAAAGTCTACCTCAGTCCTGGGGAAATGAGCACACCATTCACCACTGTAGGAGAAAAGAAGGGGACAGAAGATCATGTAGGGCTTTGTAATTCATCAAAGATTCTTAGACATTTCTTTTTTTTTTTTTTTTTTTTTTTTGAGACTGAGTCTTGCTCAGTCGCCCAGGTTGTAGTGCGGTGGCGCGTCTCGGCTCACTGCAAGCTCCGCCTCCCGGGTTCACGCCATTCTCCTGCCTCAGCCTCCTGAGTTGCTGGGACTGCAGGCACCCGCCACCACGCCCGGCTAATTTTTTGTATTTTTGTAGTAGAGACGGGGTTTCACCATGTTAACCAGGATGGTCTGGATTTCCTGACCTCATGATCCGCCCACCTCGGCCTCCCAAAGTGCTGGGATTACAGGCGTGAGCCACCACGCCAGGCCGATTCTTAGATATTTCTACCTACAATTGGAAATTTAAATTATCTCCAACACTTCAAACTTCTGACAGATAAGATTTATAAATCTAATAAGCAGAATCTTTGTAAGCATATAACTAAGTCTTGTAAATCGAACATACCCACCCGCTAAATGTGCTAAGCAGAGAGAGCATCGTCAAAGCAGCTCATGAGGACAAATCAATTTCCTTGAATGAACACAATTTACCAAAAGTATTGATCCCATTTTTATCTTTTTATTGTCTCTCTGCTTGCTTGTACAATTTCCCAGAACTACACATTTTTCTTATCCAGATAAGGGAGACTTTAAAACTAGGTCAGTCACATGAGTACAGTAACTGACATTTCAGAATCAGGGTTTGGTCTGAGACTCTGGATGGGAAAGCAAGGCCTGAGCATTAGTTCCAAGTTCATTCTAGATGAGCCATGAGTTAATAAACTGAACACTTCTTGTAGGAATACAACTTCCTAATCATATACCTTTTCTTGCAATATAGTGCATCCTTTATTACTTTTTGGCTTTTTTGAACAGTAACCTTTTATAACACTTTACCAAGATGTCTTTTTATAAATTTTTATTGAATAATTTGAATTAAAATTCTCTTCTTCTTAACTGAATTGCAGTGAAATCTTTCTATTGCCCACCTGGGTCCTACACTCTGTTCCTCTGAACCTTTTGTGTTTATTAACCACTGCTCTCTGGCCATTTATTGACAGAAAGAATCTGGAATTTTAGAGTGTCGAGTTAGAAGGGACAGTATCAGAGGCACTCATGTGCCCACCTGTCCACCCCCCGCCCCTGCCCCCACCACTGTTCCTGCTAAGTGCTGGGAACTCTGCCTAGCAGTTTCAACAATGGGAAAATCCTGCCTTGAGAAAATATGAAGCCTGCCGTTCCCTGGCCTCCCTGGCTGGGGTGTGAAAGCTTGTGATTATACAGCCAGTTAGTGGCTGTCAGGACCAGAATCCAGGAAATGTCTCTCCAAGCCCCTATCTTCAACACAAGAAGGAGATCTGATGGATAACTCTTTTCTATTTTCTCCCCCGCCCCCCCCCCCTTTTTTTTTTGCTTGATGAGCAGAGATAGACAACAGAGAACAGTGAGCCCTTAGCTCAATCCTGAAACTCAGAAATCAGAACATACTTGTTAACAGACTGATTAACACCACCAACCCCCACCTGTCCTGGTTGCCCTAATCACAAACTCCAAGAAGGAATGATGCCCACACCCCCACAGTTCTTTTCCTCTTCCCTCACCCCTGCACAACCCAGGAAGGTGCTCAGCTGAGCAACCACAGCAGGCAGAAGGGCTGCCTGCTAAGTGACCATGGCATTTAAGGGAAGCCAAGAAAGTGACGAAAGGCTTCGAAAGACAACTGCAGGAAGAAAGAAAGAAGGTCATGGTGGACAGGATCCTGGGGGGAAGAGAGACATGGTCAGGTGGAGAGGTTGGGGGCGGATTGCCATCACCCTCACCATGTTGCCTACTTGAGTCTCAGAAACAACTCTCTTTTCCTTCCCTTTGTGCTCCTGCAGAGAATATCATTCCATCTTACATCTTATTGTTAGTAGTGGCAAATCCGTACAGGTCTGCAGCAACCTCGATTCTTGCCTCCTCAGAAGAAAGATTTTGACTGAGGGGAATAAGGCAGAGAAAGAGACTGAAGCAAGTTTTAGAGCAGGAGTGAAAGTTTATTAAAAAGTATTAGAGCAGAAATGAAAGGAAGTAAACTACACTTGGAAGAGGGCCAAGCGGATGACTTGAGAGGTTAGAGTGAATGGTTTGACTTTTGACTTGGGGTTTTATATGTTGTCATGTTTCCGAGGTCTTGCATTACCTCTCCCCTGATTCTTCCTTCAGGGTGGGCTGTCCGCATGAGCAGTGGCCTGCCAGTACTTGCGAGAGGCCGCATGCACAGTGTGTTTACTGGAGTTGTGCAAATGCTCACTTGAGGCGTTCTTCCCTTACCAGTTGAGTATTCCTAGAGGAAGGTCATATACCAGTTAAACTCTGCCATTTTGCCTTTTAGCGTGCATGCTTGGGCCCACTCGCCCAACTCCTGAGATCTTATTGGGAAGCTGCTGATCACCAAATTTTGATGTTTTCTATCTACTGGGAGATTGCCTTTCCCTGGTGCCAGCTGCGACAAATTATTATTTTAGAGAGATAGTCAACAACCGCCTGACCATCACCTCATGGTCACCTGGCATTCCTGGTTTGGGGGCCCACTCCTGCCCTGCTCATGTCTGCGTAACTACCTACTGTAACATCATGTTTTATTTAAAGAGATAGATGCACAAAGTGTATATATGTGTAGGTGCCCACATGTCTATTTAACTGTATGTACTAAATTAACATCTGTCCCCAAACTGATCTCTGCTGAACAGAGCCAATCAAACTTGGTTCCCTTGTTGAGCTTGCACTCTTGGTATTACATACGGACTAGGGGAGAGGGCCAGCCTCAGCACTGATGTTACAGTCTCACCAATGCACCACAAAGTAGCAGTCTCTCACTGTGAGTTATCACCTGGAGTTCTTTTTCTCACAACTAAGAGAATTAGGGAGAGTGAGCACAAAGGGTGAAGTTGGAGCGAAAGTTTAATAAAAGAAAGGAGAAAGCTCTTGGCTGCGGAGAGGGGACCCAGAAAAGGGTTACCATTTTTACAGTTGAATGCAAAGGTTTTTACAGGAAACCAATAAGGGCTGGGGATCTCATTTGCATAGGTACGAATTTCTGGTAGCTCTACCTTGTTCTTCTAATGCACATGTGGGCCCTTAGCTTGAGTTACTCCGTATTGCTTTGTTCCCCTTACTGTGCATGTGTCAGGGGATGGAATTGTCCGTTGTGGGCATGTCTGGGCAAGCCACCTGTATAGCCTTTCTTATCTGTGTGGCTGTGGGCATGTCTTAGGCAAGCCCCCCTGTGCAAATTCCTTTATCTGTGCCTGCAGCTTCATTTTTCAGGCTGTTCTTTTGTTTGAAAGAGAACCCACCCTAACTACCTGCCTGACCAGTTTCTTCCTTTCTCCTCCCTCACTAGGAGATGCTCTTATCAGACTTTCCTAAGTGTCAAAAAAAAAAAAAAAAAAAAGCCACAGTCTACTCCATCTTTTCTCCACTTCTTTGTTCACTTATCATCTTACTCTAAGAAGTCTTTATGTAGCTATCATTTCCTGAGCGTCACACTGCTTGGTTCTGGGAATCAAACCACACAAAACTGAACTCAGCTCATAGGACATACCATCTGTAACCCAAAAATAAAATTCTAACCCCCGCCGCCGCCGACCATCTGAATGGACCCCTTTTCTCAGCAAGGGCATTCCAAGAGTTACCTGAGGGACTGGTTCAGGCCATGATGGGGGGTGGAGTGTGGACATGCCTCATCGTACACGCCTCCCTCTCAGAACAGACTCTGAAAGTTTGATGAGAAACAGTTACAGTCAATTCTTTCTGAAGCCTGCTACCTGAAAGCTTCATCTGAATGGTAAGACTTCGGTTTCCACAACCCCTTATTGTAACCCAGACATTCCTTTCTATTAATTCCAGGTCTTTAGATAATAACTATTTCAACCAATTGTGAATCAGAAAAATTTAAACCTGCTTATAACCTGGAAGCCCCCATTGCAATCCCCCCACTTCAAGTTGTTCCCCCTTTTCAGACCAAACCAAGTACATCTTACATGTATTTGATTGATGTCTCATGTCTCCCTAAAATGTGTAAAACTAGGCTTTGCCCTGATCACCCTGGACACATGTTCTCAGGATCTCCTGAGGGCTGTGTCACAGGCCATTGGTCACTCATATTTGGCTCAGAATAAATCTCTTCAAATATTTTACAGAGTTTGACTCTTTTCCATCGACATGTTTCAGCCCTTTGAGTTTTCACAACCAACGTAATTTGCAGGGTACTTGCAAACACCAACAGATATTTTAGATATAAAAATGCTTTAAATAATTGGATTATTTGAGCTAATATTATTGCCATATACTCCAAAGGTAAAACAGAGCTCACTAGTGTCCTTGCAACTGACAGGAAGCAGAATATAGTGGTAATCAGCACCCGATGGGATGCCTGAGAGATGTGAGGTCTGAGCAGCCATCACGTTGTAGAGTTGTAGAGAACGTGAGAAACCATGGGCACCAAGTTCCCAGGGTGAATGGGGCTGTGCAATCACTGCTTCATTTTGCTTTTGCTTTCTTCCCCAGCTCTTCTCTCTCTCTCTCTCTCTCTCTCTCTCTCTCTCTCTCTGTCTCGTGACACAAAGGAAACCAAATGCAAGTTGATACTTATTCTATAGGGCCCAGATACTAGTCTCCTTCTTCACAGGAAATGGAAAGTCTCAGTAAATCTCTCAACAGAGGCCTGTTTGCAGGAGGCCGGGGCCTAGGAGGTGGAGCTAAGTTTGTTTATCAGCTTGTTCTGGGGACAGAGGTGGAACCATCACCCACAACCAGAGGAAACTGTCTGGTTCCCCAAGGTCATTATGGGACTTCCTGCCAGAGCACCTGATGGAACAGTTCATGACTGAGGTGGGCCCTCACCTTAAACTCTTTCCGTAGACAGAAGTGGGGGATGAGAGAATTCGTAAATGACCAACTAACCACCTCTCAGGTCAAATCTGAACTCCCTGGTGACTTGAGGGAGGTTTTGTGCAGAAAAAGCACCAGGCCTGCCAGGCCTGCAATGCAGTCAGAAATTGCTGCATGTAAATCCTGGCCCTGCCATTTGAAAGTTGCTCAACTTTTTCCCTGTAAAATGGGGAAGGCTATAATGTGCACTATACCCCGGTGATAAGGGTTATGTAACTTCCTCTCCTATCCATTTTCATTTCTCCCCTTTCCTTCCCAGTTCCCAAGATCCCATTATCCTTCCTCTTACACTGACAGCCAAAACTTAAAATTCTGCTTGCTTTATTTTGCAGAGCAATTTAGTTTTCTTTGTTTCATTTTTTCCTTTCAAGACAAGATTCTGGGAACTAATTTTTCAGAATTAAACAACCACACAAATGTTTTGCTAACACACACACACACACACACACGAGTCCCCCAAAAGGACTTCTGCCTCCAGCTTTAAAACACGTGCATTTTCTTTTCTCACTGTATTAGTTTTTCAGTCGATACTTCCCTTGTTTCTCCAGAGAACCTAAAATGAGCAAGACCACCAAGCTGGTCCACCATCCTCTACATGGACTTCGAGAGTCCCCAGAACACTGCTTTTTATGGCCATTTGTATAATCTGAAATGGTGCCCCCTCCATGCCCCTCCCATGTCTTTCAATCAGCTTATTTGTAAAGTCTTCCATAATCATAGTGCCATTATGCCGATATCTTATAAAAACATGTTTATTACATACACCTGCCAAACATGGGCAGCAGGTATTTTGCAATAAAAGTGAAAAAAGCAATCAACAGTTGAAATTGTTCATCACTAGCCCAACATCTTTCCTATCACATGCCCCTTCTTCTCTGCTAATAGAACCCCTATTTGCTAGGTATCGGTAGAAATCCTTTGACTTTAAAGAGAGGAGGCCTCCTACCCTCACCATAATGCATGAATTGTAATTCACCTAAACCACACATAGTAATTTCATTCTCTTATAATTGGTCATGTGACCCAATGAGCTATGAGGGGAAGTTTGCTGAATGTAGTGCCCAGGAAAGCTTTTGCTTTCTGGGCAAAAAAGGACAGACTCAACTGGTAGGGTCCCTTTTGCTCCTCCGCCATTTCTTCTTTCCTGTAATACTGACATTACGCATGGAAATACTGCAGCAATCTTGGAACCATGAAGCACAAGGAAAAGAACAAAGAAGCAATCTATGAAACTATGGCTTAGCAGAAAGATAGCAAGAACCTGGGATAGTTGAAAACTTTGAGTAGCTGACCAGCCTTGGTCTTACCAGTTATGTGAAACGGCTAAGCCCTCATTTGTTTATGTCACTGTAGCTGGGTTTCCTGTTATTTATACTTAAATGCAGTCCTAATAGGTACATAGTGCATCCTCTCAAAAATGGTTAAAGGCTCATTATATACACCTTTGCGTCAGCCTTGATTCCACATCTAGTGCATGAGCAAGTCCTGTCTGCTCTACCATCAAAAGTGTATCCCAGATTTCAACTATTTAGTACTTCCCACCACCCCCACTGCCATTAACCTGGCTGAAGCCACCATCATCTCTCACTCGTAATGCAGCATTCTCTTAATGGGCCACTTGAGTCTACTCTTTTCTTCCTTCAGTCTTTTCTCAACATGGCAGCCAGAATGATTCCATTAAAATGTAAATCAGATGGTATCATTTCTCTTATAAAAGCTCTCCAATGGTGCCTCTGTTACGCAGATTAGAAGCCAAGGTCCTTAAAATGGACTATGGGGCACCTACCTGATTGGGCTCCTCTCTGTTTTTTTCATTTGTTTTGCTTTTTTTTGTTTGTTTGTTTGTTTTGGTTAGATACTTTCTATTACTGTCTTCAAGTTTGCTTGTTCTTTTGCAGGATCTAATCTATTAAGCTCACTCAGTGAATTTTTAAATTTTAAATCTCATATTTTTTCAGCTTTTCTTCACTTTTTGTTTAATTTTTCATAATTTCTACTTCTGTCTTCATTATACTCATGTTTTCCTTTAAACCCTCGAATGTACTTTTTTTTTTTTTGAGATGAAGTCTCACTGTGTTGCCCAGGCTGGAGTGCAGTGGCGCGATCTTGACTTACTGCAACCTCCGCCTCCCAAGTTCAAGCAATTCTCCTGCCTCAGCCTCCTGAGTAGCTGGGACTACAGGCACCTGACACCATGCCCAGCTAATTTTTGTATTTTTAGTAGAGTTGGGGTTTTATCATGTTGGCCAGGCTGGTCTCAAACTCCTGACCTCAAATGATTCGCCTGCCTCGACCTCCCAAAGTGCTGAGATTACAGGTGTGAGCCACCGTGCCTGGTTTTGAACATACTTATAATAGCTGCTTTAAAGGTCTTGTATATTAATATCTGTCATTTCTAGATCTGTTTCTATTGACACATTTTTCTCCTGGTTATAAGTCACATTTCCTGTTTTTTGGTATATCTAGTGATTTTTTTTTTAATTGGATGCTTGACATTATAAATGTTATGTTGCTGTTGAATGTTTAGATTTTGTGGCCAGGAAGTCAATTTATTTGGAGATTGACAAGAGCTTTTTTTTTTTTTTTTAGACAAGGTCTTATTCTGTTGCCCAGGCTGGCGTGCAGTGGTGTGATCATAGCTCACAGTAGCTTCGACCTCCTGGGCACAAACAATCCTCCTGCCTTAGCCTCTCAAGTAGCTGGGACTACAGGTGTATGCCACTATGACCAAATAATTATTTAAATTTTTTTTTGTAAAGACAGAGTCTCTATGCCGCTGAGGCTGGTCACAGACTCCTGGCCTCCAGCAGTCCTCCCACCTCGGCCTCCCAAGGTGCTGGGATTACAAGTGTGAGCCACTGTGCCCCGCTCAACTTGAACATTTTGAAGCTTGTGTTTAAACTTTGTTAGAACAAGTCTAGAGTCACCCTTACCATGGGGCTAGTGAGGCCCTTAACTAAAGTTTGACGCTTCTGAGGTTTCTATTAAATTTCCAGCTGCTCAAGAAGGACTTTCCACTCTAGCCGGTCTTATCAAATGTCTCCCAGCCCAGTGCAAGCTTTAGTGGTTGTTCAGCTTCCAGATCTCTGGTGGTGCTTATTTCCTTGGTACTTTTGGTTGTTGTTGTTTTTGCCCATTCTGCTGTAGTCTCACCCTCTGTATGAGAGCTTTGTATTCAGCCACAGATCTGAGAGAACCCCATGCAGGTTTCTGAAGCTCTTTTTCTGTACTGCTCCCTTATCTCTGGCATTCTATTGTGAAGTTTCCAAGCCTCTCAGCCTCTTCAAACTCCATTCTTTGTCTCAGTGGGACTTGCATGCTCTCCATAGGCCCCCCTCCTTGTGTTGCAGTCTGCACAAGGCACAGTTGTGGGAGGGCTCACCTCATTTGTTTTCACAGCCCTGCATTGCATGTTGCCTAATGTATGAAAACAATCATTCTGTATATTTTATATCATATTCTAGTTTACCGTGTGAGAGTTACTCAGTCGTTACTGGAGGAGGCCACAAATACTTATTAAACGTGTGAAGTATTTTAGTTTCCATGCTGGTTAGTAGGCTGTGAAGATGAGTTAGTGTGCATAGAGGAGGTAGAGGATGTGAAACTCAGGGTGGGTGGGTGAGGAGGAATTTGCCCAAGACAAAGCTATTGTTAGACCTAGGAGGAGAGGCCTGGTGCTTTGCATCCTCGGGCTGTGCTTTCACACACAAGCCACATCATCTCTTCCCTGGCTTAGCTGCTCTGAGCACTGCCTCCTCCTCAGTCGTCTCCTCCTCTTCAGTTATGTCTTCCAGCATTTGGGATGCTGACTTCTTCAGCCAAGCCCCCTCCAAGCCCTCCCCATACCCACATTCAGATAAAGTGGAAAGAGGTTTTCTATCCCAAGTGTATCAGATCATTTGGAAAGATCAAGACCCACTAGCTCCATCATGAGCCAGTGGATGAGCTTTCTGATTGTCCCTGCTTTGACTCCCACTTCCGATTTGCCCAAAGCCCCTCTCACCACCATGCAGCCTGCAATATGAGACCATGTCTGTGAAACCGTGCCATGAACAGCAACACTTAAGGAAATTGGATTATTTAATCAATAATTGGAGCAATAAGCATCTGCCTCGGTGTGCCAGGCCACAAGAGGCACAGGTAAAAGGCCTGTCTTCTCAAGAAGCACTTATTCTAGAGACTGGCTGCCCACTGTGGGGTTCAGTTAGCAGAAAACACCCTGCTGCCAGTGGTTTCAGGGTCTGCCTCAGGTGCAGATAAGGCAAAGGATCCCTTTGCCCAAGGTCATGACTTACCAGGGAAGCCCATCACTTGTGGCTGAATGAGGAGGGCGTATAAAGACCCAGGCATTTTAGTCTGAAGTGAGGCAACTCTGATGGACGTCACTTCTTCTGAATCTCATGGCTAGGTTGGCTGAAGCTTTGTCGGAGCTGCATCCAAACTCAGCCTCTTCCTCTGCCCAATCTTGCTCCCTCTTTCCTTTCACAACAGATAATTTCTAATTAACAGCTTGTGCCCACACTTCAATTCCACACCTGCTTCTAGGGGGCCCAACTCGTGACACAGGGAATGGCCGTGACCATGGGCTTTGGCAGCTACAGTCCAGTCCACTTTCCCTGCAGACAGGGAAAGGTCAGGTCAGGCAGGGGATGATGACTCCACAGAAGAGTCACCCTGATACCACAGGCTTCAGCTTCTCAACACTTTTTACCTCCCTTCTTTTTTTTTTTTTTTTTTTTTTGAGATAGAGTCTTGCTCTGTTGTCCAGGCTGGAGTGCAATTGCACAGTCTTGGCTCACTGCAGTCTCTGCCTCCTGAGTTCAAGTGATTCTCATGCTTCAGCCTCCTGAATAGCTGAGTTTACAGGCACCCTCTATGCCCAGCTAATTTTTGTATTTTTAGTAGAGCTGAGGTTTCACCATGTTGGCTAGGCTGGTCTTGAACTCCTGGCCTCAAGTGATCCACCCACTTCAGCCTGCCAAAGTGCTGGGATTACAGCCATGAGCCGCTGCACATGGCCAATCTCCCTTCTTTATCAATGTGACAGAAAGTTGAAATGAAGATGAATTACTGGGACATGAGATCAGATTATGTTTATTGAGTGTACACTCTGAGCCAGGTACTAAGCTAAGTCCTTCACTTGCATTATCACGTTTCATTCCCTCAAACAACCTCCCAGGGAGGTAATCTCATTATCCCCACTTTATAAAGCCCTTTGCCTCTGTCTTATGAGAGTTGGGGCAGGCCTGAGGGCAATGAGTGATGATCTCAGATGCCCTCCAGGGTCCTGGCCTGTCTTCTACAGCATGAATCCCTGTGAGCAGCTTCATTCTCATTGCTGGCTCCTGCTTATCTCCTCTTTCTTCTCCTCCCTCCCCAGCTCTCAGTTCTGCAGATCTGGCAGCACTGCTCAGACCCTACCAGCAAATCCGAGGCACTTTCAATGCCCATCCCCCACCCTCAAAAATAGGAAGAGGAGAAACTCTCAGACCACATCCTGCATTTGAGCAAAGTTCCCACCAGTGGTTCAATGCAGGCAAACATTTATGCGACATCTTCCAACTCATAGCCAACCTAGCAACCACAAAAGCTGGGCTCCCAAGAGGTCACTCTTTCACTTATCAGCAATGGACTACCAGTGATCGACCTGCTGTGTGTGGGGGAAACTGGAAGTGTACAGATGAGTGATTCATTCATTTATTCTTATACTTTTTCACCTAACAGTGACTTACTGCGGTCTTATTTTGTTTGAAGCACAGGTCCTAAAGATGTGGTGGGTAGCAAGAAAGAGTCTTGATCTTATGTTCCACTTAGTGGAAGAAATAAGATTTACAGTCCATTATCAAACAATTTCGTAACAGTCCAGTCACATGCACACAAAGTCCAGAAGAATGTACAGGAGATTTGTAGTTTGGGATGGATCATAACATCTCACACATAAAGGGTCTCAGGTAAGGTGAGTATTGAGGTGGCTGCTGCAGTTCGTTTTCTTCCTCCCTGGTTCTGCACTGGGCCCAGGTCTTTCTATTTAGGCTCTCTGGGTGCCTCACAGACCCACTGCTCTCCCCAGGGAGCACATACCTCTCTCTGAACCTGCTACCTCTTCTCCCCCACGCCCCGTCCCAGTGGACACTTGGCCTCTTTAAACCTCCCTCCAGTGTCCTCCCTTATTGATGGCCACACTGAGCAAGTGTGGTCCATGTGTCCCATGCTGAGATATGCTAAAAGAGCCTGGCTCTTCCTCAGCCTTGAAGCACATTAAAGAAGTCCCTTTCTGTTACACCAGTTTTAGGCCTGAATCCGGCCCCAGAAAGCAAGATGGGACAGTGCCAAGCCTCAGGAATGCAAGCATGTTAGGGCAAACAAGAAAAATCCACTTTGCTGTATTTAGAACAGAGCATTTCTCCTTCCTTTATTTTTATTTTCATTTTTCCCTTTGATCTTCCCTGGTGTTCTCCCTCTGCATTCTCTTTTTTGGGTCATACTTATTTCTGCAGTGAACAAGGTTATGACATCATCCCTCTGTCCCCACTCATCCTTCCAACCTTTCTGAGACAATCCCGGGGCCAAGAGGAGACTGAGAAGCTGGGGGAGGTAGGATCTTCCCAGGACACCTGCCCAGCGCCAACTAGGTGTTGAGCTGCCTACCAACAACCACGAGAGGGCGCCCCTTCCCCATGCCTCTCCTGCGGAGGCTCCCTCGGGAGTCCAGGTTTGGGGTGGGTCAGAAGTGCTGCAGGCCCTGGACACAGGCTTGTATCTGGAAGGTGACAGTGCCTCTGCCTCATCACTGACTAATAGAAGGCCAACCTTCATTGTTATTTCCTCCCTGTGGCAGAACTGGGTTCTGAATTTCTCCTCAAGCAAATCCCCAAAGCATATTTTTAACCTAACCTTGGGTTAATAAGTATAGTTTTTCCTATCTTTAGGGATTCAAGTTCTCCCTGGGGTTTGGAACAGAGCTAGATCCTGCCTTCACAGACCCCTGTAAATCAAGGTGAATCGAAAGTGGCATTTAAATCTGGCCTTATATGCCAAGAAATGGACATCTTCATGCTTCCACCCCGCTGGTGATCTCGGTTCCCATGACACACCTACACTTTCATTAAGTCACCCTTGTTCCCACGTCTGCCATAGAGTTACGGAGTCCAACTCTGAGACTTCACTAAGACTGGTCTCCTTGTGTGTTTCCTATTCTTCTCCTCCTGGCAATGCCCAGATCCTCCTTCTAATCCCTTCTCAAAGCTTGCTTTCAGGAGGAAGCCAGCCGGGTCCCTACCAGGGCAGTGTGGCCCTTCTATTCTCTGCAGTCCTCCATTCTTTCTGTACCACTGTGGTGTTTGTGTTTAATTCTCTGCTCCTTTATCCTGCCTCTTACATATCTCTTTCCTGAGCTAGATGCAAAAGCTGTAAATGAAGATTGGCAGACATAAAAATATTTTTAAAATTATGTAATGAAAACAATATAAACATAATAGGAAGTAAAAAATGAAAAAATACAATAAATATGATAATGGATTAATTTCTATAATACAGAGAGAATTCCTAAAAAGCCATACCAAAGAGATGGAGAATCCAATAGAAACGGCCAGGCAACTCAGAGAAGGAGAAAAAGTATTGGCCAATAAATATATACATTAAAAAGTTGCCCAACCTTTAGTTTTAACATAAATTAAAATAAGAAGGCATAATTTTAATATAAAAGATAGACTGATAATACCCATTATTTATTGTTTACTAGAATGGGGGTAATAAGCATGCCTCATACGTAGTTGGAAGGAGTACACGTTAAAGCACAATTTGAAAAGTAGCATAAAAATAGTGTGTGGATGTCTTTTATACAAAATCATCTCATTGCAGAATTATCTGTGACTGTGAAATTTGAAAATAACTGAAATGTCCATCAATGGGGGATGTAGTAATTTAAAATTGCATATAAATTGATATTCTCTATTTTGATTATGTGAAAGGATGCTTTGCCATAAATTGTTGAGGGTAGGGGAGAAAAAGAGAGAGAGAGTGTATGTGTGTGTATGTGTGTGTCAAGAAAGAGGAGAGAGAGAGAGAGAAGGGAGTTAGGGATGATGTATACCAAAATTGTTAACAGTAGTTTCTTTAGAGAATGAATAGGTACTTTCATTTTCTGCTTTATATATTTTAATATTCTTAGGGTTTTGCTACAATGTAAACTTGCTACAATTAAATTTTTTAAATTTCTTTTTGAGACAGAGTTTCGCTCTTGCTGTCTAGGCTGGAGTGCAATGATGCGATCTCGGCTCACTGCAACCTCCGCCTCCTAGGTTCAAGCAATTCTCCTGCCTCAGCCTCCCAAGTAGCTGGGATTACAGGCATGTGCCACCATGCCTGGCTAATTTTTTGTATTTTTGGTAGAGACGGGGTTTTTCCATGTTGGTCAAGATGGTCTCGAACTCCCGACCTTAGGTGATCCGCCCACTTCGGCCTCCCAAAGTGCTGGGATTACAGGCGTGAGCCCCTGTGGCCAGCCCAATTTTTTAAATTTCAAGTTTGAGGAAAAAAGGAATAATTTGTTTACATGTTTGTCTCTCCCACTAAAAACATAAGTCAATAGAAAGCTGAAATCAAATTATATTTGGTTCATATTTGGTTTACTGTATAAATTACATTTTTGCAGTGACTGACAGAGTAAACACTCCATTAATTTTTTAAATTACTTTTCTTTTATACATTTTAAGGGTGGATGCTTTATTTAGCACATACTTCATTCCCCCTAATGTTATATTTACCTGTATTTATACATTTGCCTTCCCAAGTAGAGTACAAGTTTCTTGAGGCAGATCAAATAGGGACTCTATAAGCTCTTATCAGTTCTTTACAAGGTGTAGATTTTCCATAAGTGTTTGCTGTATTTGTCAGATGCTGAAGGATTGAAAGCCATTTTTCCTCCTTGGGCTCCAACCCCCACACCCACATTATCTTCCTCTTCCATGGTGGGGTTTGAGTTTAGAACATACTAATGTCTCTTGTGACTTTGAAAGATTAGGAGTCTAGTAAGGAATGTCTCCAAGTTAGGTTCTCAGTTGGAATAGGCACTGGAGCAGATGAAGACCTTGCTTAGGAGAGAATCCACAGCTTAAGCCTGGAAGGAAACTTGTTTAAGAAAAAAATCTGCAAATAATTGCCATGACCTTGACCACGAAAGTCAAAATCTGATTGACTAAGCTTTCTCTTTTAGTCCTGGGGACAAGTTTATCATTTTCTAGAATTAAAATGTCAGGAGAAAAAAGATACATCTCTCCATCCACCAACATAATAAGGCGTAATGTCAGGAAAGCAGAGATAAAACATTAATGCCTTTCTTTACTGTACTCTCAGTGCCAATCTGGTCATCTGATTGAAGTACGGAGATAGACAACTGCAAAGCAATGCCAGCGAGAGCGAATGCACAGGCACACTGTGAAATGCTACATTTACCTTCTTCAGCAGGGCAGGAAATACCTACCAAAAGATGAAAAGATCTCAGTTCAAACTAACAAAGAATACCATGAGTGCTTTCTTTTTCTTTTTTCTTTTTTTTTTTTAGATGGAGTCTCGCTCTGTCACCCAGGCTGGACCATGAGTGCTTTTTTAAACCTCATTTTAAATCTGAAAGAAGAATGAATACATTGGTATGCATAAGAAGTTTAGTATGAACCCATACTGTGTTTTGTTATCAACAAAGAAACAAGAACAAAATTGGCACCCTTTCAGTAAGCTCAGCTGAGGTATTTTCACACTGAAGGTTCTGCAGGCTTCTGGAGCCCTTGAGAACTGAGTAGGTAGGTTCAGGCAGCTGTAACAAAATACCACAGACTCGGTGGCATAACAACAAACGTCTATTTCTCACAGTTGGGAGGCTGGGAAGTTTAAAATCAAGCTGCACACAGATGAGGTGTCTGGTGATGGCCCTCTTCCTGATCTGCTGAAAGCCACCTACTTGCTGCATATTCCCATGGTAAACAGAGATCATCTCTTCTGTGTCTATTCTTGTAAGGGCACTAATCCCATTCATGAGGACTCTACCCTCATGATCTAATTACCCGCAATGCCCCTTCTCCATAGACCATCACACTGGGACTTAGGGCTTCAACATGTACATTTTGGGTGACACCGAGGAGTCAGTTATGAAAAAGGCACTGGGAGATAGGTAGGGAGATGTGCAAGGCCCTGAGGATCTGAGCCTTTGAGTCTGGAGTGCAAGTCCATTCTCACAGGTTAAGGCAGGATCCTGAACAAACATTTGTTGAGGTTTTTCTTTTTGTGTTTCACATAATTCTTTATTTTTATTTTTTATTTTTTTGAGATAGAGTCTTGCTTTGCCCAGGATGGACTGCACTGGTGTGATCGCAGCTCACCATAGCCCCAACCCCTGGGGCTCACTCAGGTGATCCTCCCACCTCAGCCTCCCAAGCAGCTGGGATTATCAACATGTGCCACTACTCCTGGCCAATTTTTCCTTCGCATACTTCTTGTACTTGCACAGTGGAGACACAGACACCAATACATCACAATACACTGTGAAGGAATGAAAGGAAATAGAATGCACTGTAGGCAGAGGTGCCAGCTCGTCTCTGCTTGGGGGACAGTGGGAAGAGCTACAGAGAAGGTGTCATTGTAGGTGCCTGGTAAACAATAGCTGTTGTCGGGTGTGGTGGCTCACACTTGTAATCTCAGCACTTTGGGAGGCCAAGGCAGGAGGGGCGCTTGAGCCCAGGAATTCAAGACCAGCCTGGGTAATGTAGTGAGACCCTGTCTCTACAAATTTTTTTTTTTTTTTTTAATTAGCAAGGTGTAAGGTGCATGCCTGTGGTTCCAGCTACTCTGGAGGCCAAGCTGGGAAGATCCTTTGAGCCCGGGAGGTTGAGGCTGCAGTGAGCCATGATGGTGCCACTGCACTCCAACTGGGGTGATACAGCAAGAGCAAGATCCTGTTTCTAAAAAAATTAAGCAAGCCAGAGGTGGTGTGAACACAGAGAGAGGTGGGGGCAAGAAGAAGGAGACAGATTGGGATGATGAGGAAGGAGATTCAGGGCCGAGGGTGATACCAGGAGGCAGAGCCTGAGTATCACCTCCTTCCCTTCTCCAGGACCGGGTCCCTTTTAGGTGAGACTAGATGAAAAGGGCTCTTCAGCAGCTGACTTCACAGCAACTAATTTCTGACAGGTCAGAGTTGGCATTGCTCAAATCTGGGCTTCATTTCCAAGAAGTTTCACAAGTCTGCCAGGGGAAGTCCCTGGACTTCTTGCTTCTTTCGTGTAGGACAGGCTGTCGAAACCTCAGTGGATAAAAGACCTAGAGAATGTGTATCCCAGAAGAAGCTGGCCAAGGATATGGGAGCAACCACCATGGACCAGAAGTCTCTCTGGGCAGGTGAGCATGGGGTTGATAATTCAGCAGGAAATTTGGTGAGGAAGGAAGAGGTAACAGGTCTGTAGAAGAAGTAATCTTCCTCCTTTCCTGGGACTTCAGTCTTTCCGTTGACCTTAGTGTCAAAAAATTTCAAGCCAATGCAACTGTTGTAGGGGAACCACCTGATCTTTCCTGAATGGACAAAAATGCAGCAGTAGCCAGAACCCTTTGCACTGGCAGGATGTTCTCAGTTTGTGCAGAGGTCCTTCTTGTCCACATTAGAACTGGAGCTAAGACAGGAAAGAGGCCAAGCTTTCTTAGTCTCTTGGTGTATGAGCGTTGTATTGCGAGTCACATCTTTCTTGGGCTCTGCTGTGGTTATATTTTACAACTTTTGGAGAGCCCCACATTTCTCATCTGCAGAATGGTTTATTGAATTTAATGTTTTTTAAACTCTCCCTTTCAACTCTAAAGTTCTGATCCAAAACTCTGGCTTTTGTGGTGGCTGGGAATTGGGATGAGAGTGGGGATGAGGCTAAATAAACAAGGCTATGAGTGAACGGGGGACGTTTACCAGGAGGGGAGGGGAGGGAATATGTCTGCTGGAGGAAAGAAATCATTTATTTGTGTCCATACCTCTTTCACCTTGTCTTACCCTCTCAAGCCATGAAGCCCCCACTTGGCAAGAGCCTTTTGGGTTCCCTGTTGAACTTAGCTGAGCCCTGGACTGACCCTTGACAGGGTAGAGCCCGTAGGGAGGCCACACTTTGGAGAAGGGCCTGGAGGCTGACCTGACAGTGGATGTGCCACAGAGAATTTCTCTGACCATTTACTTAGTGAGTGTGTGGAGAACCAGGGCCTAACCTCCCTGCCTAAAAAAACATGTGAGTCATCAAGAGAGAACAGTAGAGCCCTGTTTTCCAGCCCTAAGCTCTGCAGGGGAGGAATCAGCTCCAGCAGCTGTGTCATTGAAAGTTTTCTCTCCTTTTTGGCTGCCCCTTTCTTCACTTTTGGACCCGTAAAGGTTTCAGAGTGAACAATATCCCCAGGCTGGGGGGATTGCAGTTCCAGGAGTCTTGTCCATTGGGCAAAGTTTCTAGGATCCAGGGGTCTGCTCTTTTTTTCCTTTAGGAGGATGTGTTAAGTATAGAATAATCTCACCAGTCTTCCTAGGGTAGATGTCCTATGGAGAAGAGACTGGGCATAATTTCAAACATATAAGTTTAAAGCACTACCAGGGCCAGCTCACACTGCTTATCTTGTTCTAAGAGTTAATTGTTTATACATAGTGGGACCATCTCAATTTGCCTGAGATAGTTCTGGTTCAAGCTATCGTCCTAGGGAAATTATTAATAATGTTCCTTTTTACTCTTTGAAGGGTCTCATTGGACAATAAACTATATGGTCACCCTACCTATATTCAACTCCAGACTGGACTATGAGCTCCTTGAGTGCAGGGAAGGCATTAACTGCATTATAATTTCCCCAGTGTCCTGAGCAATGCTTAGCACAGAGCATATGATTCAATAAAACTTTGTTGGATAAATGAATGAAAAAATAAATTCCCAGCTTGGAACATGTTTCTGCCTAGGAATGTAGAGACACAAGGCACCCCAGGGCTGGGGACCTCAAGGTCCTATAAAGAAACCACAGGCCGGGCGCGGTGGCTCACGCCTGTAATCCCAGCACTTTGGGAGGCCGAGGCGGGCGGATCACGAGGTCAGGAGATCGAGACCATCCCGGCTAAAACGGTGAAACCCCGTCTCTACTAAAAATACAAAAAATTAGCCGGGCGTAGTGGCGGGCGCCTGTAGTCCCAGCTACTTGGGAGGCTGAGGCAGGAGAATGGCGTGAACCCGGGAGGCGGAGCTTGCAGTGAGCCGAGATCACACCACTGCACTCCAGCCTGGGCGACAGAGCGAGACTCCGTCTCAAAAAAAAAAAAAAAAAAAAAAAAGAAACCACAGCAGCTGTGGCTGGGGAGCCCAGATGAAGTGTGGCTCTATCTTGTATGTGAGCACACCCACATTTTCACTGCCATTATCTGGGACAGCAGAACCAGGTTTGGCTCAACAGATTTCTCTTTCCACCCATCTATTGCAGGTGTAGTGGTCTTGCTGCTTCTCCAGGGAGGTAAGTAGTCAATAAGTCACTACCGCCTGGATCTCCTGGCTTGGGTGCTTTCATTTTTGATGTACAGTTTCTTTTTCTGCTACATGCTTTTTCTCTTGATTACTCTCTCCGGTTCTGCCACTGACATATTTATGACACTGAGTTTTTATTCTATCTTTTTGTGTATCCCTTGTTCTAGTTCTTTTTGAGCCACTCTCTCTCTCACCCCTCCCCCATAGCTGGCCTCAATATGTGTGTGTGAATACAAACATACACAATGTTTGTATTATCTGTTTCTCTACTGATCTGTGTCATCCATCCATACATACATACTGAATCTTAGTGCTCCATGGGTGTTTCATATGTTGGTGGTATCTCTGTCTCTCAATGTATTTTTTTTTAAATTTTTTTGAGACAGGGTCTCACTGTAAGGTCCAGGCTGTAGTGCAGTGGTGTGACCATGGCTCACTGCAGCCTTGACCTCCCAGGCTCAAACAATCCTCCAACTTCAGCCTCCTTAGTAGCTGAGACTACAGGCATGAACCACTACACCTGGCTAATTTTTAAATTTTTTGTAGAGATGGGGTTTTGCTATGTTGCCAGAGCTGGTCTTGAACTCCTGGGCTCAAGAAGTCCTCCTGCCTCAGCCTCCCAAAGTGCTGGGATAACAGGTGTGAGCCACTGTGCCCAGTCTCAGCGTATTTCTTAACTGGGGTCTGGGTACTCAAGAGCCAGCACTAAAGGCCCAGGCTGAATGACCCTCAGAGGCTCTGGCAGAATGAGCAAATGATGCAATGGCTGTCTTGGGGAGAAAATTGTGACTTTCTGGACTCTAAGGCAACAGCCCTAGAGTCTCACTGGCTCTCTTCACTCTACTCCAGGATCTGCCTACAAACTGGTTTGCTACTTTACCAACTGGTCCCAGGACCGGCAGGAACCAGGAAAATTCACCCCTGAGAATATTGACCCCTTCCTATGCTCTCATCTCATCTATTCATTCGCCAGCATCGAAAACAACAAGGTTATCATCAAGGACAAGAGTGAAGTGATGCTCTACCAGACCATCAACAGTCTCAAAACCAAGTGAGTAAGATGGGGGTGGAAGCATCCTGCATGGATTTTAGAGGAGGGAAGCTGGTCTTAAGCTGACACTAAGACATACTATCTCATTCATTCATTCATTCCTATATATTTCTCTGGGTGTATTTCTGATCCTAACTGTTCTCACCAGTGCTTCATCCCTTCACTGAACTTCACTTTAGTTCAAACAGCCAGGCCCTAATTGTCCATTTTCTCTACACTTAAGAACTCTGTTCTTTAGACAAAGGCTTCCCTGGCAGCCAGAAAATAAATAATCATCTTATTCTTCTACTTCAGGAATCCCAAACTGAAAATTCTCTTGTCCATTGGAGGGTACCTGTTTGGTTCCAAAGGGTAAGACTACATCTTTATTTTTTGTTCATTTCCCCATGTAATTTTTGATCATCATCATTTTTCCTCCTTCTAAGAAGAGATATTAAACTAGGCTTTAAGAGGTTTTCCCTTGGCCAGGTGGCAAAACTGATCTGAGATTTGTCATAAGCAGAGGAACAGCATTAGGTTTCCTGGGGTCTTTGAAGGAATTCTTCTGGAGCTTAATACAAGCCCAGACACTCAAGGCTTGAGAGAAAGTGGGCCATGAACAATATTCAGAAAATTCTGAATTATTTACATGAATGTTTTTCACTTTATGGATTATAGAATTAGTTTTAATTGGAAAGTGCAATTTTTTTAAAAATCACTTGAGGGTTTGACTTTGTGCCCCGGGGTGGGTTGGATGGGTTGCTTCCATTCAGAAGCCCCACCATGGCCCATAGCAGTCAGTGGAGTACAATGTCTGGGATCATGGCTGTGCAGCCAGATGGCCTCAGCACCATCAGAGCAGCAGAGGAAACAATCAGTCCTGCTTTGCTTAAAATCAAAATAGCTATTGATACAAAGCACACATTCGAAATAATATTTTCTATTCCCATGGAAATGATATCCCATTTACATCAAGAGCTAAATGAAAATACATAAGGATAAATATCACATTTTTTCAATCTTCAGCTACAGTTTATCTAATTTTGAATTTCTTCTGCTTTATTATTTAAAGTGCTAACATCTTAAAAAGTCCAGAGATCTTAAATTTGGCTGAGAGAGTCTTGGAGTTTTTATAGAAATCTGATAGTACAACTTGTGCAACCTGTCAGAAGTCAGTTACAGCCAGAGTAGGCAGAGAGAAGAAGTAGTGTTAGAAGACCTATGTAGATTTCTGCACACAGAAAGAAGGAAGAAAGATCAGGCTACCTAACTTTTTTGGTTCTGTGTTAACTCCTCCGTGAACACCCTTCAATATGAATGGGCTTCCATGGCACCCATCCTTCTAATTATCAAATTTTCTCCCCTTCCTAATACTTGCTTAGGTGTTGATGCAAATAAAAATGTCTTCATTTATTCATTCATTCTTGCATTCATTCATTCATTCATTCATTCAGTAAATTCATTCAGTAAGTAATTGTTTACCAGTTTAGTGGTTGAAAGTAGAACTTTGGAGATAGACGTGTTTGGTTTGGATTTCCCTTTAGATGCATGCAAGCTATGTGACTTTTGTCAAGTTCTTTATGTCTGTATGCCGCAGTTTTCTTTAACTATACAATAAGAATAATAACAGAATTTACCTCAGGGTGGTGTTGTAAAGGCAGGCAACGCAAGCAAACTGTTTAGCATAGTGCCCCTGTGCAATAAGGGCTCAATGGTTGCAGTAATCATTGTTATATGATTATTGTTGTTATTATTAGGTAAATGCCAGGCTTTGTGCCAGGTGCTGTGCAGAATAATTATATATGTGTAATATACAAACTTGCTTCTAAGGAACAAATTAGTAAATTTCTATTGAATGGGCAGCTCTCCTAAAATTGGAGGCATCTGCCCAGAGGCTCAGGTGCAATGGCTTTCTAATCATTGTAAGCACTTTCAAATGCAAGAGAAAAGCTAGAAAACTATTTCCACCGTAGTTTTCTGATATCAGGCCAGTTTCTTGCTATCTCTTCAACTTCAAAGATGAGATACATGCAGGAATCAAAATCTCAATTTAATATTGAGTAAAACAAAATTAATTCAAGGCTCTAAGAAAGCCTGGGTGTGGGAGGTATTGTAAGAGGTGAAAAGTGACACAACTTAAAGGTTATGTCCTCAGGAAAATACCAGTATCTCATCTACAGCTTTGGGTTTAAAATGCTATTGGTGCCCTTGGTGTGGGCATCTGAGAATCAACTTCATGGCTTCAGAATTCTAGTTCAGATGAAGCCCTTGAGGAGCTGCTGATTTCAAGTCCTGTTTTCATCAGAAATCCCGGGGGTGGGGAGATCTGCGTTGCCTATTTGTGGCCGGGATGCTTGTTTGGGGACCATGAAGTCACTGGAGTCCAGTTCTTTTTCCTGGAACTTCCCTAAATGTTATCCCCTTGAGGCACATGAAGCAGGATTAGTACCCTCAGTCCCAATTTAGAGGTGGCCAGACTGGAACCCAGAGAGCAGGTTAATGACAAAGTGGCCATCAATCAGAAAGGACTCTAACCTTGGACTTGAATCTAGTTCTCCTGACCCTAAGCCCACCACATTGCAAACTGCTTTTCCAAGGGTGTAAAGTGTTAAAGAAAACCAAAGCTGGCATCCAGGAGGGAGGTGGGGGGGGTCAGCACCCCGCCCGGCCAGCCGCCCCGTCCGGGAGGTGAGGGGCGCCTCTGCCCGGCCGCCCCTACTGGGAAGTGAGGAGCCCCTCTGCCCGGCCACCACCCCGTCTGGGAGGTGTACCCAATAGCTCATTGAGAACGGGCCATGATGACAATGGCGGTTTTGTGGAATAGAAAGGGGGGAAAGGTGGGGAAAAGATTGAGAAATCGGATGGTTGCCGTGTCTGTGTAGAAAGAAGTAGACATGGGAGACTTTTCATTTTGTTCTGTACTAAGAAAAATTCTTCTGCCTTGGGATCCTGTTGATCGGTGACCTTGCCCCCAACCCTGTGCTCTCTGAAACATGTGCTGTGTCCACTCAGGGTTAAATGGATTAAGGGCGGTGCAAGATGTGCTTTGTTAAACAGATGCTTGAAGGCAGCATGCTCGTTAAGAGTCATCACCACTCCCTAATCTCAAGTACCCAGGGACACAAACACTGCGGAAGGCCGCAGGGTCCTCTGCCTAGGAAAACCAGAGACCTTTGTTCACTTGTTTATCTGCTGACCTTCCCTCCACTATTGTCCTATGACCCTGCCAAATCCCCCTCTGCGAGAAACACCCAAGAATGATCAATAAAAAAAAAAAAAAAAGAAAGAAAACCAAAGCTGGACAGTATTTAAAGCAGTAAAACAGATTTTATTCAGGAAATATTGAAACGGGGAAAAAGACCTCAGTATGGTACTGGGTTCTATTCCAAAGGCAGCAAAGGCAAGTGAGGAAATATAGCCAAAGAGCACGCTAGGGGCAATCAGTGGATGGAAAATCATAAAGAGGAAACACTGGGGCTAGAGGGATGGATTCTTGCTAAACTGATTCAACAGGATTCCTGCCAAAGGATGCCAGAGCGATGAGATACCACCTGGGGGATGGCAGGGGGTGAGTAATCAGGTACCAGGTCTGGGGGTTTCTGGCTAAACTGACCTAGCAGGACTTTTTCTGGAATCGGACACTGCAAAGACAGACACAGAAGCCCAAGATTGAGGTCCAGTTGAGAAGAGGGCTCAGAGAAGCCTACCTAAGTTTGGTCAAGGCAAGAGTCTTAGCCAAAGGCAGCTCCGTTACCCTTAGGAAGGTCTGCAGAGAATCTAGTCTTCCTTTACCTGGCTGGATCAATGTTCCGGCCCAACAATCCTTTTTCTCTCGTCTGTTCCAAAAGGGGAAAGCATTAGAATAGACAAATTGTAAGTGAATATTGGGGAAGAGAAGACTGCTCAGGATTTCTGTGAAAAATGTGTTACACTACAAGTGTTACTTGTTCTTTCCAAAAAGACACTCGTATTGCTTCTTTCCAGGTTCCACCCTATGGTGGATTCTTCTACATCACGCTTGGAATTCATTAACTCCATAATCCTGTTTCTGAGGAACCATAACTTTGATGGACTGGATGTAAGCTGGATCTACCCAGATCAGAAAGAAAACACTCATTTCACTGTGCTGATTCATGTAAGTCATGAATCAAGTAATTCATGTGAGTCAGATGCCACGGTGTACTCAGTACTCTGATATCCAGAATCCATGGCCACATTGGGAGACAAAAAGGAGGAGATTGAGTCTAACAGCCCCAGCCTTTCTGAAGCTCCCACTAATGAGAGAAAAGCCCTGATTCCTATTTTAAGGCAGTAACAACATGAAACAGTGGAGCCCCCTTGCACATTTATTTTGATGTCCTTCTTTTTGATGAAGAACATCAAAATAAAGCAACATCCATATGAAAGAGGGTGTAGCCATAGGATTTCCTGAGTACTGAGGTGGCCTCACAGAAGATCTATCAGATAGATCTGAAAATCTATCAGGTAGAAACCAAGATAGTTATTCCTGGGTAGAGTGAGGCTGGGGTTCTCCTGCCTAATGTGGAGACTTCCTGAGCAGATACAGGCACAAGGCATCCCCATGTGGGGTGGGGAGGAAAGGGTTGATCCTTTCCATCTAATGTGGTTCTAGAAACCTCATAGATTCCAGGCAAGAAGCTTAGCACTGTACTCTGGGAAGGGGAATATTGCACCTCGTTTCTTTGTTTTTCCTAGGAGTTAGCAGAAGCCTTTCAGAAGGACTTCACAAAATCCACCAAGGAAAGGCTTCTCTTGACTGCGGGCGTATCTGCAGGGAGGCAAATGATTGATAACAGCTATCAAGTTGAGAAACTGGCAAAGTGAGTACATCAGAGCAACTTTCCATCCCTCTGCTTCCAATTTGGTCCATGCAAATGATGCATCAGCATGTTTGACGGATGAGGGGAGGAGGAAGAGAGGGAAGGTCATTGTCCTAACCCTGCATCATTCAGCCAGGAACAACTTCTTTACAGAGACTTTCAATCCTTCTAGCAGCATCATTCAAAGCCAAAACAATTACTTACAATTGTTTCTACCACTGCTCGTCACAAAATCTCTCCCATTGCTTTTGGCACTTTAGAGATCTGGATTTCATCAACCTCCTGTCCTTTGACTTCCATGGGTCTTGGGAAAAGCCCCTTATCACTGGCCACAACAGCCCTCTGAGCAAGGGGTGGCAGGACAGAGGGCCAAGCTCCTACTACAATGTGGTGAGTAGGCCAGGGGAACCGCAGGGGTACTGGCTGTGGGGGTGGGGCTGGGGAGAGTCCAGCATGTCTAGAGTTACTTCTGTCTTGAACTGAGGAAGAGCTATGAGCCCAAGAGGGAATTGGGTAGCCCCAGGAGCAAGTGAGTGCAGGAGAAGTGCTTTGACCAGGCACCAACAAAATGTCACCTAGAAAATATCAGAAGTGCTGATAGCTGAAGTGCCCTAAGCTCTGTCTCTGGCTCAGAGTGTCCCCCATCCCAGTCTTCTCTGGATTCTCCATCTTTCATACATTTCTTGGCATCTACACAGGAGAACAGAACTTGTACCTTCCTGTGTCCATCTATATTCCCTATTTAATTCTATCTTTAAAAAAACCCCATGAGGTCAGCTGGGTAGGAAATGTTACTCCCACTTCACAGATGATGAAACAGAAGCTTGGCAGATTCCATTGACTCTTCAAGGTCGTGTGTTGTGAACTTCCTGGTGATGGGAAATGAAAAGTAAAAAAAAAAAAATAATGTTGTTGATGTTGTTCTGGAACATAACTTATCCACCCAATGGGTTCTCCTTGCCCATTGATTTATCAAGATAGGAGAATTGCAATAGAGAAAGAGTTAAAGTCATGCAGAATCAGCTGTATGGGAGACTGGAATTTTATTATTACTCAAATCAGTTTCCCTGGAAATTCAGGGATCAGGGTTTTTAAGGATAATTTTGTGGATGGGGGACAGAAAGTGGCGAGTGCTGATTGGTCAGGTTGAAGATGAAATCATAAGGGTTCAAAGTGGGTTTTTCTCGCTGTCTTTTGCTCTTGTTTGGGATCACAGAACTGGTTGAGCCAGATTCCTGGGTCTGGGTAGTGTCAGCTGGTGCATCAGAATGCAAGATCTGCAAAATATCTCAAGCACTGATCTTAGGTTTTGCAACAGTGATGCTATTCCCAGCTGCAATTTGGGGAGGCTTAGAATCTTGCAGCCTTTGGCCGCATGACTCCTAAACCATAACTTCTAATCTCATGGCTAATTTGTTAGTTCTACAAAAGCAGACTGGTCTCTAGGCAAGAAGAGAGTTTGTTTCTAAAAAGGGCTGTTAATCATCTTTGTTTCAAAGCTAACCTAGAGACTAAATTCCTCCCAAATTGAGTTGGCTTACACCCAGGAATGAACAAGGACAGCTTGGAGGTTAGAAGCAAGATGGAGTCAGTTAGGTCAGATCTCTTTCACTGTCATAATTTTCTCAGTTACAATCTTTGCAAAGGCTGTTTCATATATATGGATGTATATTCCTAAAATTTTGGGAGAAAAAATATCTGTGTTGCATGTTTCCAGGCCTTCATATTCAAAGTCACAAAATGGATCGGTCCAGAGCTAGATATGATTTCTGGTTGGGGTTTTCTAGGCCTTCATGTGGCTAAGTCACATCAGCCTCCTTCACTCCTTCCTCTCTATCAGTTATCTTTAAGGATAAGGAGACATATCTTTGTCTTCTCTAACCCTTTATTTTGTTCTGAGAGCAGGAAAGCCAAAATCAGCCTCTTACCTCCCAATCTGTCTATAAACCAAAAATAAAATTCTAAGCCCCCCAGACATCTGAACAAATCCTTCCTCTTGGCCAAGGGCATTCAAAGTTAATCTGAAAAGTTAATTCAGGTCATGATGGGAAGTTGGGTGTCAGACATGCCTCACAGCTGACCAGCATTAACATCAATACAGAGACCTTAAGACTGATAGAAGAGAATTTCTAAGTCTGATGAGAAACATTTACAATCTAGTCTTTCTGAAGCCTGCTACCTGGAGGCTTTATCTGCATGATAAAACCTTGGTCTCTACACCACTTATCATAACCCAGACATTCCTTTCTATTGACTCCAGGCCTTTACATAATAACTCTTTCAACCAATTGCCAATCAAAATATCTTTGAATTCACTTATGACCTGGAAGCTGCAGCTTCTAGTTGTCCTGCGTTTCTGGAGTGAACCAATGTACATCTTACATGTACTGACTGATGTCTTATGTTTCCCTGAAATGTATGAAATCAAGCTGTAACCTGACCACCTTGGGCACATGTCCTCAGGATCTCCTGAGAGCTGTGTCATGGGCCATTCGTCACTCATATTTGGCTCAGAATAAATCTCTTCAAATATTTTACAGAGTTTGACTCTTTACGTTGACATGTCCCATTGGGTGCAAGGTCATTGTGAGGCCTCATGGACTAGGAATCTGACAGCCACCTTTGTCAGTATTCACAAAGAGCCATTGTGTAGACAAGTTCCACAGGGATTTTGAGTTGACTCAAAAGGGGAAGGAAGATGGTGACAACCTTGATTTCATGTTTTCTAGGTTCCTTGACTGATTTCTTTTGTGATCCACTGTCTAGTTCCTTTCAGAAATTAGAAAAAGTTGCATAAGCCTCTTGCTGCTAAAGAGCATATGTGCATTACAACAAGCACTCTGGTCCGGGGGGTCTGGTCTGTTCACACTCGGATGTAGAAAAGAAACCAGGCAGTCACCTCTGTGAAGTTTGGGATAGAGGCTAAAAAAGGTCTGACACCTTTCTTTCCCCACACTCTGAGCCTCCATCTCTCTTCCCATTCTAGGAATATGCTGTGGGGTACTGGATACATAAGGGAATGCCATCAGAGAAGGTGGTCATGGGCATCCCCACATATGGGCACTCCTTCACACTGGCCTCTGCAGAAACCACCGTGGGGGCCCCTGCCTCTGGCCCTGGAGCTGCTGGACCCATCACAGAGTCTTCAGGCTTCCTGGCCTATTATGAGGTACCTGGAAACCCCCTGTACCCTCAGCTCCCTGCCATGTCTGGGTAGATGTTCCATCTTCAATTTGACAGCAGAGTAAAGCATCCTGAGTGTTGCGAAGGGGAAAGGGCAGAGTACTACTGAACATGTGAGGGGATCTCCTAACTCTGGGTTGGGAGAGGGTCAGGGAATGCTTCCTGGAGGAAGTGAAATAAGCTGGACTCTGAAGAGGAGATGGAGCTAGCCAGGAATGGGGATAGGCAGAGGAGAGTGCGAGAAATTGAAAAAGGAAGACTACCCCAAGTTCTTGATTTGAGCAGCTAAGTGGATGGCAATGCCATTTACAGAGATAGGGAAGACTGGAGGGAGAACAGAGTGGACATTGGTCCTGCTCATGAGATCAGTTTTGGACGTTCTGAGTGTGAGGAGCCCGTGGGACATACAGATAACAGGTGAGTCATTGAATATATGGGTTTGGATCACAGCAGGCCAGTCTGCACTAGAGAGGTAGATTCAAAACTATCAGCATAAAGCTGGTACCTGAAGCCAAACCATACAGTGAGAAGTGAATGAGGCCCCAGACACACCCAAAAACCTCCTACACCTGAGGGACATGCAGAGGAAGGGGAACATATTAAGGTAACTGACAAGGAACTACAAGAGGGATAGGAGGAACCCACCCAGATCTGTGCCAAAGACCTTAGAGAAGTAGGTGTTTCAAAAAGGAGGGAGTGGTCAAATGTGTCAAATTCTGTGCAGTTGTCAGATAGATCATAGGGATAACAAAATTGTTCTGCTAATTATACCATCATTCCTCTCTGCCCTCCAATCTGGGAAAATTTATTTAAAAAGCATAGGGGAAGATATAAATCTAACAATAGGTCAACCAACAGAAACTCTTTGGACACTCCCATATCCCAAACACTGGGTACTGTGAAAGCTAGAAATAAGTAATTATCCATCCTTGTCTCTAAAGGGGTTATTGTCAAGGTGGAAAGAATGTGAAATACAGACATAGCTAGTTAAACAAGAGTTCAAAAACAAGATAACTATAACATTTAATAAAATCAGAGAGGTATTGTAAAACAATATGGGATTCAATGACCAATGAATGGTGTAGAGTGACATGAGATCAGAGATGGGTGACTGGGGAAGGCTCCATGGAAGAGGAGAAGTTTATGCTGGGCCTTGAAGGATTAGTAGAAATTTGATCAGGTAGAGAAAAAAAAATATCATTCTATATCCTGGTCTATCTTTGGAGTCCCAGCCTGACCTCTCATTGTGAGTGTGAACATGCCATCGGCCCATGCTGAATGACTTGGCACCCACCAAGGTACCCATTCAGTGTAATGCTCAATTTTTCCCTTCATCTTACACATAGGAATGATTGGCACATCATCAATTCAATTGGCAACAAGAATGGGACATGGGTCATTGTGAGAGTCCTCATTGAATCTCAGGGTGCCTGATACATAGGAAGTGGGAGAGAGGCTGACCCATCCTTGGGTAGTTCTAGGTTGATAGCAATAACACTCTTAATATAAGGGAGAAGAGAGGTCATTGCTCAGAATCTCCTGGTAGGGTTATAATATCAACCACTAGATATGCACTTCCCATCTCATGGAAAGTTTGATTTGATTGTTCAGTTCATAATGACTCTAGGTCATTATAACTTTGACAGGTTGATATTTGCTTAAATATTCAACTTTCATTTTCTGCCCTCATTGTAGTAAGCACGAATGTAGTTCATCCAAAAAGAGTAATCCTAAATGGATTTTCTATGTGATGTTGAAATGCATTGTTTAATTGAAGATTTATCTTTTTTAGAGCTCTTCCTTATGCTAACAGAAAGAATATAGCTAATGATAGAAGGGGAGCCCCAGGACAGGGCATATTGGATATGGGACGGGACAGAGGAGGAGTAATAAGATTTAAGTGGAGATGCTACAAGATGAGGAATAGTGGTGATGGTCATGATAATACTTCACTTTAGAAGTAGAGCACTTTACTGTTTTCAAAAAAATTTTTTAATGTGTATTAGTTCATTTGATCCTAACAACAACACTGTAAGGTAGATATGTTGAAAGCATTATTATAATTATTTCCATTTTGCAAATGAAGAAATTGGAAGATTTATTGGTCGGTGCTGGGGTCTGATCTGGAACTCAAGTATTTTCTGATTTCTAGCTGCTGTGTCTCCTCCTGATGAGACTTTAGCACAGACACTTCCTAGAGGTTCACCTTGGAACACCCACTTCATATGATATATGTGGTCATTTCTCTCATTGTCTGATCCTTGGGATAAAGGTTCTGATATTTTCCCCAAGTCCCTAGTGGCTCACCTGCCCTGTCTACCCCAACCAAGTTTCAAGAATAACCCATTACTGACCCTCTCGTTTCCCTTTCCCCTGCCAGATCTGCCAGTTCCTGAAAGGAGCCAAGATCACGCGGCTCCAGGATCAGCAGGTTCCCTACGCAGTCAAGGGGAACCAGTGGGTGGGCTATGATGATGTGAAGAGTATGGAGACCAAGGTAGGTGGGCCACAGGCAGATACTCCTTTAGGTGGGGAATGGTGATATGTAGTAAAATGCCTGAATACTCTATGTTCAAAGAGAGAAGCTTCTGAGGCCCCAGACTCTAGGATGGGATCCAGCAGCCTTTATAGCTCAAGTCTAGTAGTGACTCTATGTCACACCCGCGAGCAGCTGTGGTACAGGTAGAAGAGTTGGAAAGGACGCAAAAAAGAATTGAGAACAAGTAAGTTTATTCTGATAAGTGAGGAGTGGAGAGAAGAGTAAGGCAAGGAGAAGGGAGAGGGAATAAAGGAGACGTTGGTGCCTGTATAGATAATCTACTTTGTTAATTATCTCGGGACAAACTGTTCAGTCCTTCTCATGGATTACCTAGCTAGGAGGCTCCAGATTCCTGAGCCTACCAGTTCTTAGACCTTGGTAAGACATTTGTGTTCCTTTCATGGTTAGAACAAAAAGGAGGCTTGAGTGTAATTGACAATCCTGGCCACTTGTCTTGTTAAGGGCTTCCTAGTTTCTTCCCTTATTATGGAGAGTTTTCTCAGCCTCCAAGAATGCCGGACCTTGAGTGTGGTGACTCAAGTCAGAATGAGATGTAGCTAATGCTGATTTGGTGGCTCTCTCTCCCTGAGCAATCTTACCCCTCAGGAAGTCTCTAACTCCAGAAAACCAGTTAGTCTACTGCTGTATTTTAAGCTTAGTCCCTCATCTGAACCTGATATGGTCCTGGGCATTTAGGGGCCACCCTTCGAATCTCTGTGTATCCTTCTGTGTCTCCCATAGGTTCAGTTCTTAAAGAATTTAAACCTGGGAGGAGCCATGATCTGGTCTATTGACATGGATGACTTCACTGGCAAATCCTGCAACCAGGGCCCTTACCCTCTTGTCCAAGCAGTCAAGAGAAGCCTTGGCTCCCTGTGAAGGTAACAGTCCAGGCTGGAGCTGGGAGTGGGCAGACAGCTGGGCAGAACAGGGCACAGGAGACTGGGGGAGATCATCTTCACATATTTGGACTAATCCTTTCTCATGCTCCTTTGGCTCTTCTGCCATGTTTTCTTAGCAATTAGGCTGGTTCTGCCCTTTTCATAGGCTTCCCATAGACTTTTAAAGTAATAATAATAATATTGATAAATTTTGGCTACCATTTATTGAGCATAGTATGAGCTAAAGACTTTCATTACATATATATTAGGGATAAATATTGACACCACCACAATTCTTGGTTACAAAATCATCAGCCTGTCTTAATTTTCTAAATCACAATAAATCTGACTCTATGTCCTCAATTCACTGGACTGATGATAATTTCCATCTCACTCATTACCTGAGGCTCTTTTCCCCCACCCACAGTTGATCTTACTTAGTCTAGACATTTGGGAGCTCCCATGGTCATTATTGCTACGCCTTTACCCAAGCCTCCCTATTACCTTGAAGGTCGGTGGCTTTGCTGCTGCTCCATCCCTGGGCCCCCAGTTCCCTAGGTGCGTTGTATATCCTCCTGTGCAGATGAAGGCTGTTGCTGACCAAACAGTTATGCTGTGATACATTGGTTCTAGGGCAGAGGGTGGAGAAGCAGGGCGCTGGGGCTCACTGCAGACAGACAACTAAAAGACTGGCTCTGCTATCCTGGCAAAGGGCCTAGAACCATTTGAAAACTCCTGATTAGATAATTGGGTAGCAGCCTTCCAACTCTGAGCATCCATTGTTTAGTAACTTGACTTAGGCCTCAGTTTACTGAGTTGGGCTTTGAAATATTTTTCCTTTTGTTTCCAGGATTAACTTACAGAGAAGCAGGCAAGATGACCTTGCTGCCTGGGGCCTGCTCTCTCCCAGGAATTCTCATGTGGGATTCCCCTTGCCAGGCTGGCCTTTGGATCTCTCTTCCAAGCCTTTCCTGACTTCCTCTTAGATCATAGATTGGACCTGGTTTTGTTTTCCTGCAGCTGTTGACTTGTTGCCCTGAAGTACAATAAAAAAAATTCATTTTGCTCCAGTAAGTATGGCCTCATTTATTCAGTCCTTGACCCTGTGATATCAGGTTGTTCTGTCCCTGCTATTTGTGGGATCCAGAGCTAGGGTGAAAACGAAGTTTTGCATATCATGTTTAAATATTAAAAACAGCTAACATGCTGTTAAAATATGACTTATGCTCCAACATTAACACATACAACTTTGCAACCACCTAGAAGGTCAGAACCTGAAAATTTAAAATTCTCAGACTCCTTAGAATACCACACCAGAATTCCCATCTTTGCCTCTGTCTCTCACAGTAGGAGCCTCATGGGCATACTTGTGGACATTGTAGGCTTTGTATCCAAGCTTCATCTGCACTCTACCCTCTACCCTCAACCTCCAACACACAAACCCACCCACACACACATACACCTGCCTCTGGGCTATGCATGTGCACACCGGCGTTGTGGTCCACTCTCAGTAAAGATGGGCCCAGGGAAAAGTCATGTGCAGGCTCTGAGAGAGCGCACAGGCTCTTCTGGCTATTTGGGTAGAAATGCTGGATGTCTGGATCATGATTTAGAAGAGGAGGTATGTGAGCTTTAGGTGAATGTGCTCCTAGCCTGGCAGTCTCCTTACCTTGTGGGGAGGGGTGCAACTGGAAGAGGGCCCAAGTGGGACCCTCCAAAGGAGGGTCAGCAAACTATGGCCCATGGATCAAAGCTAGCCCACTGCCTGTTTTTGTAAATAAAATTTTATTGGAAGACAGCCACACTCAGTTTTTTTTACATATTGTCTGTGGCTACTTTCTCCCAACAATGGCAGAGTTGAGAAGTATGACAGAGATGGTATGGCCTGCAAAGCCTAAACTATTTACTCTCTGGCCCTTTACAGAAAAGTTTGCCAACCCCTTTTCTAAAGCACGGTGCTCACAGCACCAGGTCTAAGACTGATTCCGGTGTCAGACTCCTTAATTTTAGGATGAACTGTTTTCCCCCATTTTCCCAATTTCTTCCAATCTTTTCCGTCTAGAAAAGCCACTTTTATCCTGACCTTTGAACAACAGTTTCATGCACATATTTAATTCTCATGGCTTGTGAAGTTAGTGATAATAAACCCAATTTTCAGATGAGCTAACTGGGGCATCATTGTAAGGGTACATGTCTGATAAGTGGTGGCAACTAGACTGAATCCAAGAAGGCGGCTGCACCAGAATGTCCGTGGAGGAGGGCATTAGAGGTGGCTACACGATCAAAGCAGCATAAGGTGGGAATACTAGGAGACTTTTTTCAAAACTGCTTTGAATATCCTATTATGATGGAAAACCCCAGACGTACATACCAAAGAATGGGAATGGCAAGCACTGACAGATACTAAGGGAAGTTAGTCCCCAAGGTCCCCTTGAATGCTGCTCCAGTGCTCAGATCTTCTTACTACAAGGTAGAAATTGCTTGGGCACCTCTCTGGCTTTCTAACTCTGGCTTTCTAACTTTGCTTCCTATGGTAATTGAATTCTCAAGAAGCAGAAGATCAGAGTAATTAAGAACATAGTCTGGAGCCAGATCTCCTGGGTTCACACACAGTGGCTTTGTTACCAACCTAGTGGCTATGTGACCTTGGGCATGTTATTTATCTTTTATGTGCCCCCAGCTTTCTCATTTTTAAGGTGGGGATAATAACAATATCTACCTCTCAGGGATATGATAATGGTTAGGTAAGTTAATATTTGTAAGGCATTTGGGCAAATGCCCGACACATCACAAATACTATTTGTGTTTGTTATTATTTCCATTAAAAGGAAAACATTAGATAAAACAAATCCAACAGAGTTTATTTGAGCAAAGAATGATTCAATGAATTCGGCAACACTCAGAACCAGAAGAGGTTCAGAGAGCTGTCCTCTGCAATATGGAGAATGAGTATTTATAGACAGAAGAGAAAGTAGAGAAATAGTCTAATTGGTCACAGCCAGGAGTTTGCCTTATTTAAACATGGTCTGATCAGTTGGCTGCCTCTGATTGGCTGAGATCTGGTTACTGTTACAAAAAAATATACTTCTAAGTTAGGTTTCAGTTTATGTACATACTACATTAGGTTCTAGATCATTAGGAGGGACTCAAACTACAGAGATAACCTCAGGCCAAAGTTAATTTAACACTTCCATTATCCAGCTGCTGTAACGGGCACAAGAGAGAGTATGGGCAGCTGCCCAACACATTAACCTTGGCCTTGCATGGAGCCTAAGAGCCCATTAAAGGTCTATGTCTTGGGCTCTAAGCCGTGAACTCATGGAGCCCTCTCTCATGCTTACTGTGAGGATAGAACCATTTGTTTTGCAAACATCCAGGAGAAGATTAAGGAAATCAAGGCCCCTTGTTTGGCTGGGGTTGGGGATGGATTCTGGTCATCCTTTCCTTTCCTCTCCTCTCCTCTCCTCTCCGCTACTTTCCTTTCCTCTCCCCTACACCCCTACCCACTACAACCCCTTTGAGGAGATCTTTGTAGGCTAAGAGTCTTATGCCAAGGAGGAACCATATCTTAGACTTGCTCAGGGGCAGTATGGGTGAGAGTCAGGAGGTCGTAAGAACCCAGGCCCCAGTTGGTCTCCGCTTGGATTACAGCTCTGCTACTTCTCGGTGTGATCTTTGGCAGTTTGCTTAGTCTCCTGTCCCTCAGTTTTCCTAATACGTAGAACAGATGACAGTAATAGCATCTTCCTGAAGGGATAGTTTTGAATAAACGAATTAATACATATGAAGCGTTTAGCACATCGTAAGTGCTGAATGAATGTTCGCTATTATTGTGTTCAACACTGCTCCAGTTCTAGTTAGTCAATGCCTCCAGTTTTTGACATTCTTCTAGTGTTCAGACAGAAGCTAAACAGTCAAAAGCCTGGGAAGGATGGGGACAGATTTTAGGTAATAAATAGCTTTGGAAATGCCATCAGCTCTGCACAACCATACACATGTACTAAAGTTGGTAGGACCCATTTCTGTTTTCTTTGTGAATCTAATTTGCCTTTAAACGGATCCGGCCTCAAAGATCCCAATGGTCTGAGTAGCATCTCCCAGAAAAATCTTGAAAATGTACCTGGCAGATCTCTTAAGAAGGAGGTATCTTGGCATATACTGGGAGTGGAGCCAGCAGCAAGACTCTCTCCTAGATGGGATTTCATTTAAGTTAGGCTATGTCGATGCCTCGGGGCTAATGTCAATACCAAAGGTTTTTTTAAAAAGGCCTGCCTTGGAGGACAGCAGATCACATCTTTGGTACTTTCGTTGTCTTCTGGGGCAGAGGGACCCTCAGAAATGGTCTAGAAACCTATGATGTGGCATCATGGTGGGCTTCCTGTAGGTGGCATCCCTTTATGTATGGGTAGTAAGACTGGGGAAGGAGTGGAAGGAGGTGGGTCCTAAAATATTGTGATTTTCAAAGCCTTGATCCCTGGGCATTTTTGCAGCTGTCTTTTCTCTGATATACATTGTTCCCGGGATCTGTCCCAGGGCTTGCTGCCTCTCCTTTCTGAGTCAAAGCATAATTAGAAATGTCTGTCCCAGGTGAATTTTCTCTGTCCTCTGTAAACCAGACAACATTTGAATAAACAGAAACAACCTTGGAAAATGATGCTTTCTCATGCCAAACTTGATAGAACTCACAAACTTCTTGTAGCCACTACCCAAATCTATTGCTATAATAGAATCAAGGTATTAGGGCCTGGGCAGGGATAAACCCACCCAGGATGGTTTATCCAGGAATGCGGTCAAATGGTTATTTGATGTCCTTTGTCCATACTCCTCTGCTAGCATCCATCTGGTCTCTTTGGACACATGGGACCTACTCTGACCCCAAATGACTTTGGACTCTAGGTCAGCCTCATACGTGTGCCAAATATGCCATTTTCCTCAAAGAACTTTCAGTCAACAGCCTTTTAAAGCTGCCTTCCCATGTGTCCCTGGGTTGGTTACCCAAGATGGAAAACACAGATAAGATTCAGAGAGCTAAGGGGAGCCGTATGCCACCCCTATCCCTTTATTCCTGATCTCCCATCATGCCTGCTGAAGGGGGTCAGGTGCAGGATGAGAGGGCCTGCATGCTCCCTATAAAAGCTGTTGAGTACCCCACTCAGACCTGGAACTTGCATTTAGGACTTCCCAGAAAAATGGGCAAGCTGCTGATTCTTGCTGATGAGTCTTTCCCAGGCAGGCTGAGTTTAGCTTTCAGAGCAGCTGCCTGTTCTCCTCAGTTCACTTGCTGTCTCCTCCCCTATCCTATGTTCCAAAGGCCTGCACTCTGTCCTTCCTCCGTCTCTTGCAGCCTTCTTGAGTTCATAACATGGTGGGGAAGTAAGGAAGAGTTCACTGAGCACCTTAGGGCTTCATACTGGAGGGAAAGTGGATAACTCTGGCAGACCAGGACAAGGCCATTTCCACCACGTGAAATAATAGAAGACTTAGGCCAGCCCCCACCCCAACCCCTTTCCAGTGTTCTGTGATTCCCGCTCAGTGCCAGCCACAGAGCAGGAGCCCAAGACACTCACTTAATCAAAGATTAACCAACTACCAGGAGCAATTAGTAGAAAAATGAATAAGACAGATGTTTCTCTGAATGTAGAACTCTGGGAGCAGGTGCATAGGAGGGGGTTTGGGAGAGAGGAAGAAAAGGCCTCAAAGAGTTAATGCAGCTCCCCCATGGCTAACTTGTTTCCCAGAGAGAGTGACCAAACTGTAGAAAGAAGCCCAATAAGGGTGATCACTGGGATGGCACAACAGCACATCCAGGGTGTGTTTGGGTGGCTTGGAAAAGGATACAATTTAAAAACTTCATCTGAGTTGAAAAGCAGAGTGTAGTTGTTCCTGGAAAAGATGAGTTGTAGCTCTAGGGTGAAGAGACTGCTATGGGAAGGGGCCCTCTGCCTGAAATCTCCCTTTCTTCACCTTCTATGCCTCCTGTGCCCCTCCCCACCAATCTGGCTTATCTTTAGGGTCCATTCATTCAACACATATTGATAGAGAGCTGACTGTGTGCTGGGTAGTGGGGACTCAGCCGTGTCAGCACAGTCTTTGCCCTCACAGAGCTCACAGTCTGATGGGCAGACCAATAAACAATCATCTTTCAGTGTGGTAAGGGCTGTGATGGGGATAAGCACAGATGTCAAAGGGGCCTAGAGGGACATCAGGGAGTTCCAGTCCCAAGGTCACCTCTCTTGGGAAGTCTTCCCTGACCTCTGTGTCTCAATTTTATCACTTGTCATATGGCATTGCACCTATGTGCTTACAGGTGTGACTTTCCACCAGGCTGTGAGCTCCTTGAGGGGAGGGACCCTGCCTATGTAGTTTTTTGATCTCTACCACCCAGTAATTAATATAGGTTTATTGAAAGAATAACAACACATCCTCCTGGCTCCTGAGTCACACACCATCACCTGAGCTTCCGGGTAGCCAAGTGAATGCCTACATTAGCCACCTGCTCCAAATATGTCATACAGTAGCCTATGTTGGGAAAGGGTTTATAGAGCAGAGGGGGCGTCAAGCCCCATCTCCCTTTCCCCATTTACTGGCCATGGCTGCCATAGGCTTGCCCCTTCCCAGCCAGAGACAGGATGACCCTGGCACCCTCTGACCAAGATCTTTTTGTCTTTAGGTCTGGCCCTCCTGCTGCAGCTGGGTAAGTATCCCATGAGAGGGTTCCCCAAAAGATACCAACAGCAGAATGTTTAGCCTTTGAATGCTGTCCACAGTCACTCTCATGCCGTGCTTCATTGGTAGAGCCTTCAGCATCCTTCTCCCCAGGAGAGGCAGGTTGCTGTCATTTTTCTGGATTCTTTTCTCCAAGAAATTCAACTCCCCAGCATCCTATTCTGTGTGTCACAGGAGGTGCCATCCACAAAGGATTCTCTGTGAATAGTATCCCCTGAAGTTTGCCATGTTGCTGTACAGCCCCACAACAACCTATCAACTAGCTGCCAATTTAACCTAAAGTTTAACCTAAAATTGCACCAGCTAAATGCTTAGCATATTTATTGGGTAACTACTGTGTGCAAGGTGCTTTTCATTTATTATTTTATATACCCACACATTAAATGCAATGAAGTGGGCATATTAAAACCATGTTAAGGTTGAGGCAACTGAGTCATAGGGAGGTTAAAAGCTTTCCCTAGCCCACAGAACCCAGGAAGGCCAGATCACCTTATCAGCTAAGTTGATGCTTTTGTCCCATCAGGAATCCAATGGGTAGGTTTTATAGTCGAGCTCACAGGACCATGGTATAAAGGACTTAGGTGTGAGTCCTGGCTCTGCCACCTTACGAGTTGGATGATCTCGGTCAAGTTGCTTCATCTCTCTGAATACCACTTAAAGGTCAAATGATATTAACAGCTTCTGCCTTGTGGGGTTATAAGAATTAAAGAAGCAATGCGTGTAAAGTACCTGGCATTTAGCAGGCACTCAGTAAATGGTAGATGCTTCCACTGCCGGTGTTCCTTGCTCTCTCCTAGACTCAGACTTCCAGCTTTCTGGCCTTGTGTATCCCGGAAGCTCCAGCCAATCTACTTTCTGTGCTGAGGGGTTGATATCTGGCTCCCTCATCCTCCCCAGGATGCCCTGTCTTTTCTTCCCTGAAGTTCCCTTCTGCACCAGGGTCCATCAGCCCACTGGCAGAGATGGGAGCAAGAACCTACTCAATGAGTTATTTATAGCGTGCCCTGGAGGACTCATGGCACAAGGGCCCCTTGATCCTACAGAGAGCTCTGTTCCCAACACAAAGGCCTTGTGTGGAATGTGAGGGTGGAGGGACCGACTGGCAAATGACAGCTCGTTTCAAGTGGAATTTCTTTACACTAGTATCTTTTTATCTCCAGCAACACAGAACTGAAAACCTCGCTGTCTATTGGTGGCTGGAACTTTGGATCCCAGGGATAAGACCTAGCATTCAGGATTGAATCATTTCCAGATTAATCAGTCTCTTCCAAGCTCCAAGGACTGTAAGTTTCTCTAAAGTGAGTGAACCCCGGGCCTCAGACCCCAGTGTAGACATCCCAGAACTCTTCTCTGACCAGGTCTCCCTGAAGTCTGCTCTTCCTTCATCATAGCTCTTACCACACTATTTTTTTAAATTGGACATTTCATGATTTTTTGTTATATTATTTTTAACTTAGTTTTTTAATTGACATACAATAACTGTACATATTTATGGGATACATAGTGATGTTTCAATATGTATAATGTAGAGTGATCAGATCAGGGTAATTAGCATATTCATCATCTCAAACATTTGTCATTTTTTTGTGTTGACAACATTTAATATCCTCTTTTTAGCCCTTTGAAACTATACATTATTGTTAACTATATAGTCATCCTATACCACACTGTATTTTAAGTTCCATTTACTTATCTATACCTTCCTCTATATGAGCTCCTCCAGGGCAGAAACTATTTTATTCACCACTCTATCCCAGCAATGTTAATAAATGACAGAATAACTGAATGACAGTAAATGACAATAGATGACAGAATAACTGAATGTATGTCCAGGCAAATAGTAAGGCGGATAAGTGGCAAGACAGAGTATTCAGGAGCTTAGGCTACTGTGATTTAGGCTACAATGACTTATTGACTCCAGATTCTCTGATGTGGCGGCCACTGCTGAGAACCGCCAGACCTTCATGCAGTCAGCCATACAGTTTCTGAGGAAGTACAACTTCGATGGGCTGGACATTGATTGGGAGTATCCAGGCAATCGTGGCAGCCCAGCTGACACCCAGCAGCTCTTCACCATCCTGTTGAAGGTGTCTCACCCTCACTGTGTCCAAAGAATACATGATCTGGCCCACAGCGGGCTGGGAGTTCTGGAGAGGGGTTCTGAGAGAGGCTGAATATATGCTGGCCAGGGGTGTGGATCTCACCCTTTCTGGCTCACAGCCTCATCTCTTTAGTGTAAGAGCAGATCTCTCTTTTGGGGAAAACTCCGACTGGCAGTGAGAAGTATATCTTTGAGCACCAATGTTAGCTTCGATGCTCTTATTTCCCCTTCTTCCATTTTTTCTGATGATTAGATGCAATCACATATACAGTTTGCAGTGCTGGAGGCCATTTTTGTCTCTTTAATACAATCTCCCTCCTTTTAAAATAAAATTCTACTCTGGACATTATTTGTTTATTTTAAAATTTAACTTTCAGAGGATGACCGAATTTCCCTCATTTCCAAGTTTTCGGAAGACAGCTTACTGTTATCCCCAGATACCAACAACAGCTTTTGGATCAAAGGACTCTAAACCGAGCACGTTGCAGCTTTCTTCATAAGAGCTGTGACCTCGTCACATGCCCACTTGTCCCTCTAGCCTGTGTTCAGTGTCTTCTGTTTCACAGGAAATGTATGAGGCTTTTGAGCAAGAGTCTACCCGCAGCAAAAAGCCCAGATTGTTGATGTCTGCTGCTGTGTCAGCTGGCAAAGGTACCATTGAGACTGCCTGCCAGATCCCTGAGATGTCGAGGTAAGCAAACCCAGGAGCTCATATTCAGAGCTAAGTGACCCTTAGACCTTCCCCGGGCATTGTCAAATGCCCAGATACCAGTGACCAATGCTCAGGTACCCAGGATAGAGAGGACTCTATCTCAGAGGAATGAAATGACCTCAATTCCTGAGGAAGAGGCAGAGGGAGACAGTATGAATGCTGGCCTTGTTTCTAAGTCTATCTCCAAGGTTCTCTAGGGCAAACGGCCATTTGGAGAAGGTTAATTGAGTCTCAAGCTTCTACAAGTCCTGAAGGTCTGAGTGTAACCAGATAGTGATCATGGAATGGGTGCCTTTTATATTCCAGGTGCTCTTGAGATGAAGGTGAGGGAGAATGGAATAAAGAATAACAATGCATAAGGGAAACTTTATTGCATAGTGGCAAACAGCAGATTTGGCTGTTTGTCAAATCTGCAATCAGCCGATTTGGGACTAGGAGTGTTAGGGGTAGTGGGTTAGAAAGAATGATTTCCCTTGGGTCATTTATTTCCTCTTGCTCTCTCTCCCAGCTACCTAAGGTACATGGACCTCATCAGTCTGATGACCTATGACCTAAGGGGCTCCTGGGAGGGCTTCATAGGCGAGGACACCCCCACTTGCAGGACCTAATGACCAGGGAGACTACAAATACTTTTATATGGTGAGTGAGGAAGCCAGTCCTAACAGACATCTTCAAAGCCTGTCACTGGATCCCCTGCCCCAGACTGCAAAGGAGACCAAGAAACTTGATGGACAGCTCATGTTCTCTACCTCCCTGTCCCTGTGACTGATTGTATCCATTCATCTTTCACAAAAAAGGAAGCAGAATAGTGGCTTGGGATAATCCCAAACATTGGGGAATTTTAAAAAATATATTTTCCATTTATGCTAGGAGCACATCTCATGATCCATCTTCTTCCCACTCTTCCTTCCCTCCCTTCCACCCTCTTTCTTCCTAATTTATGTGGTTTAGGCAGCTGTAATAGTTAGTCTGCCTAATGATTAGTAGGTGAGTAAATGGGCTAGATGTCATTTCAGTGGAGATTTCAACCAGGGATTTAAAAATTGACATGGGAAAATCTCCCAGTCGATGCTCCATGCACGAACAATTCTCAGCATTGTAGTAAGCCCATTTGGAAGACAAGTGGATGCATGGCTGAACACCAGTCATGCCCCAGATGAACTCCAGTATGAGGAAAAAGAGGATCTCTGGCTAACACTGGGCCCTGCTACTAAAGCAATGAACCTCTCTTAACACCCATTCTAGAAGGGGCAGCACTCCTTTCCTTTCAATGAGATTGGACTGTGGAAGGGGTTTGACTGGATGCTGTACCTGGAGATACTAGGGAATTAGGCAGAAAACCTGGCTGTTCCAAGGCCTCTGGGTACATACTCAGCTGCTTTCTCATGATATCTTCCTCATCTTGCCTCCAGGATTAGGCAATGAACTACTGGAAGAGCCAAGGTGCCTCTGCTGAGAAGCTGATGGTGGGCTTTGGGGCTTATGCTCACACCTTCACTCTCAGTAATCCTGCCAATCATGGCCTGGATGCTCCCACTTCTGGCCCTGGGACTTCTGGGCCCTATACACAGGAGGCTGGAACCCTTGCCTACTTTGAGGTAATGTCCTCAGAGGGCCTAGAGGACCCACTCTCTCTGTTCTCAAGGTTGAAGATAAGTCAATGGAGAGAGTCTACACTCTGATTTCCAGTAGAGGGTACCCTGTTGCTGACTGCTCTGAATATATGTGGCAGTGAGAGGAAGGAAGAGTGAAAGATTGATAAAACATCTTAAATGTTAACCTTTTAAAGTAAACATGCATCTTTAATATTAGAACTAGCTAATGCTTACTGAGTGCAAATGGAGAGCCAGGTTGTGCTCCAAGTGACTTTTATATATCATCTCATTTAACAAACAATAAGGTACTGCATTCTCCCCATCTTATTCAAGAGGTGACTGAGGCACAGAGAGGTTAAGTAATTTGCTCAAGGTCACAGAATTAGTAAGTGGCAGAGCTGGGATTCAAACTTAAGTTGTCCAGCTCCAGAATCTCAGACCTTACCCATTATGCTATACTGTCCTCTTATTAGCTGTTTTGAGACACAACTCTTTCAAACGGAACAAATTCATTTCAAAAGGAAACCAGGACACAAGGCATAAGGAAGCTGCTTGTTCATTGTTGCACATGAGGTTATTGGCAGACAAAGGACTGAATTCATGTCTCATCTCTCTAGCTAGAGCACTCCACTGTCCCATGGGACAAAAGCAGGGCAGGGAGCTGGGTGACACTGGAACCAGTTTCTATTATTTCCAGCAAAGGGGAATGGGCTGGGATGAGGATCTTAGAAAAGAAATGGAGGGAGGACAGAGAATTGGCCTGAGTACAGCAGGGCCAATCTGAGTTATGACTGCTCCTTCTGTACCTGCCCCAGTTCTACTCCTTCCCGAAAGGAGCCACCTAGGTGTGGAATGCCCCCTGGGAGGTGCCTTATGTCTACAAGGGGAACCAGTGGATCAGGTACGACAACTCCAAGAGCTTCACCCTCAAGGTAAGGCCCTCCACACTCTTCCTAATGCATGGTTGGGGAGAGTTGGGGGACCTACCCTCCAGTTGCCCTTGAATTGCAATCCCAGGAGACCCCTGAGGGAGGTGAGGAGAGACACAGAGAGGTTGTGAAGTTTCAGGGTGAGCCAGTGACCCAGCCACGGAGCCTGACAGTTGGAGCAACCCCTTCACCTCCTTTTCCTTCCTTTCCTTGACTCCTGCACTTTCTCCTTCTTCCCACCCCTGGAGACTCTCCTTTGGCCCCCTCCCCTGCTCTTCTCTGGTCCTCATGCAGCTCTTTGATTCATGCTTCCTGCTTCTTGATACAGGTGTTCTTCCCCACTCCAAAGACAAAGTGTAGACCACAGAGTTTTTTGCTCTCCTTTGCCTATCTCCTGCCCATGGCAAATTCACACAGGCTGAGCCCAAATCGGGAGGCGATAGAGCCTCTGGTCTGTGAGGTTATGCTCAGGTCTGGGGAGGACATAATTGCTGTTTATCAATCCCAGGGCCCTTCACCCTACACCTTCCATCTAGAGCCCTCTCACTTTGCCCAGGTACTTTGCTTTGTGAAGGGCCCTATATCTCTATAGCACTCAACCCACCCAAACTCCAGCTCTGAGGTGCCTTCTCAGAAGGTGGTTGGTGATAACAAAGGGCAGGGGGTAAGAGCTGCTTGGGGCCAAGACTCATTCTCTGTGACTTAGTCCTACAGTCCTGTACATACAAATATGTTCATGAATTCCTCAAAGTTGCCTCCTCAAAACCCACCCCCAGTCTCTCCTCTCCATGACTAGATCATGGTCCTCCTGCCATCCTGCTGGAGTTACTCCCTGCATTTGTGCAAGGACAGCCCAGAATCCCCCTGGTTCTCTTCCTCTGGTTTAGTGGCTCCTAAAGAACAGATTTGGAGGGGCCATTGTCTGGGCCATTGACCTGGATAATTTCACAGGCACTTTCTGTGGATGAGGCAAATACCCTCTCATGAATGCACTCAAATCCGCGCTTGGTGTCTCCGCACCCAGTAAGTAGTGATGACCTAACAGCCATGAGATAACAAACTAGACATGGTTAAGAGGAAGAGAAGACCAGAGCTCCTCCCAGTCTCACCTCAAACAAGGCCTCCTCCAGATCTTCCAGCTGTCTTAGTGTGTCCAGTTGGAACTTGCATTTAGGACCCAGAAAGCAAGACCCAGTGGACTTACTAAAGGGCAGGCCATGAGTGAGAGCCCTGGCAAGTAAAAGGGGACCTATCAATATTCTGGAGGATTCTCCTCTGTAGAGCTACTCAGGGAAGCTTCTATAAAGTAAACTGAACATGCTGGAGCCTGGGTAGGGAAGGGGACAAAAACACCGTATTCCCTGTCACTGCTGCTCGGCTCCAGCTTTTATGAACTTTGTGGGTCAGAGGAAAAAAAAAGCAAGGGAGGGATTAAAAACTTAGAAGATGAGGAAAGGAATGAGAGAAGGAGAACTCTAAAGGGGCTCAGCTAGCATCTTTCCTGAAGTGGGGAGCAGAGCTACAGATGGTCTCAACACATGATTCTATCCCAGCCCCGAGAACAGGGCAAGTCCAGGAAGAAAGAGGGGCTGGGAAGCTGCGGAAAAAGCTAGTGCTAATGATTGGATCTTTATTCCGTGTCAAGCCTGCTGGTTCTTTTAGATTTCGTATAATTCTCATAGGCACTCTTGGTGCCAGCTGTATTAGTTTACTTACAAATAAAAGCTAATAATTATGTGGTACTCACTATGTTATATAGCGTGCACATTGGAAAATGCTTTACCTAATAATTCTAAGAGATAATACAATTATGCCATCATTTCAGAGAGGAAATTGAGGCTCAGAGAAGTGTTAATGAATTTCTCATGGTCACATAGCTCATGGCAGAGCTGGGCTATGAACTTGGGTATCCTCGATTCAGGCTCAGAGCATTAAACCACTGGTTTAGGTAGGATGTGTACTGAGAGAAACCCACAGTGACCTTACAGACATGACACTCATCCTGGGAAAGGAGTCCTCTCCTGAGCTTATGGGGACCATTTTCCTTCTCTCTTCAGATTGCAGAGTACCCACCTCTATCCTGGGCACCAGCTTGGCCCCCATCATCACTGCAGCACCTGGGGGTGGCAGCACAGGTGGCAGTGGATTCTGTACTGGGAAGTCCAAAGGTCTGTATCCTAGTCCCACCAGCAAGCATGCTTTCTACAACTGTGTGGATGAGCACACATACGAGGAGGCTTGTCAGGAAGGCCTGGTCTTTGATACCAGCTGCTCTTGCTGTAACTGGGCATAAGCTATTCACCTGCTGGGTCCCTTGGAGATTGTAAGACTAAAGGATGATTAAAGGGAAGTTTTGCATGTGAATGCCAAGTTGTCTGTTTTGATTTATAAATCTGTGTGATACTATCCTGCAAGTAAAAGACAACCTACTGCCACCCCCTAATCCTCGTTGTCCACAAGCTCCCAGGAGATGCCCAAACATTGAGGCTGAGAGAGAAGGAGGAACAGGTACCTGGGACCTCTCTGAGCATCTCTATGGGAAGTTCTGGCACTCTGGCCCCTCCTGAAGCAGGACGAGAGAGGAAATAGGCTCTAAGGAACAAGAGAAAATAAAGCCTCATTCTTTCTCACAAATATGCCTTCAAAGGGTCTTGCGGAAGGACCCAGAAGAGTGGCTGGACTTGGAACACTTAATTTACGGCATCCACCCTCTTTAGGAACTCTTCACGAAGTTTACTCATTTCCCAACTCCATGGCAAACAACCCTAAGAAAGCCTGTGTTTTAAAGACAAAGCATGATGGGCTAACCACAGGCTAGTTTACACACACCTCTTCCACACCTATGAGGTTAGGAAAAAAGACCATCGCCGATGATTTCAAGATTACTTCATTTCCAAAACAAATTCATTTATTATCATTTTATTGCCACACCATGCTGCAACGTACCCTTTGATTCCCTTAGGGAAGGCAATAAGAAAGCTAGAAGAAAAACCACATTACAGCAGGAGTCAGAGGTCCTCTTTCTCCTACCACCTCCAGAGCCTGGCCTTGGCTTTTTCCCCAGTTACCATGCTGCAGAAGGCAGGAAAAATGCAGCTCACCAAGCAAGGGAGACACCTCTTTGTCCAGCCACCTTAACTTGTTTATTGGTGGATAGGGAGGGAGTCTGTGGATTATACGCTTTTGACAAAACTGTCATAATCAGTCATAAGCAGAATCCCCAGAAGTTTATTTTGTCCCTCCCATCTGGCTAGCTGGAGTATAAGCAGGATGTCTATACATCTCTGTTTGCTCGGGAAAGTCCTGGTTAACTATTGTTCCAGTGTCCAATTCATTTAGCAATTGTGTGGGTTTAAAATTTTTATTATAAAGTATTTTTATTACTATTGTATTGAAGTTATATGACATGAATTTATACACTTCCACTTTATACTACTTTTTGCCGTGTTTCATAAACAGAGTTCTTTAATATGTGGTTAAATCTGAACATTTACCAGAGATAACCCCTCTCCTTTCCTGGCCCTTTTCTGACAAAACAAATTACAGCCCCCTTTCAATGACTACTTGCTGGGTGCTTGCTAATAAACTGATGTGCACTAGGACGGAAGTAGCTAGAGATAGCTATCACCTCTGGTCTCCAGGACTGGTGAGGGACTGCTGCTCCTGCCAACCCCTTTGTGGACCAGCCAGTTGTGCCATGGCCTGTGAGATGCATAAAGCCATCAGGCCACATGTCAGTAGGATGAGTGGGTAATTATAGGTTAAGAGTATGTGGAATATAAACAGGGAAATATTAATAGAAACTAAGAAGACATTCCACTGAGTTTGTAGAGAGTAGTCTGAATGCTCTTCCTACAAGGGCTTTATCATCTATTGTGTAGTATAAATCTACAACCACTTATTTATTTTATTGTTTGGTAACACTTTTTATTTTGCAAATAAATGCTTTTGTCAGCAATGAGCTTTAAAATTTCAAATGTCTAGATAATAAAAAATTAAGTAATGAATTTCCATTTTCCAAGAAAGTTGATGGTGAATGTATAACTTATGTACAACTTGCATAAGATGTTGGTTGACATTTACCAACCACCATGGGGTTGTTTGATATAGCATGAAAACCAAAAGACATGAATCTGCTGAACAAGCATCAGCATCTACTTCAAAGAAATCATTATTTTAAGAGGATTTTGCCTAAAGATGATGATTTCACAAAAGTAGTTGCCAAAGGTATTATTTATATCACTAGGTGCCATGGTCTGAACGTTTGTGTCCCTAGCCAAATTCATTGAAATCCTAACCCCCAGGTGATAGTATTGGGAAATGAGGCCTATGGGAGGTGCTTAGAATTAGGGACCTTATAAAGAGAACCCAGAGAACTAGCAAACCTCTTCCACCATGTAAGGACACAGCTAGAAGCTTTTATGTATAAACCAGAAAGTGGGTCCTCACCAGACACTGAATCTGCCCACTTCTTCATCTTGGATTCCTAACCTCCAGAACTGGGGAAAATAAATGTCTGTTGTTTATAAGCTACCCAGTTTATTGTATTTTGTTACAGCAGCCTGAGTGGACTAAGACACTAAGTGAAACATAAATTTTCATTTAGGTAGATCAAGTGACTGATGCTTCAAATTAACTTTTCTCTTTTTCTATTCCAAGTTTTATATCTGTGTGTGTGCATATATAAAAGTGAAGTTCTATTTGCAGAACAACTTTCCAAGCTTTTAAATAATACCAAGTTAATATCAATGTCATCAGATATTTCAAATAGAAAATCAGATAAGATAGTTATTCAAATAATGATGGGATAGTTGGATTTTTTTTTCACACAGCTTATGAAATAAAAATAAAGCTTTTTGGTAGTTCATTTCGTTAAAGGAGAGACATTGGATGTTACCATAAATGCTATTTTAAATTCAGTTAAATAGTTCAACACTAAAATTAATTATTTTGTAGTGATATGAATTCAAATATTGATGGAACATAACATTATGTAAAAACAGTATTCCTTCTAAATGTCTTAGTCCATTTATGCTGCTATAGCAGAATACTGCAAATTGGGTAATTTATAGAAAACAAAGATTTATTTCTCACATTTCTGGAGGCTGGAAAGTCTCAGATCAAGGTGACTGTATCTGGTCTCTGATGAAGACCTTCTTGCTGCATCCTTATATGGCAAGAAAGCAGAAGGGCAAGCTAGCTGAATTGCTGCGTGAAGCCACTTTGAAAAGGGCCTTCATCCTAGTTGGAAATCATCATTCTCAGCAAGCTATCACAAGGACAGAAAACCAAACACCACATGTTCTCACTCACAGGTGGGAATTGAACAATGAGATCACTTGGACACAGGGCAGGGAACATCACACACTGGGGCCTGTCAGGGGGTGGGGGGCTGGGGGAGGGATAGCATTAGGAGAAACACCTAATGTAAATGATGAGTTGATGGGTGCAGCAAACCAACATGGCACATGTATACCTATGTAACAAACCTGCACGTTGTGCACATGTACCCTAGAACTTAAAGTATAATAATAATGATAAAAAAGGGCCTTCATCCTATTCATGAGGGAGGAGCCCATATGGCCTAATCACCTCTTAAATACCCCACCTCTTAATGCTATCACATTGGCAACAGCTGAATTTTGGAAAGGACACATTCGAACCATAGCAGCATGAAACATCTGACATCATTGTAAAAGCTATTGTAGATTCAGTTTAGAAGTTCAGCATTGAAAATCAATTATTTTTATGGTGATAATATGAATTCAAATATTGATGGAAGCATAACATTATGAAAAGCAATAAAGTGTATTTTCTTCTAAATTAAAACAATATAGGGCAGAAGTGTTCTAAAAATTGGTTGCAGGCTATAAATCACTCTATATGTCCCCAAAACTGATATTTTACCATTCAAAATAAAAATTGTCAAATTTTTAGGTATTTTTATATACATAGAGTAACTGATCTATAAAATTTTATTAACAACACTGATACTGAATACAAGACAACACACATCACGGCACTATGTGCTTTCTCTCCTTGCTGCCTATTGTCAATAGGATTTTAGAAATGTTTGAGTCATGGAAGAATTACTTTTTAATTAATTTGAAGTGTCCCACGATAGTATTGAACTTTTTTGGTACACAAGTCTTCTAAGTTTGGTTGCATTTTATTCAAAATTATTATAAATTTTTCTTCTTTAATTTCTGTAGGCACATAGTAGCTGTATATATTTAGGGGTACATGAAATATTCTGTTACACGCATATAATCATAATAATCATCTCAGGGTAAATGGGTGTCTATCAACTCAAGCATTTATCCTTTGTGTTACAAAAATTCAATTATACTCTTTAAGTTATCTTTAAATGTACAATTAAACTATTATTGACTATAGTCACCCTGTTTTGCTATCAAATACTAGATCTTGTTCATTCTTTCTATTTTTTTGTACCCATTAACTATCCCCACTTCTCCCTCACCCACCCACTATCCTTTCCAGGGTCTGGTAACCATCATTCTACTCTCTATCTCCATGAGTTCAATTGTCTTAATTTTTAGCTCCCAAAATAAGTGAGAACATGTAAAGTTTGTCTTTCTGTGTCTGGCTTATTTCACGCAACATAATGACCTTCAGTTCCATCCACATTGTCGCAAATGACAGGATCTAATTATTTTTTATGGCTGAATAGTGCTCTGTTGTGTATATGCACCACATTTTCTTTATCCATGCATCTGTTGAAAGACCCTTAGGTTGATTCCAAATTTGGGCTATTGTGAATAGTGGTGCAATAAACATAGGGGTGAAGATATTTCTTTGATATATGGATTTCCTTTCTTTTGGGTATATACTAGCAGTGAGTTTGCTAGATCATATGGCGGCTTTATTTTTAGCTTTTTGAGGAAACTCCAAATTGTTATCCATATTGGTTGTACTAATTTACATTCCCACAAACAGTGTATGAGCATCCTCTTTTATCCAAATATGTGCCAGCATTTGTTCTTGCCTGTCTTTTAGGTGAAAGCCATTTTAATTGGGGTGAGATTATATCTTATTGTAGTTTTGATTTGTATTTCTCTGATGATTGATTATGTTGAGCACCTTTCATACACGAGTTTGCCATTTTTATGTCTTCTTTTGAATTTCTGTCTTTTGCTCATTTTAATTGAATTATTAGTAAAAGACTTATTTCCTATAGAGTTGTTTGAGCTTCTTCTATATATATATGCCAGATGGATAGTTTGCAAATATTTTCTCCCATTCTGTGAGTTGTCTCTTCACTTTGTTAAGTGTTTTTGTTTTTTTTTTTTTGCTATGCGAAAACTTTTTACCTGGATATGATCCCATTTGTCCATTTTTGCTTTGGTTGCCTGTGCTTTTGGGGTATTACTCAAGAAATCTTTGCTCAGTCCAATGTCCTACAGAGTTTCTAAATGTTTTATTTTAGTAGTTTCATAGTTTGAGTTCTTAGATTTAAGTCTTTAATCCATTTTATTTGATTTTTGTATATGGTGACTGATAGGGGTCTAGTTTCATTCTTCTGCATATAGATACCCAGTTTTCCCAGCACAATTTATTGAAGTGACTGTTCTTTCCCCAGTGTATGTTCTTGGTGTCTTTGTCAAAAAGGAACTCACTGTAGATGTACGGATATGTTTCTGGGTTAGATATTGTATTCCATTGGTCTATGTGTCAGCATGCCAGTATCATGCTGTTTTGGTTACTATAGCTCTGTAGTATAATTTGAAATCAGATAATGTGATTCCTCCAGTTTTGTTATTTTTGCTCAGGATAGCTTTGGCTATTCTCAGTCTTTCGTGCTTACACATAAATTTTAGCATTTTTTTTCTATTTCTGTGAATATGTCTTTGGTATTTTGATAGGGATTGCATTTAATCTATAAATTGCTTGGGGTAGTATGGACATTTTGAACAACATTGATTCTTCCAAATCCAGGAACATGAAATATCTTTCCATTTCTTATCTCCTCTTCAATTTCTTGCATCAATGTTCTACAATTGTCATTGTAGAGATGTTTCTCTTTTGGGGTTAAGTTTATTCCTACATATTTTATTTTATTTATGGCTACTGAAAATGAGGTTACTTTCTTTATTTCATTTTCATATTGTTTGCTGTTAGCATATTAAAATGCTACAGATTTGTTATGTTGATTTTGAATTCTGCAACTTTACTGAATTTGTTTCAGTTTTAATAGTTTTTGGTGGAGTATTTAGGTTTTTCCAAATATAAGATTATATCATCTGTGAAGAAGAATAGTTTAACTTCTTCCTTCCCAATTTTGATGCCCTTTATTTCTTTCTTTTGTCTTATTGCTCTAGCTAGGATTTCCAGTACTAGGTTGAATAACAGTGGTGCAAGTGGGCATCCTTGTCATGTCCCAGATCTTAGAAGAAAGGCTTTCAGTTTTCCCCATTCAATGTGATACTAGCTGTGGGTCTGTTGTATGTGACTTATATCATGTTGAGGTCTATTTATTTTATATCCAGTTATTTAGTGTTTTTTTAATCATGAATGGATGTTGAATTTTATCAAATGCTCTTTCAGCATCAGTTGAAATTATCATATGGATGATCACATTGATGAATTTGTATATGTCAAACTATCCTTGCATCTCTGAGACAAATCCCACTTGGTTATAATGATCTTTTTAATGTATTTTTGAATTCAATTTGCCATTGTTTTGTTGAGGATTTTTGAATCAATGTTCATCAGGGATATTGACTTGCAGTTTTCTTTTTTTGATGTGTCTGTCTGGTTTTGTTATTAGGGTAATACTAGCTTCATAGAATAAGTTTGGAATTATTCCCTCCTCCTCTGTTGCTCAGAATAGTTGAATAGGATTATTATTAGTTCCTCTTTAAATGTTTGGTAAAATTCAGCAGTGAAGTTGATATCATTTGGATCTGTGTCCCTGCCTAAATCTCATGTCAAATCTTAATCCCCAGTCTTGGAGGTGGTGGTTGGTGATTGGATCACGGGAGCTGATTTTTCTCATGGTGCTGTTCTCATGATAATGAGTGAGTTCTTGAGAGAGCTGGGCAACTCCCCATCACTTTCTCTTGGTCTGGCCATGTGATGTGCTGGCTCCTCCTTTGCCTTCCACCATGATTGTAAGTTTCCTGGGGCCTCTTCAGAAGCTGAGCAGATGCCAGCCTCATGCTTTCTGTACAGCCTGTGGAATCATGAGCAAATTAAACCTTTTTTCTTTATAAATTACCCAGTCTTAGGTATTTCTTCATAGCAATGTGAGAACTGACTAATACAGAAGCCACTGAGTCCTGGGCTTTTCCCTGCTGGGAGACTTTTATTACAGCCTCAATCTCAGTACTTCTTATTGGTCTGCTCAGGGCTTTGGATTTCTTTATGGTTTCCCTCTGTAGGTTGTATGTGTTTAGAAATTTATCCATTTCTTCTAGGTTTTCCAATTTATTGACATATAGTTGCTCAAAGTAGACTCATGATGCTTTGAATTTCTGTGGTATTTGTTGCAATGCCTTTGTTTGCATCTCTGATTTTATTTATTTTTGTCTCTTTTTCTTAGTCTGGCTAAAAGTTTGTCAGTTTTGTTTATCTTCTCAAAAAAACAACTTTTTATTGTTTCACTGATGTTTTGTATTTTTTGTTTCAATTCCATTTACTTTAGCTCTAATCTTTATTACTTTTTTTTGCTTCAACTAATTTTGGGTTTGGCTTTCTCTTCCTTTTCTAATTCTTTAAGATGCATTGTGAGGTTGTTTATTTGAAGTTTTTCTACTTTTTAAATGTAGGCACTTCCATATTAGTATTGCTTTCACTCTATCCTACAGGTTTTGGTATGTTGTGTTTCCATTATCATTTGTTTCAAGAAATTTTCTAATCTCCTTCTTAATTTCTTCATTGACCTAATGTTCATTCAGGAGCATATTTTTAAATTTTTATGTGTTTATATAGTTTCCAAAATTCCTCTTGTCATTTATTTCTAGTTTTATTCCATTGTGCTCAGAGACGATACTTGATATTATTTCAATTCTTTTGAATGTTTTAAGACTTGTGTCCTACCATATGCTCTACCCTTGAGAATGATCCATGTGCAGAGGAGAAGAATGTGTATTCTGTAGCTGCTGAATGGAATGTTCTATAAATGTTTATTAGGTCCATTTGGTCCATAGGACAGATTAAGTCCAATGTTTCTTTGTTGATTTCCAATACTGAAAGTGGGGTGTTGAAGTCTTCAGCTGTCATTGTATTGGGGTCTACCTCTCTCTTTAGCTCTAAGAATATTTGCTTTTCATATCTGGGTGCTCCAATGTTGGATGCATGTATATTTATTATTGTTATAGCCTCTTGCTGAATTGACCCCTTTATCATTATGTAACAACTTTCTTTGTCTCTTCTTATAGATTTTGTCTTGAAATATATTTTGTCTGATACAAGTATAGCTACTCTTACTCTTTTTTTGGTTTCTATTTCCTTGGGATATCTTTTTCCATCTGTTTATTTTCAGTCTATGTATATCTTTATATGTGAAGTGTGTTTCTTGTAGGCAACAGATAATTGAGTCTTGTTTTTTAATCTACTCAGCCATTCTATGTCTTTTGATCTGAAAGTTTAGTCTATTTACATTGAATGTTATTATTGATAAGTAAGGACTTACTCTTGCCATTTTGTTATTTATTTTCTGGCTGTTTTGTGATCTCCTCTTACTTCTTTCCTTCCTTCCTGTCTTCCTTTTAGTGAAGGTCATTTTCTCCTGTGGTATTTTTAATTTCTTGCTTTTTATATTTTGTGTATCTGCTGTATTTTTTTTATTTGAGGCTACCATGAGGCTTGCAAGTAATGTCTTAAATCTCATTATTTTAAACTGATAACAACTTAGCACTGATTATATAAACAAAACTAATAAATAAGCAAAGGGAAAATTAACAAAAACCAGACTTTAACTTCATCTTCCTGCTTTTTAACTTTTTCTTGTTTCTATATCTGTGTTATTGTACTGTCTGTCTAGAAAAGTTGTCGTTATTGTTTTTGAAATGTTCATCTTTTAGTCTTTCTACTCGAGATATTAGTAGTTTATATACCACAATTACAGTGTTATACTATTTTGTGTTTTTCTGTGTACTTAATATTACCATTGAGTTTTGTGCTTTCAGATAATTCCTTGTTTTTTTTAATGCCCTCTTCTTTCAGATTGAAGAACTCCCTTTAGCTTTTCTTGTAGGACAATTCTGGTGCTGATAAAATTCCTCAGCTTTTATTTATGTGAGAAAGTCTTCATTTCTCCTTCATATTTAAAGGATTTTTTGCTGGATATACTATTCTAGGATAAAAGTGTTTTTTTTTGCCTTCAGCACATTAAAGATATCATGCTACTTTCTCTTGACCTATTAGGTTTCCATTGAAAAGTCTGCTGCCAGATATATCAGAGCGCCTTTGTATGTTACTTGTTTCTTTCCTCTTGCTGTTTTAGGATCCTTTCTTTACCCTTGATCTTTGGGAGTTTGATTATTCAATGTCTTGAGATAGTCTTCTTTGGTTTAAATCTGTGTGGTGTTCTATAGCCTTCTTGTACTTGAATATTGCTATCTTTCACTAGGTTTGGGAAGTTCTCTGTTATTGTCCCTTTGAATAAACTTTCTATGCATTAATATACATTTCTCTCCACCTCCTCTTTAAGGCCAGTAACTCTTAGATTTGCCCTTTTGTAGCTATTTTCTAGCTCTCTTGTAGGCATGGTTCATTCTTTCTTGTTTTTTGTTTGTTTGTTTTGTTTTCTTAATCTCCACTGACTGTGTATTTTCAAATAGCTTGTCTTCAAGCTCACTACTTCTTTCTTCTGCTTGATCAGTTCTGCTATTAAGGGAATCTGATCCATTCTTCCGTATGTCAACTGCATTGTTCAACTCCAGAATTTCTGCTTGATTCTTTTTAGTTACTTCAATTTCTTCACTAAATTTATCTGATAGGATTCTGCATTCCTTCTCTGTGTTATGTTGATTTTTTTTTTAATTTCCTCAAAACAGCTATTTTGAATTCTCTGTATGAAAGATCACAAATCTCTGTTTCTTTGGGATTGGCCCCTTGTTCCTTATTTAGTGTTCATGTTTTTGGTGAGGTTATGTTTCCCTGGATGATCTTGTTGCTTGTGGATATTTGTCAGTATCTGGGCATTGAAGAGTTAGGTGTTGATTGTAGTCTTGGCAGTCTGGGCTATTTCCCACCCATCCTTCTTGGGAGGGCTTTCCAGGTATTTGAGGGGATTTGAGTGTTGTGATCTAAGTTTTTGTTCACTGATGTCACATCTGCATTGGTGGGCATCCCACACCTAGTAAAGCTGTGGTTCTTGTAGACTTGTAGAGGTATCATCTTGTTGGTCTTGGATAAGATCCAAAAGAATTTCCTAGATTACCAAGCAGAGATTATTTTCTCTTCCCTTACTTTCTCTCAAACAAACAAAGTCTCTCTCTCTGTGCTGAGCTGCCTGGAGTTGCAGGAGGGGGTGACACAAGCACCCCTGTGGCCACCACCGCTGGGACTGTGCTGGGTCAGACCTGAAGTCAGCACAGCACTGGGTATCACCCAAGGCCCATCATTACCACTACCTGGCTACTGCCTATGTTCACTCAAGGCCCTAGAGCTCTGCAATCATCAGGCAGCAAGGCCAGCCAGGCTGTGTTCTTCCCTTCAGGGTGGTGAGTTCTCTTGAGCTCTGCTGTCTGGTAGCCAGAGCCTGGAGTCAGAAATCTTAGAAATCTACCTGATGCTCTGTTCTGCTGTAGTTTAACTGACACCCAAGCCACAAGACAAATCCTTCCCTCTCTTCCCCTTTTCATGGGCAGAGGAGTCTCTCCCCATGGCCACCATCACCACTGGCTTATTGGGAATACTGCCAGGCTTCCACTGATGTTCACTTAAGGCCCTAGGGCTCTTCAGTCAGCTTGTGATGAATGCTTCACTCTGAGATTCACCCTTCAGAGCAGTGGGATCCTCTATGGCCCTGGGGAGGTCCAGAAATGCCATCCAAGAGCTAAGGCCTAGAATTGGTAACCCCAAGAGCCTTCCTGGTGCTCTAGCCTATTGCAGCTGAGCTGGTACCTAACCTGCAAGACAAAGTTCTGTTTATTACTCCCTCTGATTTTCTTAAGCAGAAAGGCCCTCTTTCTTTGTAGCCATAACAGCTGGGAATGTGCTGGGACACACCTAAATTCAGCATGGCCCTCAGTCTCACAAAAGGCCCACAATGAGTACTTGCCTGGGTACCACTGCCAATTATTTAGGGCCCAGGGGCTCTTCAGTCAGTGGGTAATGAATTCTCCCAGGCCTGGGTCCTTCCCTTCAAGTCAGCAGGCTCCCTTCTGGCTCAGGGTGTGTCTAGAAATGTTATCTGGGAGCTAGAGCTGGAAAGGGGGTCTCAGAACTCTGCCTTGTGATCTCTTCTACTGTGGCTGAGCTGGTATTCAAGTTGCAAGACAAAGTCCTCCTTATTCTTCCTCCCCTCTCCTCAAGCAGAGAAAAGGAGTCTCTTTCCGAGCTTTGAGCTGCACTGCCTAGGGTTAGGGGAGGGGTAATGCAAGTATACCCTTAGCTGCCCTGGCTGGTGTCTCACTAGATCACATGTCCCTTAAGTTCACTGGCTCTGAGCCCAGCACAGCACCAGAACTTGCCTAGAAGTTGCAGTCCTTGTGGCCCAAACTGCCTTTCCAGTTTTTTAGGACCCCAGAGAACTTTAGCCCATGGTGGCAAGGTTTGCTGAACTGAAGCTACAATCACTGGGGTGGGCGATTCCCCTCTGGCTGGGGCTTGTCTAAATAAATGTCCCCTTCATGGGTGCCAGCTAAGTTCTGTCCAGTGTTGGCACTAAGTTCCAGTGCAAAGTCCTACAATCACTGTGTTCTTCCTCCACGTGCACAGATTCCATCTCCGCACCATGTAGCCACTGCCAGGGGATGCAGGAAGGGTGGTGTTGGCAATTCAAGACTGTCTTTCCTATCCTCTTCTTGACATGAAGATAAAACCCAATACAGTGATCACTCACCTGATTTTATGGTTCTTATAAAGGCATTTTTTTGTTTAGAGAGTTGTTAAATTTAGTGTTCCTGCAGGGAGGAAAATCAGTGGAGGCTTCTATTTGGCCATCTTGCTCTGCCTTCATCTCAAATGAGCAGTTATACATTTTTTCATCAAAGTATTCAGCAAATGAAGCTCCAAGATGCTCTAAACTTAGGACATTTTAGTAAGTTGATATTGAACAAAGAATGTTGCAAATAGTGAAACTTTGAAAGAGGCAAGAACGAATCAAATAAGGAGTGCTCTAATGCTATACAATATACAAATTCTATAATTGCAATTTATAATGTTTCAATTTTTGGGAAGAATCTTTTCATGGAGCAACTATTTTATAAGATATTATTTTTAATCAGATACATTTTTTGCTATATTAGATTGGAAAGAAACTTAAGAGACCTATGATCTTGCAACATCTAAATCTGGTGAGACATTTCAAAGAGTCATAGAGATAACTTACTTGACAAGTTTCCTCTTGTAAAGATGTTTGTTGAAGCAAGGAGCTCTGGACGGAGGCAAACAGAGCACCTGTGAAACATTTGAGTTGAAATATTTCAACATTTTAATGGAAAAAATAGAACTGAGAATACCCTACATTTGACAGAACTTGCTCTGAGCATCTGTAGAGATATTTTTTCTCGATTAAAGTTTTTGAGTTAAAAATTTTCTGATCTACAAAGACAATCAGTAGAAGGTATTATGGGCTGAATTATGTCCCTCCAAAATTTATATGTTGAAGTGTCAACCTCCACTACCACAGTGTGACTGTATTTGGAGATATGGCTTTTAAAGAGATAAGTGAGGTAATATGAGGTCATTTTGGTGGTCCTTAATCCAGTACGATTGGTGTCTTTATAAGAAGAGGATGTTAAGACACAGACACACACCTAGGGAAGACTTTGTGAAGACGCGTGGAGAAGGTGGTTGTCTATAAGCCAAGGACAGACGCCTTCAGAAGAAACCAACTCTAATCATGGACTTCTAGCCCTCAGAATTGTGAGGAAATAAGTTTCTGTTGTTTAAGCCTCTCAGTCTGAGGTACTTGTTATGGCAGCCCTAGTAAGATAAAATGGGAGGTACCAGCGTTTTTAAATTGATTAACCATAAAAATTAACTTTGAAGAAGATTGCAGGCAATATTATTTAAAAATTTAATTAATAAAATCAAATTGAAAAAACTCTATTCTTCAGAAAAATGCCAGTGGCACAATATTAGAAATAAGGCCAAGAAACGAATTAAAGTTTGTGAATATGTAGCATGAATAATTATTCAGAATTCTACAGTTTTATTTACTGTACAGATGTTTATTTTTACATTTTAGAAACTATATTTTTGGAAATAGTTTTAATAGAACTATTTTGTAGTTATTTTTAAAGAACTACTTATTTTGTTTTATAAGTCCATTAGTACAATAAAACACTTTTTCAATCAAAAATAAATATTTCAAAGATTTCATAATTTTAATGCCCCCTTTCACCCTCCAGTGTGTCTGGCTTTGGATGATGAATCACATGAAGAGACTAGAATTGCTGAGTGGACATTCCATTATTCATTGAATGTTCTCATAAACAATCAGCAGAAAAGGAAAACCCATATGTGCACCAAGTGCTAGCCCAGCCATTTTGTAAACTAATGACAAAAAGAGAACGTGAATTTAATTTCTTGTGAATCTGACATACTTTGCATATATTTCATGGCCATTCAAGTGGATCTGGACAAGGGTTTCTCGATTCCCCTGTGATGCTTGCGGTTTGCACTTTAGCTCTTTGTATATGTGTCTGGATTATCTTCATCTTCAGAATCCCCACACCCTGATGGCTCCTTATCTTATTGCCCTGGCTAGTCCAGGGAGGAAGATAGGCTGGAGTCATCCTTGGTATTCTCCCAGTCTTCTCCCCAACCTCCTTCCTGCCGCTTTACTTATGTAACAACAGTACTCTGAGCAAGCCCTGTCCTGAGCACTCTGTGAACATGGGAATCTTCATAACGACCCTATGCGGTAGTCATGGTTCTTACATGGCCACTTTCCAGGCGAGGAAACTGACGGAGACACTAAGAGATTTGACCAAGGTCAAATAGCTCAAAAATGCATTTCAAAGTTGGCTGTCTGGCTCCGGCGTCCAGGATCTTAGCGCACACTCTGCTGTCCTTTGGCCCAACCGCAACTCGAGGCCACCTCTCATTCCTGCCCAGGCGCCAGCGTTTGGACCTTAGGACCCAGGGAAAGTTGGGTGGAGCAGGTCAGGTGGCACCACCACAAGTTTCAGGATTCCCTCTCTTCAAAGCACCCCATCCATGACGCCGCCCCTGGCTGCCTGGCCGCCCCCGCTGCGCCCCCGGCCCTCTCTACTGATGGATGGAGCATCGCCCCCAAGCGGTGACCCACCGGTGAGTCCCGGGTGGCCTAGGGTAAGGCGGACCGGGAGCCACCTCACACCCACACAGCCTGCGGGAAGGATCCGACAAGGTGAGGGTAGCCCCGCGCGGGGCCGCAACAGCCTATTCCTCCCGTGTGTGACGACCCCAGCCAGAGAGAACCCAACCTGAGTGCCAGCGAGAGCCTGTCCTTGGTCGCTCCGACCCCTCGCCAGGGGATGTCCGGTAGGAATAGCACTGAGCTGATGTGACGGCGCGGAGGCGCCAAAATCTCCACTTAGGGCAATGAAAGGTCATCGGTCTCCCTCTTGCCGGCACTGAAGGAACCGGCGAGGTGCGACAAGGTGGGGCGGGGCAAGGAAGCGGATCTTCATCCATGTCCCTGGATGGAGTAAGGCACACTCTGGAGGTAGCAGCGAGTTTGAAGTGTCTAAGAAAAAGGCCTTCTGCAATTCACAATTCTTATGGCTACCTGCACCTTTCATTTACCCACTCAAAGCTAAAGGTAGCCGACGTTTTTCAAAAACTCTGGAGGGGCATTCAACATTTTTTAGGTGGCCTGAACTGCCGAGGAAAACAAATGCTGGCCAGATTCCAAGTGAAATACTGCACAGGATCCCCCAAGGCACGAAGCTGGCTGGAGGGAGCTGGAGGGAGCGCCCCACCTGCCGCGGGAAACTCACGAGGAAAGTGCAGACCTTCGGTGGCGCTGGCACCCGCGTGGCCCTGATTCCTAAGACGACTTGGCATTGGCCACTAGGGTTCTCTTCTCTCCAGCCAGTACAGGCCACCACTGTCTGGTCAGGGACAGAAGCGGGGCAGTCACCACCGTCTCCAGATGAGCGACACCGGGAGTCTTTAAATCTCCCGACTGAGAAGCTCTTTGTGTCCAGATCGGAGGTGGGCAAGTCTGTGAGACCAGATGCCCAGACTTGCCCATTGTCCCCCACCCCCACCCCAATGACACTTGCTGCTCTCTTGTTCTACCTCTAGTTCCTCACTCCATTACTCTGTTGTTTTTTCAAAAAATCGCTATCAGAGTAATCCTTTGGATGTGACCAGTTCCATCAGCTGCAGCAGCATTTCACAAAATGTTTCAAATAACCCTAGCTTTTTGCAAGCTAGTAACAAACTAAACCTGTTTTTTGGGAAATGCTATCCTATACTCATGCTGTGTGTGGGCCACAAATTTGGTTTTATATTTCTGGTAGACCAGTGAAAAATTAGAAACAAAATTAATTACACAATTTATAATGTGCAGAAAATCAGAGCAAACCAACAAGGCAAACTATTTTAGATTGAAAGACCAGAAATATACTTCCCTCCAGGATTTTTATTGCCAGAACACTGCATAATCCAAGGATCAACATCCTCACAGTAAACACAAAGGCCTATTTTTACATATGAATGCTCCCTATAGCATCCCTTAAAAGAAAGGGAGGGCTTAAGTCCAAAACGCAATCAATCTTTCAAGACGAAGATGCCAAAGCAATTGCAGCAAAAGCAAAAATTGACAAATGGAATCTAAGAAAACTAAAGAGCTTCTGCACAGCAAAATAAACTGTCGACAGAGTAAACAGACAACCTACAGAATGGGAGAAAAGTTTTGCAAGCTATACATCTGACAAAGGTGTAATATCCAGCATCTATAAGGAACTTAAACTAATTTACAAGAAAGAAACACACAACCCTATTAAAAAACCATTAAAAAGTGGGTAATGGACATGAATAGAAATTTCTCAAAAGAAGACATAACATGCAGCCAACAATCATATGAAAAAAGCTCAACATCACTGATCATTAGAGAAATGCGAATAAAAATCACAATGAGATACCATCTCATACCAGTCAGAATGTCTATTATTAAAAAGTCAAAAAATGACAGATGTTAGTGAGGTTGTGGAGAATAAGGAACAGTTACACACTGTTGGTGGGAGTGTAAATTAGTTTAATCATTGTGGAAGACAGCATGGTGATTCCTAAGACCTAAAGACAGAAATAATATTTGACCCAGCAATCCCATTACCAGGTATTATACCCCAAGGAACATAAATCATTCTCTTATAAAGACACATGCATGCCTATGTTCATTGCAGCACTACTCACAATAGCAAAGACATGGAATCAGCCAAAATGCCCACCAATGTTAGGCTGGATAAAGAAAATGTGGTACATATACACCATAGAATACTATGCAGCCATAAAAAAAGAATGAGATCGGCCAGGTGCGGTGGCTCATGCCTGTAATCCCAGCACTTTGGGAGGCCGAGGCAGGTGGATCACGAGTTCAAGAGATCGAGACCACCCTGGCTAACACAGTGAAACCTCATCTCTACTAAAAATACAAAAAATTAGCTGGGCATGGTGGCAGGCACATGTAGTCCCAGCTACTGGGGAGGCTGAAGCAGGAGAATGGCATGAACCCAGGAGGCGGAGCTTGCAGTGAGCTGAGATCACGCCACTGCACTCCAGTCTGGGCGACAGAGCGAGCCTCCATCTCAAAAAAAAAAAAAAAAGAAAAAAAAAAGAGAATGAGATCATGTCCTTTGCAGGGACGTGGATGGAGTTGGAGGCCATTATCCTTAGCAAACTAACACATGAATAGAAAACCAAATACCTACTACATATTCTCACTTACAAATGGGGGCTAAATGATGAGAACACATGGACACATAGAGGGAAACAACACACACTGGGACCTATCAGAGGCTGGAGAGTGGGAGGTAGAGGATCAGGAAAAATAATTAATGGATACTAGGTTTAATACCTGGGTGATGAAATAATCTGTATAACAAACCCCTATGAAACATGTTTGTCTATGTAACAAACCTGCACATCTTGCATATGTATCCCGGGACTTAAAAGTTAAAAAAAATGCAATCAATCAAAGCAAACCTATGGGACGCTTATATAAAAGGCAGGTTTCAGCTTTCTACTGATCTCTCTAGAGCGATGTTGTACAATATGGTAGTCATTAGTCACAGGTGGCTACTGAGCACTTGAAATGCGAATAGTCCAAACTAAGATGTATTATAAGTTGGAAATGCACGCCAGATTTTGAATATTTTCTAGAGGGGAAAAAAGTAAACTATCTCAGTAATTTTTATATTGATCACATGTTGAAATGATATATATTAGGTATACTAGATTAAATAAAATATATTATTACATTAGTTTCACTTGTTTCTTTTTACTTTTCTAGATGTGGCTTTTTAAAAAATTTAGAGTTCCATATGTGGCTCCCATTATTTTTCTATTGGACAGAGCTGCAATGTTTCTTGAACTATATACTCTAAGATATCAATATATATACTATATATGACAAAAGGGTTTCATAGTTTAATAATTTGGAAAGCACTGCCTACTATATTCCTTCGTCTTGTGTTCTGCAGGGTAACCTGAGATTTTGGGGAAAAATTTTTATGGATTAAATGTATTTGGGATATGCCAGTTAAGAACGGAGGACTTAGAACTCTCAATGTAATGTGAATTATGATTTTCTAAGAGAGGCATCTTATATACAGTATTTCTCCAACACACTCAAAGAACGCTTTTCATCATAAACACAACCCCCATTAATACAATTCTGAAGGAGAGTTTAGGGAACTGGAGTAGAAGATAAAGCTCATAGGCCTTACTTTGCTTCATATATCTGTTGTATGGCTCAAGGCTTGCATTGTAAGTCTTTTCTCTAGCTTTTCCCTCAACTAATAGCTAGACTAGTATTTTCACCAGATACTGGTGAAGTCCTCACCCCAGACGTAATCAATCAGACCCTTGGAGATCACCCTTTTGTGTTAGTTAAGCCTTGTTGTGTAAGAAACTACCCCAAAATATAATGGTTTAAAGTGGCAACAATTTAACACGCTACTATATGGATAAACCTTGAGGACATCATCCTGAATGAAATAAGCCAGTCATGAAAAGACAACAGTGTATGATTCCACTTTTATGAGAGATCTAGACTAGTCAGTATAATAGAAACAGAAAGTAGAATAGTGGTTGCCAGGAGTTGGGGAGTGGAGGAAAATTGGGAGTCATTTGATGGGTACGGAGTTTCCGTTTTGCAAAACAAAAACCGAAAGAGTTAGTTGTTAGAAAAAGTCCTAGAGATCTGTTACACAACAATATGATTATAGCTAACACTACTGTACACTTAAATATGGTTGAGAGTGTACATTTTTATTGTGTTTTTTAACCATAATTTCAGAAAATTAAAAATAAGGTAAAATCAAAACAGCAACAATTTATTTAGCTCACAATTCTGTGGGCCAGCAGTTTGGGCTGGGATGAGCCAAGTACTTCTGGTCTTGGCGGCTGGGCTTACTCATGCATTTGTGGTTGGCTGGCAGTCAACTAGTGGGCTCTGCTTCTGGGGGTTGCCTGGCTGTCAGCTGAGGCCATTGGGAGTGACTGGCCACATGTTTCTCATTGTCCCTCAGGCTAACTCTGGTCACATGACAATAACAGCTTTCCAAGAGTATGAGCAAAAGCCTCATGGCCTCTTCAGAACTAGGTTTAGAACTCACACAATGTTACTCTAGCTGTGTCCTATTAGTCAAAGCAAATAACAAGGCTAGCCCAGATTCAAGGGGTGAGCTAAGCAACTCCTGATACAAGGCGCTAAAAAGCACTGTGACTATTTTTACAATTGTCCACACTTGTCCTGCATCCCATTTTCTAGAATAATCCATTTTCTTATATTTTATATGAGAAAATTTCCTGTTTCTTATATTTTATATACTCAGAAGCATACTACTCTTTTGTGCATCACTTTCTTTTACTTTCTCAGACACTCTTTCATCTCATCAGCATATCAGAAGTATTTTATTCTTTTTAGTGGTGAATTTTTGCATTATCATTTTGCTGGGCTTGCCTCACTCCCCTGTCTCTCCATTATCTTTGCTGTATCTCAATGCTAAATGCTAAATATTATAAAAACAATCTTCTCTAAAAGTGTCTCCTTGACTTTCTCCCTCTGCCTCTAACAATTTCCTTGGGAATCCTAAAATCCAGATGCCTGGCTGTCCACTCCTTAGGCTGGGTTCCTTTTCACTTGCTGTAGTAGTTATTATGGGCTAACTTGCCTTGTAATGTTTGACTCACTAGGTCATAAGTTTTTATTTACTTATCTATCTGCACCAGTGATGGTAAGCCCTGTGTCTTGTTTACTTGTATAGCCAAGCACTCACAAGGTACCTGACACAATATAGGCATTCAGTAGGTAATTATTAAATAAATGAATAAACATTAATTAATAAATAGGTTGATGTAGGTGCATTCCCAAGGTGTTTACTGCAAACTACACCATCTAACTATAAGATCCCCTATAGGGGATTCCCTGTAGGGGATGGGAATTGCACCTCTTCTCTTTCTTCCTTCTAGCTTGTGACTCATCTTTTACTGGAAGGATACCTTCTTTTAATATCTCCTACCTGATTTCCCATATGCAAATCAACACTCTCAGCTTTCATGTGTTCACACCATGAGTACCATCTGCCAGACTCTATCTCTTTATTAGAGTATTTCTCCTCTATATGTGCTTTAACTGATGAGAGTGCTCTAGAAACAAGAGCCCCTCCCCCATCATTCCTTCATATGCACTTGAAAAGAATATGACTGTGTAAAAGTGTATATTGTGTAAATTTTTGTGTAATGTTTATATATGTCAATTAGGCCAAATATTAATAACATGCTCAGGTCTAGACACTTACTGACTTTTTTCTTTGTTCTGTTACTGTGAGAGGTATTAGAAGTCTCCTACTATGATTGTAGACTGGTCTTTTCTCCTTTTAGTTCTGGCAATTTTTGCTTTCCATATTTTGTAGCTATGTTCATGAGTACATAGAGATTAAGAGTTTTTATATCTCCCTGTTAGATTGACACTTATTGTTATAAAATGTCTTTATCTCTAGGAATGCTTCTTGTTTTAAAATCTACTTTGTCTGATATCAATATAGCTATACCTACTTTCTTTTGGTTAGTGATTGCATAGCATACTTTTTCCATCCTTTTATTTTAATCTTGCTGTGTCACTGTCATATTTTTCTTAAAAGTAGCATTTACTTGAATATTTTTAAAAAAGAAAACACATCAGTAATCTTTGACTAATAAATGGAGTATTTAGCCCATTTATATTTAATGTAACTACTGGTATATTTCTGGTATATTTAAGTAACTTTCCCAAAGCCACAGCATGTTAGTGGGAGAGTGCACACTAGGCATTTCCTGACTTTCAAGTCCAGGATGCTTTCTCATTCATTACCTCAGACTTGGGTTAAAGGCTGTATTTCCCACCCTCACATCTGCTTCTGCCACTGCTGTAATATTTAGTCCTTCAAGTTCCTTCAGAGATATAGGCGGCACCGCTCTGGAATCTTAGCCTGATTCCAGAATAAAGGAATGTTAATAGCCCTCTGTGAGCTTTCCAGGAGCCCACACAATAAGGTTGGTAGGCTTTCAAAGAAATCAGTTCCATTAGTGAAGTAGCACAAACAATTGTGAATTTCCTTGAACTCACCTGAAAGCCTTAAGATCCAGGAGTAAATTCAGGGTCAGGACCTTGATGCCATACTACAGGTTGAGAACCCAAAACATATCTAAGGTAGGACTGAATCTAGGACCCACAGCCACCAGCAAAGAACTACCTATGCTATATTGCTAGCACTCCCTAGCTCACCTATTTTACTTTTTTTTTTTTTTTTTTTTGAGACCGAGTCTCACTCTGTCACCCAGACTGGAGTGCAGTGGCGTTATCTCAGCTCACTGCAACCTCTGCCTCCTGGGTTCAAGTGATTCTCATGCCTCAGCCTCCCAAGTAGTTGGGACTACAGGCATGAGCCATCACACCCAGCTAATTTTTGTATTTTCGGTAGAGACGGGATTTCACCATGTTGGCCAGGCTGGTCTTGAACTCCTGACCTCAGGTGATCCACCCGCCTCGGCCTCCCAAAGTGCTGGGATTATAGGCATGAGCCACTGCGCCTGGCCTATTTTACTTTTAAGAACAAGGAAGGCTTTAAGCATTCTAAAACACAACTAGGGAGGCACAGGAGAAAACAGTGGTGATCTGGGAAAGCTGGAGTACAAGATGAATGAAACCACTTACCTTCCTGCAGGTGCTCCTAACGTACACAGTGCCTCAGTGCCTCTGTCTTATGGCTATGAGCTTTACAGCAATCTTTCTCAAACTGCAAAAAGGCCTAACTAAAATCCATCTTGCAATTCCTAGCACTTGCGTTAAGGTAGGCAGCATGTCTACACATCCTTCTGTAGGATGTAGGTTTAAAAATATCAGAAGATTTTTTACCCAAAAGATGCCCTTGTGCCAGCCTGCTTTTTCATGTGTAAAATACAACAATTACTGCTACTAAAATTAATTTATTTGGTGCTCAGTGAATGTTTATTTAGAAGCCCTATTTTGCATAGGAAATAGACTTTAGGTACAACATGGGAATTAACATGGGTTTGAGTAGTATTGGGTTTTTTTGGAGGACTGGTATTCTTAAGGAATTTTTAAACAGAAGATAAGGCACATGTGCAAATAGTCTATAATGATTATTATTTGTGGAGTGTTTATTATGCACCTGATTCTTTACAAATATTTCATTTAATGCTTACAACTGCCATGCAAAGTAGGCATTTGTATCCCAATTTTACAAATTAGGAAACTGAGATTAAGGAACTGTCCCAATTTCTCAAACCAAATGAACAATGGAAAGAATTTGAACCTCAATGGTAGAAAGAATTTGAACTCCAATATGTGTGGCTTTTTCCACTGGTTCCACATTTCTTCCCTACCAATGGTTCATAAAAAGAAGTAGTGAGTTTTCCAAATGGTACAAACAAAATACCAGAGAAGTAGAGGTGAGGAAGGTAGTCACTTCCAGGTGTGATGATTGGGGAAGGGGTCATGGGGGAAAGCCACTGAGGTGGGCCTTTAATGGAGTGGGAGGTGGGTACAGGAGGACAATATTCTATATTCTAGACAGAGGGAATGGCCTCAGCAGGAGGGTGAAGATGAGACCATTTTTGAGTGTGGAGAACAGTATAACTTAATATGCAAGATTTATATTGAGAGGCTAGCAGAAGGCAAGGCGGAAAGTTAAATTGAGGCAAGATTGCAGAGTCGATGACAGGCGAAGGAGAAAGAACTCTATGAGGCAATAAGGAGCTGTTAAACTCTGCCCCCCAACTCCAGGGATTTGGAGCCATATACAGAAAAGATCTAGAAGAAAAAGAAGGGAGCTACAGTGCACTGTCACAGTGCTGAACTCTGACAGAAGTGGTGGCGGGGAATGGAATTGATGATTCCAAGGAGAAGGGGAACTCTAAGACCAAAGAGAAGAGGACTATAGATTTCAGTGACCAATGGGTTTTGGAGAGTAGAAGAAATGTATGAATCACAAAAACTATAGTGGTGAGAGCCTGGGTGATCAAGAGAACTTTGGAACCACACACGGAAATGTGGGCAACAGGAAGAGGTGCTGGCTTAGGGGAAAGAACCACCTGGAAAGTGTCAGCCACACAGGGTCTGTGGTCAGGTATGTTACACCGGGGGCCCTGGGGCAGGCTGAATCCGAGGAAGTATCACAAAGGAAAGGAGCTTCCTGAGAAGAGAAGAACCAAGTGAAGGCCACTTCAGGGGTAGAGGGCTGGGAAAGGGTAGGAGAAATAGGAGTAGAAAAATCAACAGAAGGAAAAGAGGTAATGAATTTGGGGTCAAAAAGACAGAGTAGGTAATGACCCTCTATAGACTTTGCTTAAGGAGGAAACTTTGTTCTTACAATGAGTGAATGAATGACTGCAAAGAATAAATGAATGCAAAGTTACTCAATGCTTCCATCTGACAAAGAGTGCGTGAAATAGCCAATCAGTTGCTTCACTATCCAAATGGAGAATATAGCCCACTATACATAAGCCATTTTGAATTATATAAGCTACTCCATAATGGAGCTTATTAGTGTGGTTCCCGGGCTTGAGCCCAATCTTTTCTTCTTGTGAAACGAAATCAAGATAGTATTGTTTCCCTGTCAATAATGGGTTCTTAAATGGGCTTGAGCTTTGTGAGCACTGCCAATATCAACACTTACTTTAGAGGCAATCTTGATAAAGGAGAATCTGATAAGGCACAAGAGAGGGCAAAGAGGGTATAAATGGCAGGTTGGATGAGGGACACTACCACTGAGGCAACATGGCCAAGCTCACCCTTCTCACTGGTAAGAGATCGTCTCATCTCTGTACCTCTGAATGACTCTCTCCATCTTGTTTTTCTGCCCCTTTAAAACTCTTTTACCTTCAAATTTAAACCAGATCAACTGAGATTTTTGCTTTCGGCAAAAGTATGGGGATGTACTGAACAGGGGGACAGCCCCAAATTGCCTGGTGATAGGTTTCTCACTGCCCTGCTGTCCCCCTCCCTTCACCAAGCCTCAAAGGCTCATGGTACTTTAATGGTCTTTTGAATGGAAATAGAGGGGAGTGGGTTTCCAGGACAAATCCAAAGGCTTTGCCAGCCTCAGTAGGTTGGTCATCTACAGAGGATCTTAAGAGAATGAAAAATAGAAAAAGCTTCCTACTGCTTAAGTGAGGTGACTAATGTATAAAGGCTACTCTACTCACATTCCTCCAGTTCATTATTCTCTCTGTTGCTTTAAGGTCTGCTCCTTGTGCTGACAGCTGAAATAGGTAGGTATATTTCTTGGGATGAACCACTATATTGTTCCTCTTTTGCTTATTCATAATTTGGAAACTCAGTACTGCCCTGTGTCCTTCCACATCAGACAAAGAATATTAACTACTCTCTACAGAGTTTGAAATTCCCTAACCAAGTTTAAAGGATTGATACCATTGGCCTAAAAATCCCAAAGCAGAAACCAACTAGATGGCAGTCTTAAAGAATACGTGCTAACAATAAAAACTAATGCGGTGAGGCAGCTACACAGTGTCCTCTGCTCTTAAAACATTTTAAAATCTGTCATCTTACTGAGTTTTAAAACAACTCTTCTTTGAGAGGTGTACAGGAAAGGCATTACCACTCCATCTCACAGACCAGTTAACCAGGGCAGAGATAAGACATATGACCTGACCTAGGTAATACAGAGAGTTCATGGCAGAATCTGAACCAGTAGCCAGGGCCCTTGTCTCTTGGTGGAAGACTCATTTCCCCCTGGGTGGAATTACTCAGGGAGATATCCAAAAGGGCTAAATAGGCTTATACTATCATCCTTTCTGTGTCTCAGTTTCCAAATGGGTTAAAATGAGAAAATAATAATACCTCTCTCAAAGGGTTTTGGTGAGGATTCATGAGTAAATATAAGTAAATTTCTCAGAGCAATGCTTGGTACGTAAGCTGCCACATAAGGGAGCTAGAATACATCTAAATCATAGTTCACTAAGCTTTAAAATTCTATTTCAGCTAAAGGCACTGGTTTCTAAGGTTATTTAATTCTCTCTTGGAGGAACAGAGCTATCTCTAAGAGATATCTTCAGCCCTGAATTGCCTGCTCATTATTGCCTGCAAATTATATAATTATAGGTTTGCTGCAACATAAAGTTCTTACATTGACTTTTCCCCTTTCCTTTGAGACTTCAAATAGGGAAATCATTTGGAAATCTGTGGTTTTTAAAGAAATCTGTGACTCACTAGGGAGCTTGTCTCTCACCTTCTTTCTCTGGGTAACAGGCTCTGCCTACCAGCTGACATGTTACTTCACCAACTGGGCCCAGAACCAGCCAGGCCTGGGGTGCTTCAAGCCTGATGACATCGACCCCTGCCTCTGTACCCACTTGATCTACGCCTTTGCTGGAATGCAGAACAACGAGATCACCACCATCGAATGGGATGACATGACTCTCTACCAAGCTTTCAATGGCCTGAAAAACAAGTAAATGACGGAAAACCTGAGTTTCAAATCTTTTAACCTTTAAGGACAGTTTAAACAAGATCTTCCACAGCAGACTTCAGGCTGAAATTCCAAACAGGCCAACAAGCAGGTAAATTCAGCTTTCTTATTATTTCAAGTGCAAGAATGACTCTAATTTTAAGGGGAATGGCTGGCTCACAGAAGCTAGCTGCTAACTAAAGCCCAGCTCAGTTGCCAAGGGAAGCTTATAAGTCCAACTACTGGTGGACTCAGTTGAGAACAATCTTCCACTTAGAAGCAATCCAAAGCTGGCATTGATAAAGCATTCAGTCTCCTTGGTCAGGAGATTCACTCCTAGGGAAATAATTGGAACTGTGGAGACATTGGGGTACAGCAAACCAACATGGCACATGTATACCTATGTAACAAACCTGCACATTGTGCACATGTACCCTGGAACTTAAAGTATATTTAAAAAAAAAACTGTGGAGACATTGAAACATACCAATCATAGTCACCTACTCCAACATTCATAAGTAGGAAATAAGGATAAGAACAAAGATAAACCAGGATGAGAGGCTGCATGACACTTTCCTGGCTTCTTGCTCACTATTGCAGCTAAATGTTGAAATGGCTTCCCTTTCTTTTCATTTGTTCTGGTAAAACACTTTGTTTCTTTTCCCTCAGAAATAGTCAACTGAAAACTCTCTTGGCTATTGGTGGCTGGAACTTTGGCACTGCTCCGTAAGTTCTTTTTGGTGATGACTTCCTAGGTTGATTTTACTCTAAGGTGTTGGGACCACCAAGGTCTCACCCTGCCTTCTTTGGGTCTCCCTCAGTTTCACTGCCATGGTTTCCACTCCTGAGAACCACCAGACTTTCATCAACTCAGTCATCAAATTCCTGCGCCAGTATGAGTTTGACGGGCTGGACTTTGACTGGGAGTACCCCGGCTCTCGTGTGAGCCCTCCTCAGGACAAGCATCTCTTCACTGTCCTGGTGCAGGTGAGCTAAGTTCCAGATCATTTTCACTGGAAAGCATACACCCATCTCATATGAAAGATCACTGGGACCTTAAACCTAGTTTCCTAGAATTTTATTTGGGGTGAAGGACCTGAAAATCCTATTCCAGTAAGGATGCTGAGGAATGAATGGAAGGATGGAAGAGGTTAATTTAATTCAGTGTCATGAACCTCATGAAAGTAAACTTAAAGTTACTATTCACAGACTTTCTCCTGCTCCTGTACAGGAAATGCGTGAAGCTTTTGAGCAGGAGGCCAAGCACATTAATAAGCCCAGGCTGATGGTCACTGCTGCAGTAGCTGCTGGCATCTCCAACATCCAGTCTGGCTATGAGATCCCCCAACTGTCACAGTGAGTGATGTGCCTTATCTTCAAACCCCTGGAGGTATCACTCAGGCAGACTAGACTTGTCTTTGGTCTGTCTTGCTATTCAGGGACCTTGTTTAGGAGGCTATGGAAGTGGTGCCTTGTGCCCGCACAGGTATGGGAAATGACCATCAGAATGATTTTAAATCCTCTACCCCACCTCAGGTACCCGGACTACATCCATGTCATGACCTATGACCTCCATGGCTCCTGGGAGGGCTACACTGGAGAGAACAGCCCCCTCTACAAATACCCGACTGACACCGGCAGCAACGCCTACCTCAATGTGGTGAGTCCCTGTACAGATGCAAGAGCAGACCAGAGATGATGATGAAAATCACATAGAGATTCAGGCACAAAAGGCATCATAAGTTTAGTGGTTTTCTCAAATGAGAAATTAGGCTGCCATAATCAATTAAATATTCTCATTTACTAAAAAACTTGCCTATTTATTAACACCATACTGATAATTTTACCTAATATGAAAGAAGATTAATAACAAGTGCATTGTTTTTTAATAAAAGAAAATGATATGCCACTGCTCCTATTTCAATAAATTATAAAAGGCTTTTTCCACCTTCCCCCTTTTGCTGTTTCCCTTTTGCCTTACCCATTTTCTACTGTTCTAATCCCTTGCCTATGTATATCATATAGAATTTCGGACATTAACTAATGAATCATACCAGGAATATCATTTTAAAATCTCTGCTCTTCTATCATATTTTTTTTATCCAAAGGGTATATGTAAAGCCTGCTTGTTATTAAAAGAATTTAGTTGAGAATTAGACCTATCACTTTAACAGATATATGTCAGTGATGCTCTAAAATATGTTGCAAGTACTTTGTACAGTGGGCACAACCAAATCAAAAAAAGTTTAGCTAATAATTAATCACTAGGCCATCAGCTGTGGGTGAGAACTCTAGCTAACCCACTGCCATTGCAGGATTATGTCATGAACTACTGGAAGGACAACAGGGCCCCAGCTGAGAAGCTCATGTTGGATTCCCAGCCTATGGACACTCCTTCCTTCTGAGCAACCCCTCCAACCATGGAATTGATGCCCCTACCACTGGTCCTGGCCCTGCTGGACCCTATACCAGGCAGTCTGGGTTCTGGGCCTACTATGAGGTATACACTCAGAAATGTTAGAGGAAATGTGGCTTTCTCTTGGTCCATGTAGCTAATAATATGAGCAATATGCAACAGTTCTTGGATTGGAGCTGAAAGTGGATGTTTGTGGCTATCTAGAAGGGAGGCAAGATAAACCCTCCTGTTGCACCACTTTAATTGGGCCTTCACTAGGTCCCTTTGAGGCTAGATTCCAAACACAGAGAGTGTAGGAAAGTAGGCTACCATTAGTGAGAGTATATCAATCTGTAGACACTTCTGACTGCCAGGGTATTCCTTGATTTAAGAGTTTCTCCCCACATTGAAAATAAATTACTCAAAAGGAGTAAACAAACAGAATCCCAAATAACTAAGAAATTTGCTGGTAAAGCAATAGACCTTCATTTTCAAGGAGTTTTTATGCAACACTCCTCTACTTCCCCTTCCCCATGTCCTTTTACCTCTGCCACCACAAGGACACTGCCTACCTCTTGACCTGTACCTTATATTCTGTTAGATCTGTACCTTCCTGAAGAATGGAGCTACTGAAGTATGGGAGGCTTCTGAGGATGTTCCCTATGCCTACAAAGGAAATGAGTGGCTTGGATACGATAACACCAAGAGTTTCCAAATCAAGGTAGACTGTGTTCTATGGGTTGTTGTTGCCTGTGAGCATGTTCCCATTATAGCCCTGGAGCCACAGCTCAGCCTTGGTGTCTGTACATAACTGACTTCCTTTCTAATTACCACAGGCAGATTGGCTAAAGAAGAACAACTTTGGAGGTGCCATGGTCTGGGCCATTGACCTGGATGATTTCACAGGCACTTTCTGCAACCAAGGAAAATTCCCTCTGATCACCACCCTGAAGGATGCTCTGGGCCTGCAGAGTACAAGTGAGTTAGGGAGTGAGAAGGGACACTAAGCCTCAGACTTAAGAGAAATTCCAAAGGTTCCTTGGAAGTCATGGAGCTGTTGCACAAGTAATTGTCTGACATTGTCCATTCCTATCTGGTAACAATTGATTAATGGTGGGAAGAACAAACAGGGCTCTTCACCATTTCTTCCTTCCTTCATTCATTTCACAAGAAATTTATTGAACATCTATTACATATACAGTGCTCTGTAGGTACCACAGGTGATCTAAATGCATAAATATCCATATCTACTCTATGGAAATTTACAATCTAGTGAGAGAAATTGGATTTACAAAAACTGCAAAGCTAGACAACAATACAGAAGATATTATGTGATACTGTGCCCCCTAAAAGAATAAGTAACCTTCTTGTGAGTTCATGATAATGAAAAATTTCAATCAGTAAGATGTAAGGAGGAAAAAATGCACTGTGACTTGAAGGATGAGGAAGGAGTTGGTAAGCAAAGGGGTGAGTGGAGCAGGAAGGATATATCAGATCAGAAGACTGAAATATGTGGAGACATAGAAGGAGGAGCCAAGAACAAAATCCAGGTACTAGCTCTCACACATCAGGTATCACTGGCTAAAAGCAAGGAGGTTCAGGATTTGTTTTCTTTTTTCTTCTCAGGTTGCAAAGCTCCAGCCCAACCCATTGCTCCCATTGCCGAGGCAAACATCACATGCGGTGTCAGCCACAGTCGTAGCTCTGGGGGCCGCTCTGGCAGGAGCTCTGGGGGCAGCCCCAGAGGTAGTGGATTCTGTGCTGACAGGGCCAGTGGCCTGTACCCTGACCCCACTGACAAGAATGCCTCCTACAGTTGTGTGAATGGAAAGACTTTCACTCAGCACTGCCAGCCTGGTGGTGTCTTTGATACCTTCTGCTCCTGCTGCAGCTGGTGATAACATTTTTCAGATATCACCTCACCCAGCCTCAGAAGTTGTTGTGCAATAAAAGGTTGAGCATTACTGTACAATCGCTTCTGCTTCTTTACTGTAGGATCTTAGATGTAATTGATCCCTATTTCCCAATGATATACAGTTGCTCCACCAGCACCCAAGCCTGCAGCATGCACTGCTAGTCCTGGATGTTGGGTAGCGGAAGCAGGGGGATTAAAGGAAAATACATGGTCCCTTCATTCTCAAAACATGTATTCAGATGAAGGCTGGGGAGCCCAAGAATGTAAGACTCAGATAACAATGACCCATAAGCAAATGTCATTTTAAAGTGATTGATTTGCCCTTTTGGCTGAGAATGCACAATTAGGAGGCTATTGCAGTGATTCAGGGGAGAGGTGCAGGCTCAGAACAAAGTAGTAGCAGTAGAAGTGGTCAGAGGTGATTGAATTTCAGCTGTATTCTTAAGATTTGTTAAGCCAGCAGGTTTCTTTATGGGTTGCATGTAGAACGTGGGAGACAAAAAGGGGAGCCAAGGATAATTTCAACATTTTGGCTTAAGAAATTGCAAATATGAAATTATCATCAACTGAAATGGAGAAAGCTAAAAGTAGAGTAGATTATGAAGGAAGAGCAGAAGTTCAACTTTGGACATGTTGAATTTAAGATTGTTATTGGGTTTCTAATTGGAGATGTGGAGTAGATAGTTGGACATAACATTTTTAGAGGTAGTTGGTATTTATAGTTGGACATAACATTTTTAGAGGTAGTTGGTATTTAAAGTCAATAGATTAGATGAGATCATTAAGGGAGACAGAGAAAGGAAAGCATTCAAGGACTAAGCCCTGAGCATTTCAGCATTCAGAGGGAGGCTGGAGAGAAGAGTAGGAACAAGTAATGAAGACCAAAAAAGGAGGGCTAAGTGAGGTAGAAGGAAAACCAAGTGTCAAGTATCCTGAAAGCCAAGGAAAGAACCATATTAAGGAGGAGAAAGCGATCAAGTTTGTCAAATACTACTTAGGTCAGGTCAGATGAAGTCTGAGAATTGACCATTATGTTTAACAACCTGTAGATCATTGACAAACTTGACAGAAGTGGGGTTGGTAAACATCTTGGTGGCAAATGCCTGAGTGCAGTAGGTTTCAGAGAGAATGGAAAGGTAAGAATTGAAGACAGTAAGGATACAAAAACCTGTCTTATATGTGTTAAAGGGAAGCAAAAAATGGGATTAAGAATAAAAGATTATGGAAAACAGAAGCTGAATTTATGTTTTCAAACCCACATTTACTTATTTAGAGATATGGGAGATAAAAATCTAACATTCTTTCCATACCTCTCACTTTCTTATTTTTATTATTATTTTCACAGAGTCAAAAAATTTTTTTAACTTAAAAATTTTTATTTTTGGGACAAGGTCTCATTCTGTTCCCCACGCTGGAGTACAAAGGCACGAACATGGCTCAGTGCACCCTCGACCTCCTGGACTCAAGCAATTCTCTAGCCTCAGCCTCCTAAAGTGCTGGGATTACAGGCATGAGCCACCACATCCAGCCCCAAATTTTTAATATCACTTTGTTTTATAACAGAACTGAAGTCCTATATTTAAATCAATGCAATATTCATCCCCTATACTTACACTACAGCTTATCCAATATTCATTTCTTTAATTATCTTGTTGTTTGTTTTGTTTTTGTTTGCCAAGAAGGACTTGGAGTATCTTCCATTTTCTTGCATGTATGAAAGTGCCTGACTGTTGCCTTTATACTTGATTGGTAACTTTTTGGACATAGATATTGGCTCACTCTTTTACTCAAAATTTTGTAAATATTACTGCTTTTTATTCTGGCATTGAATATTGAGCTAGTGTTTTTCCTATGGCTCTTTCATTTACTTTTTCAGGTTTGGATGTTTTGTAGTTGAACAGTTTTTTCAAGTAGTTCTGTGGCTGCCACAGGCCTTAAGTTCTTTTATACGTGAGAATATCTGCCTGTCTCCTCGGTTCTTGAAAAGTATACTTCAAGAATATTATACTTGGTAGAGTATAATACGATAGGCTTGTACTTTCTTTTCCTCAGAACTCTTCAGGTGTAGACAAAACTTCTTAACATTATTTCAAATCATCTCTGCCTTACCTTTTAATTCCAGTTGAAGCTACAGCCACCAATTCTGCATAAGCCTTAATGGTCTTCATGGCGTTATGGAATCTTACCTCAGATCTGTGTTGTGTACTTCTTGCTACCCTTCCTAGGGCTTCTGAGATACAGGTTTCCACTCAAGCAGGTACAATCTAGACATGCAGAGGGGTTACTGTCACTTACAAACATCAGGGAAACGTAATGTTTCCACCTTTCCTCCCCTGATGTTCTAGAAGCACATTTTGTAAGACTTTTAACACCGTTCCAAAGGGATAGAGCATTTAGTTGTTTCTACCAGTGGCTAATATGATAAAAGCATGATTTTATTGGCCCTCCCTTCTTCCCTGTTTCACTCCCCTGTCTCTTACTTATTCTTTGCATTCCACTCCCAAATTACTCTCACATGAGCTACTTCCAGGTGAACTTAGCCTTAGATAGTAGGCATTGCTCCACTGTGTCCTGGCATTGAATATTGTTGTAGGGATGTTTGAAGACAGTGGATAATCACTACCCTTTCTTTAATCCACACTTTTAAAGTTATTTGATTTTTTTCCTGTGAGTGCCTGAAGAATTCATGATTTATTCTTGAAGTTCAATAACTTAACAAGGTTATACCTTGATTATGATGGTTTTTGTCAATTTCTCCTATAAAACAGTTGAGAGGTAAGATTTAACTTGCCTGAGTTAACAGACCTGCAGGCGGCCTCCTGGAAAAGAAAGTTGGCCTGTTGCCTCTGGAAACCAGCTATAATCTATAGCCTAGGTCCTAATGCAATCCATCCTGGCAGAGAGCTGACCATGGTGAATGAGAACTTCAGCCAAGTTTACACCAAGCAGTTGTGCATAATCACGGGGTTGGATTACACCAGAAGAAAGCCAAGTGTTCTCCCAACAGATGAATGCTAAGGTAGTAGATAAGACTGAAAGCCAAGGTTCTGCTATATCATACTGCTATTAGATCCCATATCCTAATCTCACTAAAGAAGAGTTTTGTTAAGAAGCTTAAAAGTCCCAACATCCAAAGCCCAGAGCCTCTTTCTCAGAGCTAGATATGTGCTATGTTAGATTGTTGTATGCTGCCTGAGAATAAAATAAACACCAGAGGATCACTCATCTGCCATCGCTTCTGTCTCTGACTTTTTACCCAGAAGTACTATTCCAGAAAGCCCAGTGTGCATGCTGCTTGGCTACTCACCCTGAATCACTTGACAACTGGTGTAGAGAGCTGGATGTCAGACTAGGGGCACCTACCATGGCCTTCTAGAAGTGAACCAAGGGACTTGGGATTTAAAAAGTGTTTCTCAGATGATCCCATCGCTTTCAAAGATTCGTATGGCAGTCATGGGGACTAGTCCACTAAATTCCTGAAGATACAGAGTGATAAAAGTGATACTGCGTAGTTAAGATCATCGAGCCTAGCATTCCATGATTGTTATTATTGGCCTTGGAAGAATTAGCTCTAAGGAGGCAGACCGAGGGGAACTTGACTCAGCATCTTGAATGAAATTACAATTTGAAAACTTTGGTGAATGTGAAATGATTTATATATGGTCTTATCCAAGCAGGATCAAACAAATTCCATCCTCTGACCCTCTTCCTATGACTGATAGGATCAGTTCAAGATGGCACAGGTTGTCATGTTATTAGGGTGTTATGAGCTCCAGTTAAATGGGTGCAAAGGGAAGGAAAGACAAAGTATGTGACTTATGAGGTTAGTTCCCTCATAACAAGTGAAGAAGATAATCTGAAATAGGCTGATTGAACTAACCGAACTTCTGGGTAGACTCCCACTATAGCTCCGTCTTAGAAAGTCTATGTGATTACTGCTTCTATATAAAGGGTTAAACATGATAAAATTGATGATGGTCCCTATCTTTGTCTATGGAAAAAAATATCCAGTGAGTTTTGGGGGAACTCATGACCCAAGTCATAATAGGAATTTCAGGCTTCATAAAGACATCATGGTTGAAGCAGAGGTGTTCTGTTTCCAGCAAAGCCCAACAGGAAGCTAACTTTTGCTTTTTGAAAGGAGGATTCCCCACCAGACTGGGAAGCAACAGCCTAGGCTCCAGAGTCGGACACTGGACTTAAGTTGTTATCAGATGAATTTGCTCAGCTGCGTACTGTTGTGTTACAAAATCAAATGGCATTAGATACGCTTACCTCAGCCCAAGGAGGGTTTTGCACCTTACTGCATACTGAATGTTCTGTGTATAGCCCTAACAATTCTCACAATATTACTCACAAAGCCATGTTGGGTGTGGTTTTTATTAATTGTGCTTTTAATTCTGCTGTACTTAACCTGTATCTGTAAACTATATCAAATATCCCTTCCCCATGTATCTGTAAGGGTATTTTCCTGCAATTGAGTATCAGATTGAGGCCAAATGTGGAGGAAAAGTTAAATATTAAATTTGAACTCAACTGAACATGGACACAAACAATGGTCACCAAGTCCCGGAACAGGTTGTGTGAGCCCCTTGAGGCGTTCATCCAGCACTGTTTTGGAAAAATCTCTATTTCAATCTAGTCCTATATGTTAGTTATTGAAAAAAATAGACAGTCTCAAAAAACAAGCTGACCTTTTTATGTTCCTTGAACCTAGTTGTGAAGGGCCCTTGTTACTGGGCCTCATGCCAAACAACTCGTTACAAAAACAGCTAGAGTCCCAGACGGTGCCAAAGCTTCATGAAACCTCCTCGTCTGTGCACGAACAGGTGGCCGACTCTGGAGCCCAGGCTGTTGCTTTCCAGTCTGGTGGTGAATCCTCCATAGTCTGGTGAGTGTAAATATATATATATCTTTTCCCTTCTCCCTTTCCCATTGCAATTTGATTGTTATATCAATTTGCTTATTATATCAAGTTGTTTATTATATCGTTTGCTTATTACATCTGCATTGCCATTTATGTGAGATAAAGGTTGTTTACCCTTAAAGGTATTGTGTGTGTGTCTTTTCTCCTCCCCTCACACATCTCTCACACAGATCATTTTATACCCAAAGGGATATAAATCATTCTACTATAAAGACACATGCACACGTATGGTTATTGCAGCACTATTTACAATAGCAAAGACATGGAACCAACTCAAATGCCCATCAATGATAGACTGGATAAAGAAAATGTGGTACATATACATCACGGAATACTATGCAGCCATAAACAGGAATGAGATCATGTCTTTGCAGGGACATGGATGAAGCTGGAAGCTATCATCCTCAGCAAACTAACACAGAAACAGAAAACTAAACACTGGATGTTCTCACTCATAAGATGGAGTTGGAACAATGAGAACACATGGACACCGGGAAGGGAACAAGAAACACTGGAGCCAGCTGAGGGGTTGGGGGCAAGGGGGGGAGAGCATTAGGACAAATACCTAATGCATGTGGGGATTAAAACCTAGATGACGGGTTGATAGGTGCAGCAAACCATCATGGCACACGTATACCTATGTAACAAACCTACACATTCTGCACTTGTATCCTGGAACTTAAAGTAAAATTTTTTTTAAAAAGGGGGGAAAAATATATAGCAAAATGCAACTGGAATTTCCAAATGAATTAGTATTTTATTTAAACATCTATATTTTAAAAATAATTGTAATAATGAGAATACATAGACACAGGGAGGGGAGCAACACACACTGGGGCCTGTCGGGGGGGGGTGGGGGTAGGGAAAGCATCAGGATAAAGAGCTAAAGCATGTGGGGCTTCATACCTAGGTGATGGGTTGATAGGTGCAGCAAGCCACCATGGCACATGTTTACCTATGTAAGAAACCTGCACGTCCTGCACATGTATCACGGAACTTAAAATAAAATAGAATTAAATTAAATCTTAAAAATAGTAATTGTAATAAATTTATATTTGAAACATGTAAGGTATTTAATTCACACACAATGTTTTGTGTGCAAACTCCCCTTTCCCCTATAATTACTCCTCAGCTATCCAAGGACTTGAGGTCTTCAGATTGGGAAAAATAACATTAACTAAAATTTATTAAATAACTAACATGTGCTAGGCCCAGTGCTAGGTAGGTTATCTCATTTAATTCTCACAACAACCCTATAAGACAACAACTAGTATTATCCATATGTAATACATGAGGAAATTGAGGTTCACAGGTGAAATAACTTGTCTAATGTCACATATCTAGAAAGAAGGAGAACAAAAATTGAAATATAAGTTAGCGATTCTAGAGACCATGCTGATATTCTGTTCTGTCATATGGCAACCTTTGTGCTGGACAGATGTGGGAGAATGCTCTCTGCAATTGACTGGCATTGGTTATTCTAACAGTCTTACCCTCTTTGTATGTGAATAAACTGGCATTCTCACTTACATTGACTGCATGGGCCAGTCTCCGTTATCTTTTTTTCCATGTTTTAAAAATGTTTTTCTTGTGGTAAAATAGACCAAAACAAATTACCAACTTAAATATTTTAAGTGTACAGTTCGGTGGTACTAAATACATTCATAATGTTCTTGAGCCATCTCTCCTTTCCATCTCCATAATTCTTTTCATCATGTAAAACTCCAGCTCTATACTCATTAACCTGTAAGTCCCCATTTCCCCCTCCCCCAGCTCCAGGAAACCACTATTCTACTTTCTGTCTCCATGATTTTGACTATTCTAAGTATCTCACATAAACAGAAAAATCATATATTATCTGTCTTTTTGGACTGGCTTTTTTCATTGAGTATAATGTCTCAAGATTCATCCATGTTGTAGCAAGTCAGAATTTCCTTTTAAAGGCTGAATAATACTTTATTGTATGTATATATAACAGTTTTGTTATCCATTCATTCACTGAAGGACACTTGAGTTGCTTGCATGTTTTAGCTATGGTGAGTAATGTTACTGTGAACATGGAAGTACAAATATTTCTTTGACACCAAGCTTTAAGTTATTTTGGGTATACCTAGAAGCGGAATTGCTGGATCATATGGTAATTCTATGTATGATTTTTTTAGGAACTTCCATACTGTTTTCCATAGCAGCTGTACCGTTTTACATTCCCACCAACAGGGCACAACTGCTCCAATTTTTCCACATCCTTGTTAACACTTATTATTTTCTGTTTTTTGATAGTAGCCATCCTAGTGGATATGAGGTGATGTCTCATTGTAGATTTGATAGGCATTTCCTTAATGATTAATGGCATTAAGCATCTTTTTATGTGTTTATTGGCCATTTCAATATCTTCTTTGAAGAAATAGATATTCAAGTCCTTTGTCCATTTTGAATCAAGTTGTTTGGTTGTGTGTGTGTGTGTCATTGAATTTTAGAAGTTCTCTCTATATTCTGAATATCTCTTATCAGATAAACTCTTTGCAAATATTTTCTACCATTCCGTGAGTTGCACTTTTACTCTGTTTGCATTGTCTTTTGATATACAAACATTTAAAATATTCATGAAGTCCAATTTGTGCATTGTATTCTTTTGTTGTCTGTGATTTAGGTGTCATATCCAACAAATCATTGGAAGTCCAATGTTATGAACTGTTTGCCCTATGTTTTCTTCTAAGAATTTTATACTTTTACATCTTACATTTAGGCCATTGATCTATTTTGAGTTAATTTTGCCTATGATGTTAGAAAATGGCCCAAAAACATCAATGGGGCCAGATGTGGTGGCTCATGCTTATAACTCCAGTGCTTTGAGAGGCCAAGGTGGGCAGATTTCTTGAGCTCAGGAGTTTGAGACCAGCTTGGGCAACATGGCAAAACCCTGTTCCTATAAAAAATACAAAAAAATTAGCCAGGCATGGTGGCACATGACTGTGGTCCCAGCTAATCAGGAGGCTGAGGTGGGAGGATTGCTCGAGCCCAGGAAGTCAAGGATGCAGTGAGCTATGATCATGCCACTGCACTCGAGCCTGGGTGACAGAGTGAGACCCTGTCTCAAAAAACAATGACAACAAAGAAAACATCACTGGGATTTCGATAGGGATTGCATTGAATCTGTACATCATTTGGGTAGTATAGACATTTTAACAATATTGAGTCTTCCAACTCATGAACATGGGGCATGTTTCCATTTATTCACATTTTCTTTATTTGAACAGCAGGCTATAGTTTTCATTGTACAAGTCTTTCACTTCATTAAGTTAATTTCTAAGTATTTTATTCTTTTTGATGCTATTGTAAATGAAATTATTTTTATAATTTTTCTTTTTTTATTCTCTTTGTTAGTTTATAAAAATGCAATTGATTTTTGTGTTGACTTTGTAACCTGTTATTTTGCTGAATTCATTTTTTAGCTCTGACAAAATTTTTGGTGTGGAATCTTTAGGGTTTTTCCTATATAAGACCACATCTGCAGGGACAATTTTACCACTTCCTTCCCAAATTGGATGCCTTTTATGTCTTATTTTTGCCCAAATGTTCTGGTTAAGACTATGTTGAATAGAAGTGGCAAAAGAAGCATTCTTATCTTGTTGCTGATCTTAGAAGAAAAGCTTTCAGTCTTTCACCATTGAGTATGATATTTGCTGTGGGTTTTTCAAACATAGCTTTTATTATATTGAGGTAGTTTGCTTCTATTTCTAGTTTGTTTTTATTATGAGAGGGTATTAACTTTTGGCAAATACTTTTTCTGCATCAATTGAGATGATTATGCCATTTTTTTCTTCATTCTTTTAATGTGGTGTATTACATTCATTGGTTTTCATAAGTTAAATCATTTCTTGCATTCAATGAATAAATCCCTCGTGAACACAGTATATAATCCCTTAACATCCTGTTAAATTCAGTTTAATAGTATTTTGTTGAGGATTTTTGCATCAGTGTTTATAAGGGATTTTGGTCTGTAGTTTACCTGTATGTTTATCTGGCTTTGATATTACAGTAATGCTGGACATATAGAATGAGTCAGAAAGTGTTTTCTCCTCTTCATTTTTTTGGAAAAGTTTGAAAAGAATTGGTGTTCATTTGTCACTAATGTTTGGTGGATTAACCTCTCAAGTCATCTGGTCTACAGCTTTTCTTTGTTGGAAACTTATTGCATTTTATGATTTTTCTGAGACAGGATCTCACTCTGTCACCCAGGCTGGAATGCAGTGGCACAATCACAGCTCACTGCAGCCTCAACTTCCCAGGCTCAAGTGATTCTCCTACCTGGGCCTCCCAAAGTGCTGGGATTACAGGCATGAGCCATCATGCCCAGTGTAAGATTTTTGGTTACTAATTAAATCTCCTTAGTGGTTATAAGTCTATTCTAATTTTCTATCTTTTCATGATTTAGCTTTGTTAGGTTTCTTGTTTCTAGAAATTTGTTCATTTCATTTGGATTATCTAATTTATTGGCATACAATTGTTCATAAAAGCCTCATAATCCAACCACTGAGAATTAGGCAAGATGGCCAAAGAGGAACAGCTCCCGTCTGCAGCTCCCAGTGTGATCAACGCAGAAGACAGGTGATTTCTGCATTTTCAGCTGAGGTACCGGGTTCATCTCATTGGGACTGGTTAGAAGACAGGTGATTTCTGCATTTTCAGCTGAGGTACCGGGTTCATCTCATTGGGACTGGTTGGACAGTGGGTGCAGCCCACGGAGGGTGAGCCAAAGCAGGGTGGGGCATCACCTCACCCAGGAAGTGCAAGGCACTGGAGGATTTCCCTTTCCTAGCCAAGGGAAGCCATGGCAGACTGTACCTGGAAAATCGGGACACTCCCACCCAAATACTGTGCTTTTCCAAAGGTATTAGCAAATGGTAGACCAGGAGATTATATCCCGCACCTGGCTCAGTGGGTCCCATGCTCATGGAGCCTTGCTCACTGCTAGCGCAGCAGTCTGAGATTGACCTGTGAGGCAGCAGCCTGGCAGGAGGAGGGGCATCCACCATTGCTGAGGCTTCAGTAGGTATACAAAGAGGCTGGGAAGCTCAAACATGACGGAGCCCATCACAGCTCAGCAAGGCTGGCTGCCTCTATAGACTCCACCTCTGGGGGCAGGGCATAGCTGAACAAAAGGCAGCAGAAACTTCCGCAGACTTAAACATTCCTGTCTGACAGCTCTGAAGAGAGCAGTGGATCTCCCAGCACAGTGTTTGAGCACTGAGAATGAACAGACTGCCTCCTCAAGTGGGTCCCTGACCCCTGTGTAGCCTAACTCGGAGACACATCCCAGTAGGGGCTGACTGACACCTCATACAGGTGGGACGAAGCTTCCAGAGGAAGGATCAGGCAGCAATATTTGCTGTTCTATAATATTTGCTGTTCCGCAGCCTCCACTGGTAATACCCAGGCAAACAGGGTCTGGAGTGGACCTCCAGCAAACTCCAACAGACCTGCAGCTGAGGGACCTGACTGTTAGAAGGAAAACTAACAAACAAAAGGAATAGCTTCCACATCAACAAAAAGGGAATCCACACCAAAACCCCATCTGTAGGTCACCAACATCAAAGACCAAAGGTAGATAAAACCACAAAGATGGGGATAAAACAGAGCAGAAAAGCTGAAAATTCTAAAATCCAGAGCACCTCTTATCCTCCAAAGGATCGCATCTACTTGCCAGCAACGGAACAAAGCTGGACGGAGAATATGTTTGATGAGTTGACAGAAGTAGGCTTCAGAAGGTCGATAATAACAAACTTATCCAAGCTAAATGAGCATGTTTGAACCCATCACAAGGAAGCTAACAATTTTGAAAAAAGGTTAGACGAATGGCTAACCAGAATAAACAGTGTAGAGAAGAACTTAAATGAACTGACAGAACGGAAAACCATGGCACGAGAACTTCGTGATGCATGCACAAGCTTCAGTAGCTGATTTGATCAAATGGAAGAAAGGGTATCCGTGATTGAAGATCAAATTAATGAAATAAACCTAGAAGAGAAGTTTACAGAAAAAAGAGTAAAATGAAACAAACAAAGCCTCCAAGAAATATGGGACCATGTGAAAAGACCAAATCTACATTTGATTGGTGTACCTGAAAGTGACAGGGAGAATGGAACCATGTTGGAAAACACTCTGCAGGATATTATCCAGGAGAACTTCCGCAACCTAGCAAGGTAGGCCAACATTCAAATTCAGGAAATACAGAGAACACCACAAAGATCCTCCTAGAGAAGAGCAATCCCAAGACGCATAATAGTCAGATTCACCAAGGTTGAAATGAAGGAAAAAATGTTAAGGGCAGCCAGAGAGAAAGGTCGGGTTACCCACAAAGGAAAACCCATTGGACTAACAGCGGATCTCTCTGCAGAAACTCTACAAGCCAGAAGAGAGTGAGGGCTAATATTCAACATTCTTAAATAAAAGAATTTTCAACCCAGAATTTCATATCCAGTCAAACTAAGCTTCATAAGTGAAGGAGAAATAAAATCCTTCACAGACAAGCAAATGCTGAGAGATTTTGTCACCACCAGGCCTGCCTTACAAGAGCTCCTGAAGGAAGCACTAAACATAGAAAGGAACAACTGGTACCAGCCACTACAAAAACATGCCCAATTGTAAAGACCATTGATGCTATGAAGAAACTGCATCAATTAACGGACAAAATAACCAGCTAACATCGTAATGACAGCATCAAATTCACACATAACATACTAACATTAAATGTAAATGGGCTAACTGCCCCAATTAAAAGACACAGACTGGCAAATTGGATAAAGAGTCAAGGTCCATCAGTGTGCTGTAATCAGGAGACCCATCTCATGTACAAAGACATACATAGGCTCAAAATAAAGAGATGGAGGAAGATCTACCAAGCAAATGGAAAGCAAAAAAAAAAAAAAAAAAAAAAAACAAGCAGGGGTTGTAATCCTAGTCTCTGATGAAACAGACTTTAAACCAGCAAAAATCAAAAGAGACAAAGAAGGCCATTACATAATGGTAAAGGGATCAATTCAACAGGAAGAGCTAACTATCCTAAATATATATGCACCCAATACAGAAGCACTCAGATTCATAAAGCAAGTCCTTAGAGACCTACAAGGAGACTTAGACTCCCACACAATAATAATGGGAGACTTTAACAACCCACTGCCAATATTAGACATATCAATGAGACAGAAGGTTAACAAGGATATCCAGGACTTGAACTCAGCTCTGCACTAAGCAGACCTAATAGACATCTGCAGAACTCTCCACCCCAAATCAACAGAATATACATTCTTCTCAGCACCACATCACACTTATTCCAAAATTGACCACATAGTTGGAAGAAAAGCACTCCTCAGCAAATGTAAAAGAACAGAAATCACAACAAACTGTCTCTAAGACCACAGCGCAATCAAATTAGAACTCAGGATTAAGAAACTCACTCAAAACCGCACCACTACATGGAAAGTGAACAACCTGCTCCTGAATGACTACTGGGTAAATAACGAGATGAAGGCAGATATAAAGATGTTCTTTGAAACCAGTAAGAACAGAGACACAACGTGCCAGAATCTCCAGTTAAAGCAGTGTGTAGAGGGAAATTTATAGCACTAAATGCCCACAAGAGAAAGCAGGAAAGATCTAAAATCAACACCCTAACATCACAATTAAAAGAACTAGAGAAGCAAGAGAAAACGCATTCAAAAGCTAGCAGAAGGTGAGAAATAACTAAGATCAGAGCAGAACTGAAAGAGACAGAGACACAAAAAACCCCTCAAAAAATCAGTGAATCCAAGAGATGCTTTTTTGAAAAGATCAACAAAATTGATAGACTGCTAGCAAGACTTACAAAGAAGAAAAGAAAGAAGAATCAAATAGATGCAATAAAAAATGATAAAGGGGATATCACCACCGATCCCACAGAAATACAAACTACCATCAGAGAATATTATAAACACCTCTACACAAATAAACCAGAAAATCTAGAATAAATGGATAAATTCCTGGACACATACATCCTCCCAAGACTAAACCAGGAAGAAGTGGAATCTCTGAATAGATCAATAACAGGCTCTGAAGTTGAGGCAATAATTAAGAGCCTACCAACCAGAAAAAGGCCAAGACCAGATGGATTCACAGCCGAATTCTACCAGATGTACAAAGAGTAGCTGGTACCATTCCTTCTGAAACCATTCCAATCAATAGAAAAAGAGGGAATCCTCCCTAACTCATTTTATGGGGCCAACATCATCCTGATACCAAAGCCTGGCAGACACACCACAAAAAAAGAGAATTTTAGACCAATATCCCTGATGACCATTGATGCAAAAATCCTCAATAAAATACTGGCAAACCAAATCTGGCAGCATATCAAAAAGCTTATCCACCACGATCAAGTTGGCTTCATCCCTGGGATGCAAGGCTGGTTAAACATATGCAAATCAGTAAACATAATCCATCCCATAAACAGAACCAATGACAAAAACCATATGATTATCTCAATAGATGCAGAAAAGGCCTTCCACAAAATTCAACAGCCCTTCATGCTAAAAACTCTCAATAAACTAGGTATTGATGGAATGTATCTCAAAATAATAAGAACTATTTATGACAAACCCACAGCCAATATCACACTGAATGGGCAAAAACTGGAAGCATTCCCTTTGAAAACTGGCATAAGACAGGGATGCCCTCTCTCACTACTCCTATTCAACATAGTGTTTGAAGTTCTGGCCAGGGCAATCAGGCAAGAGAAAGAAATAAAGGGTATTCAATTAGGAAGTCAAATTGTCCCTGTTTGCAAATGACATGATTGTATATTTAGAAAACCCCGTCATCTCAGCCCAAAATCTCCTTAAGCTGACGATCAACTTCAACAAAGTCTCAGGATACAAAATCAAAGTGCAAAAATCACAAGCATTCCTATACACCAATAACAGACAAACAGAGAGCCAAATCATGAGTGAACTCCTATGTACAATCACTACAAAGAGAATAAAATACCTAGGAACTCAACTTACAAGAGATGTGAAGGACCTCTTCAAGGAGAACTACAAAGCACTGCTCAATGAAATTAAAGAGGACACAAACAAATGGAAGAACATTCCATGCTCATGGATAGGAAGAATTAATATCGTGAAAATGGCCATACTACCCAAGGTAATTTATAGATTCAATGCCATCCCCATCCAGCTACCAATGACTTTCTTTACAGAATTGGAAAAAACTACTTTAAAGTTCATATGGAACCAAAAAAGAGCCCACATTGCCAAGTCAATCCTAAGGAAAAAGAAGAAAGCTGGAGGCATCATGCTACTTGACTTCAAACTATACTACAAGGCTACAGTAACCAAAACAGCATGGTACTGTTACCAAAACAGATATATAGACCAATGGAACAGAATAGAGGCCTCAGAAATAACACCACACATCTACAACCATCTGATCTTTGACAAACCTGACAAAAACAAGAAATGGTGAAAGGATTCCCTATTTAAAAAATGGTGCTGGGATAACTGGCTAGCCATATGTAGGAAGCTGAACCTGGATCTCTTCCTTACACCTTACACAAAAATTTATTCAAGACAGATTAAAGACGTAAATATTAGACTTAAAACCATAAAAACCCTAGAGGAAAACCTAGGCAATACCATTCAGGACATAGGCATGGGCAAGGACTTCATGACTAAAACACCAAAGGAATGCCAACAAAAGCCAAAATAGACCAATGGGATCTAATTAAACTAAAGAGCTTCTGCACGGCAAAAGAAACTACTATCAGAGTGAAAGGGCAACCTACAGAATGGGAGGAAATTTTTGCAATCTACCCATCTGACAAAGGGCTAATACCAGAATCTACAAAGAACTTAAACAAATTTACAAGAAAAAAACAAACAACCCCATCAAAAAGTGGGCAAAGGATATGAACAGACACTTCTCAAAAGAAGACATTTATGCAGCCAACAGACATGTGAAAAAATGCTCATCATCACTAGTCATCAGAGAAATGCAAACCAAAACACACTGAGATACTATCTCATGCCAGTTAGAATGGAGATCATTAAAAAGTCAGGAAACAACAGATGCTGGAGAGGACATGGAGAAGTAGGAACACTTTTACACTGTTGGTGGAAGTGTAAATTAGTTCAACCATTGTGGAAGACAGTATGGTAATTCCTCAAGGATCTAGAACTAGAAATACCATTTGACCCAGCGATCCCATTACTGGGTATATACCCAAAGGATTATAAATCATGCTAGTATAAAGATACATGCACACATATGTTTATTGCGGCACTATTCACAATAGCAAAGACTTGGAATCAACCCAAATGTCCATCAATGATAGACTGAATAAAGAAAATATGGCACATATACACCATGAAATGCTATGCAGCCATAAAAAAGGATGAGTTGGGCCGGGTGCGGTGGCTCACACCTGTAATCACAGCACTTTGGGAGGCCGAGGTGGGCAGATCACGAGGTCAGGAGATCAAGACCATCCTGGCTAACACAGTGAAACCCCGTCTCTACTTAAAATACAAAAAAAAATTAGCCAGGCGTGGTGGCAGGCACCTATAGTCCCAGCTACTCGGGAGGCTGAGGCCAGGGAATGGCATGAACCTGGGAGGCAGAGCTTGCAGTGAGCCGAGATAGTGCCACTGCACTCCAGCAGCCTGGGCAACAAAGCAAGACTCTCTCTCCAAAAAAAAAAAAAAAAAAAAAGATGAGTTCCTGTCCTTTGCAGGGACATGGATGAAGCTGAAGCTGGAAACCATCATTCTCAGCAAACTATCACAAGGACAGAAAACCATATACCGCATGTTCTTACTCATAGGTGTAAATTGAACAATGAAAACACTTGGACGTAGGGCAGGGAATATCACACACCAGGGCCTGTTGCGGGGTGGGGGATTGGGGGAGGGATAGCATCAGGAGAAATACCTAATGTAAATGACAAGTTATTGGGTGCAGCAAACCAACATGGCATATGTATAGCTATGTAACAAACCTGCACGTTGTGCACATGTACCCTAGAACTTAAAGTAAAATTTAAAAAAAAGCCTCATAATCCTTTTTATTTTTTATAGTCAGTAGTAATGTCCCCATTTTTATTTCTGATTTTAGTAATTTGAGTCTCCTCTCTTTTTTCTTAGTTTATCTAGCTAAAAGTTTGTTGAAATGTTTTATCTTCTCAAAGAACTTTTTATTTTATTGATTTTCTCTATTGTTTTACTATTCTCTATTTCATTTATCTGAGCGCCAGTCTTTATTATTTCCTTCTTTCTGCTACCTTTGGGTTTAATTTGTGTTTCTTTTTCTAGCTCCTTAGGTGTAATTAGATTGTCAATTTGACATTTTTCTTGTTTTTCAGTGTGAATATTTAGAGTTATAAAGTTCTCACTTAGTAGTGCCTTCACAGTATCCCATAAGTTTTGCTATGTTATGTTTTTATTTTCATTCATTTCTAAGTATTTTTAAATTTCCCTTATGACTACTTCTTTAATCTATTATTAAGAGTGTGTTGTTTAGTTTCCACAAATTGGTGGCTTCTACAGTTTCACTTCTATTATCAATTTCTAACTTCACGTCCTTTGTGGTTGGAGAAGATACTTTGTATGATCTCTATATTTTTAAATCTGTTGAGACTTAATTTGTGACCTAATATATAGTCTATACTGAAAAATGTCCCGTGTGCGCTTGGGAAGAATGTAAATGCTGTTTTTGTTAGGTAGAGTATTCTGTATATATCTCTTACATCTAGTTGGTTTATTATGTTGTTTAGGTCCTCTATTTCCTCACTTATCTTCCGTGTGGTTGTTGTATTCATTACTGAGAACGGGCTATTGAAGTTTCCAACTATCATTTATTGTCGAACTATCTATTTCTTCCTTTAATTCTGTCAGTTTTTGCTTCATATATTTTTATAGTGTGTCATTAGGTACATAAATGTTTGTAATTGTTCGATTCTTGCTGTATTAAACCTTGTATTAATATATAATGTCCTGCTTTGTCTCTTGTACATTTTTTAATTTATAATCTATTTTGTCTGTTACTAATATAGCAACTCCTGCTCTCGTTTGGTTACTATTTGCATGGAATACCTGTCTCCATCCTTTCTCTTTCAAACTATTTATGTCTTTAAATCTAAAATGAGTCTCTTGTAGACAGCGTATGGTTGGATCATGTGTTTTAATTGATTCTGCCAATCTCAGTATTTTGATTGAAGCATTAATATATTTATATTTAGAGTAATTACTGATAAAGAGGGAATTATTTCTGTCATTTTAATTATTTGTTTCCTATATGCCTTTTAGCTTTTTTGTCACTCATTTCTGGCATTATTGTCTTTCTTTGTGGTTAGTTGATTGTTCGTAGTGAAATGTTTACATTTCTTTCTCGTTTCCTTATACACACACACACATATACATCTATACACATGTATACACACATATACATATATACATACACACATATATATACACACACATATGAATACACACACATATATAGCTATTTTCTTCCCCATTGGTTACAATGGGGATTACATTTAATATCCTAAGGTTATAACATTCTAATTTGAATTTACACAGGTTTAACTGCAATAACTTAAAAAAACTCTGCTCTTTTACAGCCCCATTCCCTACCCCTTTCAGTTGTTGATGGCATAAAATACTATCTTTATACATTGTGTGTTCCAAAATGTAAACTAATGATTCTTTGAAATGCATTTGTCTCTTAAATTATGTGGAGAACAAAAAGTGGAGTTACAAGCCATTGTTACAATAATACTAGCTTTTATAATTGCCCATGTGTTTACTTTTACTGAGAACTTTGTTTATTCATATGGCAGCAAGTTGCTGTCTAGTGTCTGTTTATTTCATCCTATAGGACTCCCTTGAGTATTTCCTGCAGGACAGGTCTATTGGTAACAAACTACATCAGCTTTTGTTTATCTAGAAATGTCTCATGTTATCCCTTGTTTTGAAGGATAGTTTTGCCAGAAAAAAGATTTTTGGTTGACACTTTTTTTCTTTTAGAACTTTGAATCTATCTGCCAACTGCCTTCTGGCCTCTAAAGTTTCTGATGAGAGATCTGCTGATAATTTTATTGAAGATCCCTTGTATGTGGCCAGTTGCTTCTCTTTTGATGATTTCAAGACTCTCTTTGCCTTTGTCCTTTAAAATTTGATTATATTGTGTCTTGCGTGGATTTCTTTGAGTTCATCTTACTTGGAGTTCGCTGAGTTCTTGGATGTCTATATACATGTCTTTCATCAAATTTGGGAAGTGTTAGGCCATTATCTTTTAAAATATTCTGTCTGCTCCTTTCTTTCTCTTTTATTTTTCTTGAATTCCCACAATGTATATGTTGGTCCACTTGATGGCTTTTCACATGTCCTTTAGGCTCTCTTCAGTGTTCTTCAATTTGTTTTCTTTCTGTTCCTCAAACTTAATAATTTTCACTCTCCTATCTTCATGTTTACCAATTCTTTCTCCTGTCAGTGCAAATCTGCCCTTGAACCTTTCTAGTAAGTTTTCCATTTCAGTTATATTACTTTTTAGCTCCAGAATTTATTTTCTGTTTTTGTCCAAATTTTTAAAAATCTTATTATTGAAATTTACATTTTGTTCATACATCATTTTCTTCATTCTCTACATCCTTTTTTTAGAGCATATTCAAGACAGTTGTTCTAAAGTCTTTGCCTAGCATATTTGCCATCAGGTCTTTTTCAGAGACATTTCTGTTGATTTATTTTTTTCGTTTGAATGAGCTATACTTTCTTGTTCCTTTGTATGCCTTGTGATTTTTGGTTAAAAACTGGACATTTGAATCTAATAATGTGGTATCTCTGAAAAGCAGATTCTCCCCTTTCCCCAGAATTTGCTGGGGGTTTTTTGTTACTGTTTTGGTTTCTTGTCTTTTTTGTATTTTTTATTTTTTAGAGATGTGATCTTTCTGTGTTGCTCAGGCTGGCCTCAAACTACTGAGTTCAAATCTCCTCCCAGCTCAGCCTCCACAGTAGCTGGGATTACAGGTCACTGCACTTGGCTTTGGTTTGGGGTTTTGTTTTGTTGTTTTTGTTGTAAGGTATCTCTGTGCTGAGAATAAGCCTGAAATATAAACTTAAGATCTTCACAGGTCTTTTCTGAGCCTTTCCTTGGGCATATGCAGTGACTTTCTAATTCTCCCAGTATATACAGTTGTTTTTTAATGTCCTAGTGTTTGATGTCTGGCTTCCAAATGTTGGAAAGAGAAAAATAAAGGAAAGATAAGAATGGTGCCAACCCTTTACATTGCCCAAATGTTACTTCATCCAGAGGGGAAGTAGCTTGCAACAATGGGGGGAGGTGCAAGAACAATGACTGCCTACCTCTTTGTCTGCACCTTTGTAATCAGAAGCAGCAATCAGTGATAAGAGCACAGATCTCTGATAGTTGAAGGACATAGTCCTTTTTTGCCCACCCTGGCTCCCACAAGCTCTGTATAAGCTGCTCCTGGAACACATGCACAGCTGCCTGCCTTGGGGCTTAGTGGTGGGGGAAGAATATCTGCTACTGTGCTAAGAACTGAAATTGACTAAAATTAACTTCAATTTACCTACGAAGCTTTCTTCTGAAGTTGCAAGCCTTTAATAGACTCTAGAGTTCCAAAGTAGTTGCATCAGACAAATTCTGCCAGTAAAATTTTTGTCTAGGAAGGGAGACAGATTCCTGGTGCTTTCTACTTTGCCATCTTCTCAGAATTCGTTCCTCATTTTCCTTTTATGTGATTCTCCTTTAAGCTAAGCATATTGGAAAAGAAGAAAGAAAGCTGCCATTATTCTCAGATGACATAGAAACCAAAAAATGCGTAGAAAAGTATTTAAGCTAATAATCATGTTTAGTGATATTGCTGGAATTAAAGTTTTTATATAAAGATTAATTGCATTTATAGAAACAAGTAATAAATAGAAGATGCAGTTTAAAATGGTACCATCTATAACAGAGACAAAATATATAAAAGATCTGTAATTTCTTAAGATGTGAAAGACTACTATGGAGAAAGTTATGAAACTTTATTAACAGACACTTTCAAAGATGTAAATAACTTGACAGGCAACCCATTTTCATGGAAAACCTTAAAATCATGAAGATTTTCATTTTTTCCAATGTTATTCCATGTAATTCCAATCAAAATTCCAATGGGGTTTCTTATGGGATTTTTATGATAAAACTAAAATGAAAGCGTAAAAGGCCAAGAAAACTAAGGCATTCCTGAAGATGATAAACAGTGTGTGTGAGTTGGAGGGTGGGATACCATTAGCTATGACAGGTCTGAGGAGTGGTAGAAATGGCATTTCAAATTAGCGTGGAAAAGATGGGTTATTAAAATTATGCTGGGGCAAGTAGTTACCCACATGGAAAAAATGAAATTGGATCAAGTCTATGCACTACACACAAAAGATAAATTTGATAAATTAAGAGCTCAAATTTAAAGGTGACATTTAAAATTTTAGAAGAAAATATAAAGGATATTTACATTCTCAGAGTAGGGAGAAATTTTTCAAATAAGATTCCAAAAAATCAAACTATAAAGAACAAGTGGTGTGCATTTGACTTTATTAAAATTAAGAATTTATTTTCATTATAAGGCACCATAAAGAGAGTGAAAAAATAACCCATAAAGTTGGAAAAGATATGTTCAATGCACGTAACTGAAAAATAATTACAATCCAGAATATATAAAGCATGGCTATAAAAATTAATAAACTTGTGGGCAGCACAATAGAAAAATGGGCAAAAGATACAAGCAGGCATTTCACAGAAAAGGAAACAAAAACAGCCAATAAATGTCAAAAATGCTCAACCACATCAGTAATTTGATAGATATAAACTAAAACTACTCACCTTAATGACACAAATTTTAGTCTGATGATTAAGTTTTGGCAATTTTAGTCTGATGATTCAGTTTTGGCAAAGATGTGGAGTGATAGGAATTCTCATACGTTGCTGTTGGTAGTGTAAATTGATATAACTACTTTGGAAGAAACTTTCTAGCTAAATAGTAAATTTTAATATGCATGTGTTATTTCACTGGGCAATTCCATTCCTAGGTGTAAACACTGGAAAAACTGTTGTAAATGAGTACCAAGAGACATGTGTACAGGAACGCTTATATAGCAGCATGTAGAAGAAAAATACTGAAAATAAAGCATATGTTGTTACACATAAAAAGGATAAGTAAATCACAGCATATTTGTATAATGGAATACCATAGAGCTATGAAAATAAGTGAACAGCTGCTACTTGTACCAAGTGGATAAATCTCAAAAACAATGCTGAGCTAAAAATGCAAGAAATAGAAGAATGCATATGGTATTATTTCATTTCTATAAAGTCAAGACTAATGAATATGTTGAAACTAATATAATAAAGTGATTATAATAAGTGAATATAAAACTAATGAATGTATCATTTGGGGAAACAGACATATGTGATAATACTATAAATGAAGTAAGAAAATAGTTCAAAACTCAGAATAGTGGTTACTCCAGGGGAATGAGGAGCATTTAACTGGGGAGAAGTATGTAGGGTAATAGTCAAAGTTAATGTTATTTTTTAAGTTAGGTGATGGAGAAAAGGTTTTCATTTTTACTTTTTTTTTTTTTTTCTTGAGATGGATTCTCGCTGTCGTCACCTGAGCTGGAGTGCAATGGCACTATCTCAGCTCACTGCAACCTCCGCCTCCCGGGTTCCAGCAATTCTCCTGCCTTAGCCTCCCAAGTAGCTGAGATTACAGGCACCTGCCACCACACCCAGCTAATTTTTGTATTTTTAGTAGAGACGGGGTTTCACCATGTTGACCCAGCTGGTCTCAAACTCCTGACCTCAGGTGATCCACCCGCCTTGGCCTCCCAAAGTGCTGGGATTACAGGTGTGAGCCACCAGGCTTGGCCATATTTTTCTTAAAATGTATACCTAAACTCATGTGTATGGTAGATTTTACAATTAAAGAAACTAAAAATAATACAAGGTTATTGAAAACAATAATGTAAAAGGATACACATGGTCACAGTTTAAAACTATTCATTCTATGACTCATAAACGCAGTAATTCTTTCCAATAACCAAGTGCTCAGATGGGATGCAAGTTTGCTGGGGCTCTTAAGGAGCTATTAAAAAGAAATGTTTAATCTGTAGGTCATGTCATTTATTTAGAACTGGGGATGCCAAATTCAATAGAAAATACCTCACTAGCTATAAATGGTAGCTACACCCTATAGTCCTGAATACGATAAACCTGGAGCTACTGGCTTTGCTGTTTGTTTTTGCAAATCCTTGACTTTGATTTGACATTCTCTTTGGCTCAACTGTATTCTCTTGACTACCTTGGGAAAATGCCTCACTCAGTTTAACTTGGGCCAAAAGCTTGCGTACTTAACACAGGGATCTGGATCTGGTGTTTAATAGCTGATTAATTTTCTCATCAGCAAAATTGGTGTGATAGTAATAATCCTCTTTATAGGGTAAAAGAAACAATAAAGTCAAGCCCTCTGATGATAGTCATTTTTTTTAGTCACTCAGCTTTACTTTTTATTCTTTTAGAATTTCATTTTGTGACCAGTCCTTGTGAAAATGTAAATCCAAGTGCCCTGCCCTTTCCCTAATTGAGGGTCTGGTGTCATACAACAATATGCTTTTTCCCCAGGATTTAATTCTTGTCATTCATAGATGGAAAATAAAATTGGAGTTTATTTCTCCTAAGCCTTCCTCCCACACCCCTCCCCATAGAAAGACTTGGTTTCTATTGTATTAGAGGCAGGTTCTGTATTCTTTTTGATTCTGTGAGTTTCTTCATGTCTTTCAAATATATTGATTTGTGCTTCTTAGAGTTGGTTTTGATTGCTTACAAAATTAAAGCCTAAGTGATATAAGCACCAAATACAGTCTCTGGCACATAGTAGGCACTTGTAGTGTTTGTTGATATGATTATTTTCACAATTGAAATGTTCCCTGAACAACACACACTAGGGCCTGTCAGTGGGGGTGGCACGAGGGAAAGCATCAGGAAAAATAGCTAACGCATGCTGGGCTTAATATTTAGGTGATGGGTTAATAGGGACAGCAAACCACCATGGCACATGTTTACCTATGTAACAAACCTGCACACCTTGCACATGCACCCTGGAACTAAAATAAAATAAAAATTTTTCCTGGCAGCACTTCTATTAGACTTTCTCTGGTTCTGAGAGTAGAACAAAACACTTAACCTACCAATCACAGGAAGAATGGATACAATTTAGTTTCCAAATGTGATAAATGGATAAACCTGTCTGGACTCACAAGAACTCTGCTAAGGTGCTGAAATCCCATAATGATCACCCATATTCCCGCCAACTGCATTCCTGGTATTGTCACAAGACAGCATCATATAAGCAATACAGAAAATATGTGCTAGAGTACATAAAGTAAATCAAAAGAAGGAGAGAGCATTAAGATAGAAAAGATCTGAGTTGGACTTTGAAGAACTGCTAAGATTGGGATAGGCAGTGAGGATAAGGAGACACTGCAGGCAAGACATTACAGGCAAGGAGTGGAGGGATACCTTGAGCAAAGACATGCAAGGCATGTTTGAGGGCAAAGAATAGTCCTTTGGCCAAAAGAGAAATGTATTATAGAACAATGGTAGTGAATTATGTTTGGAAGGGGTAGATTGGAGTTAATTTAAATACAAAGTTCCAGAAACGGTCAAGTTGCAAATATTTCTATGAAGAGACTCATTTCAATATCATCTATATTATTTCTATCCATTAGCAACGCAGTTTTTAGGGGATGTAATTTGAAACTACAGAACACTAGAGAGTTCTTGGTGACCTTTATAGGGGACATTTTGAGATCCAAACATTCTTAGATAAAATTATCATTTAGTCATGACTTGAAGCCATTCCAAAGAACATGTGTGAGTAGAATATTGAGAGAGTAGCACCTAAAGAAGGAAGATTTCTTAGGCACTGATTGTACAAATTACATATGAATAATTCCATGAGGAAAAAAAGGTTTAAGAACAGCTAATAACTTCCAAAGTTTCTTTTTATTTATTTTTCCATAAAGACTTGCTTTGATGCCAGACACAAAATGTCCACAATAGAAAATCTGACCACAGTATCTAAACAGTTGCTTATCAGCCCTTGGAACTGCCAAAAAAGCTATTAAACTGGTGTTTTCCATGGTGATGGTCTCCACCACCCTGTTAGGAGCCATGACATTGTTCTGTCCTTGTTGGGCAGAGAAGGTGGTGATGCTGGTGGTGGGAGGGTGTAGGTTGAAGGTCTTGGGAGGGTGTTTGTAGAAGAGAAGGTCCGTTGATTTACTGATTAACTACATACACATCTGGGTCAAATTGTTCTCTATTTAGAAGCCTTTGTGATAACCACAGAATCAGAACATATAAAAAGCTCTGCGGGACTGGTGCTGACTGCAACCATGACAAAGCTTATTCTCCTCACAGGTGGGTTTGTAATCAGAGATTGACCCTTCATCTTATCTAGTTTCTTTTTCTCTCACAGGCTCTGAAAATCATGAAGTGGTCTTCATACTACATCCCTATACTTTTCCATTCTTCTTTCATCATTTCAAATTTCAAATGAATCTTGTTATATACAAATCAGTCTGCCTCTTGTTCTCTTAACTTCAACTGACTCTGGTAACATTTCTGCTTTTGTTAATCCCATGGACCTGGTCCTAAAGGAAAAGCATACTTTCTCCTAGTGCTAGTCTTACTCTTTCATCTTTTGTTCAGCCATTCATTTTTCTTTACTCTTCTTCCTACGCCATCTCATTTTAATTGGAATAATGTTTATTTATTTGCTTGTGTCCTTGGACTAGCTTTTCTGGGGAAGAAAATCAGTAGGAACTGAGATAGAGTTATGCAAGTTGTCTTTGTTCTGCTGTTTTCAGAATTATTTCTCTATTTACTCCCCTATTATCCTACTGAGTTGATGATGTACCATAAACATGTTAGAAATTAAATTATTCAAAGAGGTTGATTCAGTAAGTTGTTTAGAGACAAGTCATACCAAGAATTTATTAGTTGCTCTAGAGCTGGGATTTGCAAACTGTTTAAGCTTCAGAACCTTTTCCAAATGAAACCTCAAGCTCAATTTATAAAACAATCAGAGTAGAAGAATTGCTTTGTAGAAGTCAGGGAAAGGTATCTGGAGTCTCACCCCATAGTTCCTAGCTCTTCTCTCCTCATATAAGGCCTCCTGAAAGTCATTCCAAAAAACCACTAAAGGCCAGAAGATACTGAATTCTCTGATTTAGCAGATGCCTTATCTGTTGGAAGGCTGTGTTCTATCACTCAGGTAGGGGAAGAACGAATGGATGTGTCATCATTGACTACAGTGATCAGTTGGTGATTTCAGTAAGTACATCTTCCATAGATAGTAAACTTCGGACTCAGCATTCAGGAACATTTATTTGTGACAAGAAAGGTGTGAGACGAAGGTACCACGGTCATTTTTGATAAAGGTGGGGAAAGGTAGATCTACTGTTGTATTCACTGAAAAGCCTTTGGAATCACCACCAAATCTCACTGAGGTTGTAACAATTTATGGCAAATTGGAAGGCAATCAATCCTTCAGAATTAGATTCTACGGGGTACAGACAATCGGTTCAAAGTACATGCTTTTTCTTTCTATCCAGGTCTTGTCCTTATACTGAATTTGCAGCTCGGTAAGTCATGGACTCCATGTTTTATCATTGAATGTATATATACGAGATAAACCATACTATGGAAAGAGAGCCGCTGTTTGCTTCACAGACAGATGGGTTTGATTTGGGAGTAATCTAGTGTTTTGGATTGGCTGTCACTGCTATCCTCTTCAGCATGACCATCTGAATTATAAACTGGTACTCACTGGGCTTCATAGGACTATGGGCATCTTTTCTTAGAAGGCTGCTAGCTAGGCTTATCCAAAATCCCAAAATGAGTCTGTGAAAGTTAAAAATAAACAACTCCAAGTTAGTGACCAGTTCTGAGTTAGAATCTTAGGATGCATTTGCAAGAGTGTTCATACTAATTACCTCCACACAGAGATCAGGCATCTGAGGCACAGGGAGGGAAACAGAGGCAAGGCCAAAACTCACAGCACACTTCAGTGGATCCTAAACCAGGCCATTGTCCCTCCTGCTGACTACACACAGGCTCTGCCTACCAGCTGACATGCTACTTCACCAACTGGGCCCAGTACCGGCCAGGCCTGGGGCGCTTCATGCCTGACAACATCGACCCCTGCCTCTGTACCCACCTGATCTACGCCTTTGCTGGGAGGCAGAACAACGAGATCACCACCATCGAATGGAATGATGTGACTCTCTACCAAGCTTTCAATGGCCTGAAAAATAAGTAGGATGAGGGAGATATTTAATTTGGCATCCCCTTTTTCAGTACTTCCCAAACATTAATGCTTCTTAAAATGTAGTTCAGATCCATGGATCTGAGATGGGGACCAAGACTCTGCATTTCATTTTTCTTTTATAACTGACAAAAATTGTATGTGTTTACTATGGACAATGTAATGTTTTGAAATATGTATACGGTGCGGAATGGCTCAATCGAACTATCAACATATGCATTTCCACAAATACTTAATGTTTTTTGTGGTGAGAACACTTAAAATGTACTGTTTGCAATTTTCAAAATACAATATATTGTTACTAACAATAGTAACCATGTTGTACAATAGACCTCTGCAACTTATTCCTCATTTCTAACTGAAATTTTGTATCCTTTGACCAACATGCCCCCCAACCCCCATCCCCACACCACCCCCAGCCTCTGCTAACGACCATTCTACTATATACTTCTATGAGTTCAACTTCTTTTAGATTCCACTTATAAGTGAGATCATGTGGTATATGTCTTTCTGTGCCTGGTTTATCTCACTTAACATAATATCCTCCAGGTTTATCCATATTGCTGCAAATGACAGGATTTCTGCCTCTTTTTTAAGACTTAATAGTATTCATTGTATATAAAGACCACATTTTCTTTGTCCATTCATCCATTGAGGGGCACTTAGATTGATTCCACATCTTAGCTACTGTGAATAGTGCTGCAATGAACATGGAAATTCAGATATCTCTTCAACACACTGATTTCATTTCCTTTGGATGTAAACCCAGTAGTGTAACTGCTGGATCATATGGTAGTTATTTCTTTGATTTTTTGAGGAACATCTATACTATTTTCCATAATGGGTATACTAATGTTCATTCCCACCAACAGTGGGCAAGAGTTCCTTTTTTTTCCATGTCTTTTCCAACACTTACCTTTCATCTTTTTGATAACAGCCATTCTAAGCGGATTGAGTGGTATCTCATTTGATTTTGATATGTATTTCTCTGATGATTAGTGATGTTGAGCATTTTTTATACACTTGTTGACCATTGGTATGTCTTCTTTTGAGAAATGTCTTTTCAAGTCCTTGGCCCATTTTTTAATCAGGTTATTTGGTTTCTTACTACTGAGTTGTATAAATTTCCTATATATTTTTGATACTAACTAACTCCTTACTTGACATATGGTTTCCAACTATTTTCTCCCATTCCATAGGTAGTCTCTTCACTCTGTTTCCTTTGTCATGCAAAAGCTTTTTAGCCTGATGTAATCCCATTTGTCTATTTTTGCTTTTGTTGCTGCACTTTCCAGTCATATCCAAAAAATTCTTGCTGTAGCTCTTGGAGCTTTTTTTTAAGGTTTTCTTTCAGTAGTTTTACAATTTGAGGTCATAAATTTAGATCTTTAATCCATTCTGAGTTGACTTTGTTCAGTTTAGTCATATTTAAGAGAAGGAAAGCTACAGGTGATTGCTACTATCAGTAATGGCATTATCGTGAATACAGCTACTAGAATTTAAGTTACAATGACTAAGAGTAAATAAACTCCTTTACGGCAGTGTTTCTTGAAGTGTGCTCCATTGACTACTTGCCTCAAAATCATGTGAGGTACCTGAGTAAGTGTTAGTCCCTACTGCAATCCAACCGAATTGGAATCTCAGGGGAAGGGGCGATAAACCCAGATTTTTCATGTTGTCCTCCCACAACCCTTGCACTTAATTATTATGTATGTTAATGTTTGGGAATCTCTATTCAAGAGAATGTGTATAATTTCAAGCCAATTAATTTATTTTAACATTACAGAGGCTAAAAATGTAATTAAGCTCAAGCAACATTTACCATTTTATCTGATAGAATAGAATATTATATTAGCTATTCATGTTTTTTAAACTTACACAATCAAAGATACTGCCAACACACAATATTTTTTAAAGCCCAGTTTCAAAATTTAGATTTCCCTAGGGAACCCTGAGTGCATTCATGACAGGAACAACACAAAGAATTTTTATAAAGGAAGTTTTCAGTAGGGGAGGAAAATTGTTCTACAAAAGGCAAAACAAAAATATCTGACCAGATCCAACACTAAAGCAATGTATTTTAAATGGAGGGAGTCCTGACTTTTGAAGTTTATCTGTTTCTATCCTTTGTTTTACAGGAACAGCCAGCTGAAAACTCTCCTGGCCATTGGAGGCTGGAACTTCGGGACTGCCCCGTAAGTCTTCTATGGAGAGCATGTTGTTCGTTTGCTATGGAAAACAAGTTAGCCCCATGTGATCACTGTCCCTTTAGACTTCACAATCTAAGACAGGGTATTGAGGATGTACATAAACAAATATATGAATTAAATATATTGCTACACCAGAACCTCATTATTAAGTGGAACACAATTTATTTCATACATTTAATTTGGTGGACATTTGGGGGCCCTATCCACAGAGGTTTACTTACTGAGGTTCCCAAACAACCTCTTCTTAAAGTATTTCAAGAGTACAAACCCTGAGGACAGTGTTATAATGCTTCCCTCTATTTATCTTCTGGTGGGGGGAGGAATGAGAAAATCACACAAATAAACAAGAGGACTTCTTGGAGGGTACATGTTTGGGGAGGGAACACAGTGTGCTGGGTTTGCCAGGTATCCAAAGAAACAAGGGCAACTTGGGAGAAAGAGCAGAGTTGGGGGGATAACAGAATAAAGGGAATGTTAAGATACCATGGCTGGGAAGAGTAGTGATTACAAAGGAAGGAGAGGAGAAAACCAAGAACATGCTTTACTCTGGGCTGTGGGTCCTGATGAAGGGCTCTGAGGCAGGAATTGAGAGCTTGATTTTACTCCAAGGTGTTGGGACCACCAAGGTCTCACCCTGCCTTCTTTGGGTCTCCCTCAGTTTCACTGCCATGGTTTCTACTCCTGAGAACCGCCAGACTTTCATCACCTCAGTCATCAAATTCCTGCGCCAGTATGAGTTTGACGGGCTGGACTTTGACTGGGAGTACCCTGGCTCTCGTGGGAGCCCTCCTCAGGACAAGCATCTCTTCACTGTCCTGGTGCAGGTGGGGAAGGAAGTCCCAGTCTTTAGCCCAAAAAGATTCAAAGTCTTTCTTTCCGAGGAGAATTGGGTGGCTCTAGGGTAAAACAAAACTTGAATTTAAACTGATAGAATATTAGCATTGCAAAGAGTCTTATATATCGTGCGTTCATTAAACAAACATTTAATGGCAACAACAAAGCAACATGTGAGCTCTGTGCCAGGCACTGCTCTACATGTTGTTTTAAGAACCATAACTCATTTCATCTTCATATTTACTCTATGGCATACATACTATAAGTGTTATAATCTTTATTTTACAGATGAGGAAACTAAAGTACAGAGAGGATTTAAGCAACTTGCCCAAGATCACACAACTAGTAGGAATCATAACTTCCTCTGCAGTTTGGCCACAGAGTCCATTGCTTCTAAGCATTACACTAGGCTGCCCGTTATTACTGAGTACATATTCTGTGGCAGACATTGTCAGGCTAAATATAAGAATAAGACACTATCCTTGGCTTTGAAGAACTTCTTCTGAGGTGGAAGACTGAAAGAATATGAACAATGGCAATGCATTGTGATAAATGCCATGTTAGAGGTCTGCAGAGTACAAAAGTAACAAGGAAAGAGGGTAACTAATTCTGCTCTGGGGCAGGATCAGAAAGTGTTTCCTAGAGAAAGTGATGCTTGGGCTCAGTCTTGAAAGAAACTGGTGTTAACCAATTAAGTGAGGATGGGAATGGCACAAATGATATACAGATAAGTGTGAGCAAGTGGGTGATAATGGCTGTGAAGTTGCATGAAGAACCAGATAATGTGAGAACTTTTATATTATGTTCAGGAATTTGCACTTTACCTTTGACACAATGGGACTGTTTTGAAGAATTTTAAATAGTAGAGAGCTGGCTTTTACCATAGAGGATAAATTAGAAGGAGATGAGAAGTCATGGATAGAATTAGGAGGTTATTGCAGTAAATCAAGCAAGAAATGATCAGGGCCCCAACAAAGGCTCTAACACTGAGGGAAGAAGAGGATGTATATAAGAGATATCAAGAGGATAGAATCAATAGGATTTGGAGATCAACTGGAAATAGGAAATGGAGAGGACCTCCAATTTTCTGACTTTGAGGATGGGTTTGATTTTAATGCTATTAACTAAGATGGTAAATACAGGAAGAAGTGTAGATTTGAAAGAAGAAGAATTGACCTTGAACTTGATGAGTATGAGGTATCTGTAGAGCATCCTAACAGAGTGCCCAGTAGGCATCAGATAAATATCAATCTGGAGTTCAGGACAAAAAAGCTTGATATACTTGGTTTTTAGACTTACTGTCTCCCAAGACAGATTGTTTGCTATTCCATTCTATGTAACAGATCGTCACCCAGCCTCTGAATAGTTTCAATGTTAAGTAATAGGTGAAAAGTCAATTTACTTACTTGTTGAATTGCCCTAATGATCATAAAGGAATATCTCTTTCTTGGCTGGAACATGCCTCTAGTCATAATTTATAACTTCTGGTCATTGTTTCTAGTTCTTCCTGCTGAAGCAACAGAGAATAAGACTGCATCTTTTGCAATATATGGGCTTAATGTCTTAAGACAGCTGTAAATACCTTGCCTATAATTTCTCTTATTCCAGTTAAATATCTTAATGCCTTCAATCAATAACCGCATGACAATTTTCAGAGCCAGCCTTCACTGGAACATACTCTGGCGCACCCTAATAGTGCAATTATAAGAACTAAACCCAGTACTCCAAATGAGATTACAGTCGCACAGATACAGGTGGATTAATCTCTAGTATTGAATGGGAACCTATCATCTAGCTGTTACCACCTTCCTTATTGGCCAATACACCATTTTATTTGATGGGATGTCAGTCCTATAAAGTAGTTCATCTACTTTATGAAACAAATTTCTATACTGCTGGATGTAGGGTATCACTGCAACTAGAGCTTCAAAGTATAGAGATACAATGGAGCCCTGATGGTCATCTGGGACCTGGGTTTTGGTCATGACCTACCTACTAACTCAGTGTGGGACTTTGGTGAAGTGTCCTAACTCTTATGCATATTAGATAGCCAGAAAATTCAATAATATTATCTATCCGATCTACTTTATTTGGTTGTTGAGAGACTAAAGTAAAATAAAATATGTGAAAGCAATTTAAGAGAGAGAAGCATTATACAGACATATGTTTATTAGTATTATTTAAGGAGCTAAAATCAGCATCATAGATGTCCTATTATGCCTTATTATTCTGTAGGAAATGCGTGAAGCTTTTGAGCAGGAGGCCAAGCAGATCAACAAGCCCAGGCTGATGGTCACTGCTGCAGTAGCTGCTGGCATCTCCAATATCCAGTCTGGCTATGAGATCCCCCAACTGTCACAGTGAGTGATGTGCCTTATCTTCAAACTCCTGGAGGTGTCACTCGGGCACACTAGACTTGTCCTTGGTCTGGCTTGCTATTCAGGGACCTTGTTTAGGAGACTTTAGAAGTGGTGTCCTGTGCCTGCATAGGTGTGGGAAATGACCATCAGAATGATTTTAAATCCTCCACCCCACCTCAGGTACCTGGACTACATCCATGTCATGACCTACGACCTCCATGGCTCCTGGGAGGGCTACACTGGAGAGAACAGCCCCCTCTACAAATACCCGACTGACACCGGCAGCAACGCCTACCTCAATGTGGTGAGTCCCTGTACAGATGCAAGAGCAGACCAGAGATGATGATGAAAATCACATAGAGATTCAGGCACAAAAGGCATCATAAGTTTAGTGGTTTTCTCAAATGGGAAATTAGGCTGCCATAATTAATTAAATATTCTCATTTAATTTCACACAGAGACTGGGACACAAAGTAAACATAAATTCTGCAAGTGTCTCACTTAAACAACTGTCCTCAAGTTGATCGTATTTCATTAACTACAACTTCACCAAAATGTTTTGAAAAAAATACTAATCCATCTGGAATTAACAGCATAGAGTTTTACCTGTCGGAATAGGGGACTAATATAACTAAGTACTGGGTCCTCAGCTGGTTGGGCCATGTAACTAACCCACTGACATTGCAGGATTATGTCATGAACTACTGGAAGGACAATGGAGCACCAGCTGAGAAGCTCATCGTTGGATTCCCTACCTATGGACACAACTTCATCCTGAGCAACCCCTCCAACACTGGAATTGGTGCCCCCACCTCTGGTGCTGGTCCTGCTGGGCCCTATGCCAAGGAGTCTGGGATCTGGGCTTACTACGAGGTATGTAGATTGGACTGAAAAGTGCTCTGTGAATTCCGTGCACTGTGCCTTAGGGCTAGAATCTGCTGAAATCTTGAATGTTCATTCTGTCTCCTACCTAAATGCTTTAAACACAGCTGCTTAAAGTGTTTAAATAGCATTCATTTACATAATCCAAATGAATAGCATTTAACAATGCATAATATCCCTTCACACAACAGACTACCTTTTAAATGTAATTTATATTAGCACACAGGTAATAAAATAAATATACCTCTCATATTACTGTGGGTTCCCAAAATCATTTGACAAGCAACTTGATCCTCTTTACTACAAATAAAAACCTGTAACTAGAAATTGAGCAAAACCCCAACTGGAGACATGAAAGAAGAAAAATTTGAAACATGTTTTTCTTTAATGGGAGTAACATTTAATAGATTTGAATCTCTTGACTTTTGAAAGATCTGTACCTTCCTGAAAAATGGAGCCACTCAGGGATGGGATGCCCCTCAGGAAGTGCCTTATGCCTATCAGGGCAATGTGTGGGTTGGCTATGACAACATCAAGAGCTTCGATATTAAGGTAAGATCAGTCCCTTAAATGTGCTGAGGTCCCAGCCCTGAGTCCCAGGAAAGCAAGTGATTCCTGTTATCCTCTTTCTTTAAACAGGCTCAATGGCTTAAGCACAACAAATTTGGAGGCGCCATGGTCTGGGCCATTGATCTGGATGACTTCACTGGCACTTTCTGCAACCAGGGCAAGTTTCCCCTAATCTCCACCCTGAAGAAGGCCCTCGGCCTGCAGAGTGCAAGTAAGTGACTGAGGGGGAATGCCCAGGTGTATAAATACCCCTTCTCCAACTCAAAAAGCAACCCTGATGTCTTCCCACCTCCCCCTTGCCCAGGGATCCTCTTTCCACTTCACCTCACCGCTCTTGCCCAGATGAGAGACAGGTTTTACCCTTGAACGGCCATGTCAGGAACATTGTGCACTTATGGGAAGCCAGGCCTAACTGGGTGGGTGTTCTAAGTCTGCTAAGTCTTAAGGGTGTGGAAGAGCCTCAAGAAATTATACTAACATCAATATAAGTATCTGCTTCTCTATGAATCCCTTATTCAAAATCTTTCTCAGCCCACCTGGGGAGATTTAAGAAACCCTCACCAATGCTCACATATCTCTAATCAGTGATTCAGGGGATGTATCAATTCTCTAAATTTTTTCCAGATTTTTCCTAGAATTTATTTGTTCACCATTTATGCCCAGATTCTAGAAAAGTGTTTTGCATACATTTGGTGGTTAGTAAATTTTTTTTTGAATGATTTAGATGTTATAAGGAAAGAGCAACCTTTTTTTACAATTAAAAGCCAGGCTGGCTTGACACAATAGCTTTATTTATCTCCTGAATATGGAGCTACTTTCTCTTCTCAGTTGCAGGGATCCAGAGCCAACTGCACCCCACCTCCACACTTCCACTCCCACAGTTCTCTTCACCTCTAGGTGAAGCTTAGAGCCTCTCCCAAGCCCACTAGTCTGCTCTTACTGCTGTATGTTTCAGGTTGCACGGCTCCAGCTCAGCCCATTGAGCCAATAACTGCTGCTCCCAGTGGCAGCGGGAACGGGAGCGGGAGTAGCAGCTCTGGAGGCAGCTCGGGAGGCAGTGGATTCTGTGCTGTCAGAGCCAACGGCCTCTACCCCGTGGCAAATAACAGAAATGCCTTCTGGCACTGCGTGAATGGAGTCACGTACCAGCAGAACTGCCAGGCCGGGCTTGTCTTCGACACCAGCTGTGATTGCTGCAACTGGGCATAAACCTGACCTGGTCTATATTCCCTAGAGTTCCAGTCTCTTTTGCTTAGGACATGTTGCCCCTACCTAAAGTCCTGCAATAAAATCAGCAGTCAAAACATGACTGTCCTTGCTTTTAAGTGATTTGGGTGGAAACCTCTTCCAGATATGAAAATAGGGGCTATGCATGGGGGTGGAGTGGTGGAGTAGAGTGTGAGAGGAAGTGGTGGAGCTAACAGCGCCACAGTCTTCTATCTGCCTGTGTTCATCTGCATGAAGGTTGGAAGCTGTAAGGAGGAAATGTCTGAATGTTTGGTGCATGGGAGGGATGAGGATATGAAGAGGATAGGTCTGTCACCAGGCAATTTTCCTCAGGAAGGAGCTGAAGTGCTTCTGTAAGACTGGGGGACATAAGCAGTGCTGCCTGGCTTGCTCAAGGAGTGGAAGACTGGGACATCCTCTCCACTTCTACTGAAGTGGACTGGCAGCTTCGGGAAGATTTGTGCAGTAGACTCCATTTAGGGTTTCTGCCTAGCCCATGGGCCAGCCAGGCTCCCTTTCTCAGGAGATGACACCTACCATTGGAATCGTAGTGGTGGCCACCAGCTGCTGTGCTTGTATGCATACCCCCTCCCATGGCTTGGCTGATAGACTGGGATAGACATCAGGCTCAAGAGGGCCAATAAGATTATCACACCTCAGAATTTGCAGCTCGGAACAAGGAATTGCCTGTCATCACTCGTGTGGGTGGGTCTGCAATATGTAAGCTCAGGAGCTGTAGCGAGGGACTAGGGGGAAGGAAAAGTTGTCCTACATGCAGAGCTGAGCTACAGACAAAAGCCAGGATGTGAGATGAGAGAGAACATTTACTGATAGACGGCTTTCTTCTTCTTCTTCTTCTTCTTCTTTTTTTTTTTTTTTTATTGAGATGAAGTCTCGCTCTATCAGCAGGCTGCAGTGCAGTGGCATGATCTCGGCTCACTGCAACCTCGGCCTCCCGGGTTCAAGTGATTCTCCTGCCTCAGCCTTCCAAGTATCTGGGATTACAGGCACGTGCCACCATGTCCAGCTAATTTTTGTATTTTTAGTAGAGACGAGGTTTCACCATGTTGGTCAGGCTGGTCTCAAACTCCTGACCTCAAGTGATCCACCCACCTTGGCCTCCCAAAGTGCTGGGGTTATAGGCATGAGACACCACGCCTGGCCAGATAAATAGCTTTCTAGCTCTTGATTATAGTTCCTTCCTGAGGCCCAGATGCACTTTTGCCTATGGATTTTGTGAAATATCCCTATAATTACATAATAAATTCCTCTTTGCTGCTTAAGCTGACTAAAGTTTGCTTCTTTTACATGCAAATGAAAGAAACCTAAATAATGTAATGAGAATATAAGGGCTCATTTCTTTTTTTCTGGCATTCTTACTATGTGTCAAACTGTTCTAAGTGTTTTACATGTATTTTCCTATTTAGTTTTCCTAGCAACTTTATGAGGTGGATAACGTTAACTCCAGGAAACTGAAGTAGAGATGAATTAATTAACCTGCCCCAAATCACACAGCTAGGTAGTTGCAGAGCCAGATACATAGCCAGGTGGACTGGCCCCAGAGCTCACAGTCTTATCTACTATGTTTTACTTGCCTCCCTTGACACACACCACATTGTTCTCATGGGAGATGACAACACTGGTGGCAGTGATGAGGTGCACACCACTCTCTGGGCAACATCATTCATTCATAAACTCACACCATTTATTGATTATTATGTGTCAGGTGATATTCTAGGTACTGAAGACATAGTGGTAAATAAGACATACTCTACTCTCATGGGGATTATATTTTGCTAGTGGAAGTGTTAGATGATAAATAAGCAAATGAACAAATGAGAAAAATAAAACAGTGATAGAAAGTGACCAAAAGAGGAGACTACTTTATTTGGAGCAATCCCAGAAGGCTTCTCTGAGGAGGTCCTATACAAGATGGCCTTGACAGTCAAAAAGAGTTGTCTGTTTTGGGATCTGGGAAAAGTGTGTTTTGGGCAGAGGGACTAAGTACAAAGTCCTTGAGGTGGAAATGAACATGGAGTGTTAGATACAAGAAGCCCAGTATGGCCATGAGATGGTGGGCACAGGGAAGAAATAGGCAGGGGTCAGATCATTCAAGGGCTTGAAACATGGTTAGAAGTTTGTATTTTATTGTAAGTGGGCTGTGAAGCCATTGGAAAGTGATAATAGGGATGGGGTTGATGACAGGATCTAAATTCAACATTGATGAGATGAGGCTGGAATAGGATTAAAGAATATAGGAAAATGGCACTCATGGCGATGGTAGCCAATGGATTGACTGAGCACCTTTGTGACATGCCTTGAAGATTGAAGACAGAAGTGGGGGACTTGTGTCTTCAATGAGCAGAGGAAGGCAAGAGACAGTAAAAGTGGGTATCACTAGTAATGTCGTTATATTTCTAGTCAAAGAATGATGAAATCTGGAGTAAAATAGAGCATAGAAATTTTGGGGGTGGCTTTTGAAAGGAGTTTCCTATTTAGGTCACTACTAAAGTAAATAGCACTGAGGGGGGACATGGGGATGTGGGGCTCTGGAGTTAATGAAAAAATGACATGACATCAGCTGTTGGCTTTGAGGAAGAGCATCTTTGAACAACTTAGTGTCCAGTGGCTAAATCAAAGTGGTTTTCAAAACTAGCACCTTTTTCAATGCCACTATTTTCCCACAAAGATGAATTCTGCCACCATTTCTAGAACAGGGAAATTATTGCAGCCAAAACAAGTAGTGTCCCCTCCATTTTTCTTCCTATTTTTACATATTAATTGGTCATTCAAATGCATGTTTACTGTGCACCTACTATGTGCAAAAAGACGGTGAGCATGAGCTAGCTCCCCTGACCACTCTGACCTCACCTCCAACAATTCTCACTCACTCCATTCCAACTATGTCATCTTCTTGCTGTTTCTCAAGTATTCCAGGCATGTGTTGCCTCAGGGCCTTCATACAAGCTAGAACACACTTTCCATAGATTTCCATTTGACTCTTTCCCTCACTTTCTTCAGGCTTTTCCTGGAAGTCACCTTCTCAGTGAGGTCTTTCCTGGCCACTCAACCTGATTTTGAAACCCCCTTTCTCTGCCTCTGCCTGCTGTGCTTCTTTTGCCCTTTCTTGACACTTGTCACTACCTGACCTACCATTCATTTAACGTATTTACCTTTTTTATCGTCTACCTCCCTCACTAGTATTAACCTCCATGAGGAAAGGCATTTCTGTTCACTGCAACATTCTCACTGCCTAGAACAAGGCCTGGCATATTATAAGAGAATAAATACTTGGTGAATTAATAAATGAATGTGGTAAAGGAAGTGAGATAGGAATTAACAAGCTGACCCCTCACGTCAGGTGGTGTGTGGTCCATGGCAGACTTCTCTCAGCAGACACAAAGGGTTGGGTAGGCCTGCAGTTTCATGCAGGTCAGTCCTGGGTGCCTACCACTCACAGGAGGATGAATTCTCTCTTCTTGTTACCTGCCTGCAATTTCCCATCCCCAGGCATAGAAGATAACATGTTATGCCCCGACTGTGCTAAGAGGAATAAGAAGATGATAAAAAGATTAATAACAATAGAGAAGTAGCAGCAACCCGTTTGAATACAATGTAAGAGACCAGAATATGCCACCTCAAAATAAGTATTATTTTGATTTGAAGGCAACTGAAAAGAGTCACATGCAAGAGAAATTCTCTGCCTTCCCACTATAGTCTAAAAAACAGGACATAAATTTATAAAAGTCTCTTGTCCATTCTCTACCAGGAAGGACAAATGGTGGTGAGCCTGTAGATGACTTGCATCCCAATCATTGCTGTGCGGTGTCCTGACCATATTTGGTGTCTCCTGATGCCTTCTGTACTGATTTATTAAACATTTAGCTGTACGGGAAAAGAAAAACAAGCTGAATATTTCAAGCATCAGGCAATGTACTTTATATAGGTTATCTCCTACTTAGTGAGTATTGTCCCCAGGTTTCAGGGTGAGGAAATCAAGACCTTGTGAGGATAAGCAACTTGCCAAGGATCACAGAGCTGGTAATTAGTGGACCTCATTCTCAAAAATTAGGCCTCTCTGGCTCTCTTTAAACCACAATGCTGCCTTGCACAAATCAATGTCACAATGACTTGAAGAGGGACTTCCAGAGTGGGGCTGTTGCTTAGCAGCCAGTCTTAGTTACACCCTTCATTTTCTTGGTTAAAGTCCCCATGTGAGAGTGGCAACTCATGGAAATAATACATGAGAGATCCAGGCTTACTGGAAGTTCCCCTGAGGACCTGTTCTTGCCCAGAACGACTGAGGAATCCAGAAGGTCCATGCTATCTTCTCTACCTGGGAGCTTGAGAGGCAACAAAACCATATCATGGATCAGACAGCCATACATCTGGAACTTTGGTAATGGTAATCATGTTCTTGGACTCTAGTAGATGTATGAAAACTCATCCTTTTAGCATTGGAGTCTAACTGGAAAGAAGTAGAATATTCACAAGGTCTCTGATTACACAAGTTCTCTGATTCTGGATGGAGGCAGAGAGAGTGTTCCACTCACCAAATTATTTGTTTCAGCAAGGGCCAGCTCCCATCTTAATAAACCTGCACTGTTTCTTCATTTGCACAAAGATACCATTGGAGCCAGCTGCAGCCCTGGGCATGGAGGTGGTAAAGTGGAAGTGCCTTAATATTTGTTAAATACCAAATATAGGTTAGTCCCTCACTGTATACGATTTGTCCTTGTGTTAGCTCTGAAATTCTTATGGCATCCTTAGGAGGAAAGAAATGATTCATGCCATTTTATAGATAAACCAAGGCTTAGGAAGTTTAAGTAACTTCCACAAGGTCACATAGTTAGTCAATGACAGACTAATACTTATTGAAAGCCAGTGCTGAGAAATTTCAAAGCCTTTATTCATTCCTCTACCATCAGATGGTAGATGTAGGTTTTAAGAAAGTCTGGAAGATAGTATGTAGAAATTATATTTTCCTCCTCTCTTTCTCTCTTCTCCAGAATAGAGATCTCTATTCTCTTGGACAGGGATTCTCAATCCTGCTTTGAGTGGTAGATTATTTTATAACACTCTATTTATTATCCTAAAATTAGAATTAATTCATGGATAACATAACCTACTACATATAATTTCACAAACAACTTGGTATAATGCCCTAACTATAAAGTAAAGGAGAAAAAATAATTTCTAACAAAATAATATGGATTTCAGTACATAAATGTTTAGATGTAACTACTTTAGAGACAAAGAAGTAGTCAGATTCTTGCACCATATGTTGTATAATGAATTAGTCCAGAATTAAGAGATCAGAAGTCCTTTCATACAAGCAGTTTAGGAAAATAAAAGAATAGAGTTATAAGTGGACACCAGAACAAAAACCAGTATTAGGAGAACTAATAACACTCCAGATTTACCAATTTCTGATAGCAGAAAAAGGTAAATAGCTTTAGTTGAAATAGGAATAATACCTAGACAAATTACAAGCCATTGAAATGAAAAGAGGAAGAGAGTGTAAACATGCTGTTTTTTTACTGATGCATTATATTTTACCTATTTATGGGGTACATGTGATATTGTTACTTGCATAGAATGTGTAATGACCAAGTCAGGGTATTTGAGGTGTCCAGTACTTTGAGTATTTGTCACTTCTATATATTAGGAACAATTCAAGTCCTCTCTTCCAGTTACTTTGAAATATACAATTTGCTATCAATAACCATAGTCACTCTGCTGTTGAATGACAGAACTTACACCTTGTATCTAAGTGTATGTTTGTACCCGTTAACCTATCTCTCTTCATCCCCCACCACCCACTCACTCTTTCCAGCCTCTAGTATCTACCATTCTACTCTCTATTCTCTACCTTTATGAGATCGACTTTTTTAGCTCCTACATATAAGTGACATTGTCTTTCTGTGTCTGGGTTATTTCACTTAACATAATGACCTCGGGTTCTATCCATGTTGCTACAAGTGACGTGATTTCACTCTTTTTTTATAACCAAATAGTATTTCATTGGGTATATATACTACATTTTCTCTATCCATTCATCTGTTTGTTTTATATCTTTACAATTGTGAATACTGCTGCAATAAACACACAAATGCAGGTATCCCTTTGATATACTGCTAGATCATATGGTAGTTCTATTTTTAGATTTTTGCAATTTCCATACTGTTTTCCATAGTAGTTATAATAATTTCCATTTCTGCCAACAATATATAAGAGTTCCCTTTTCTCCACATCTTCACCACCATCTGTTACTTTTAGTCTTTTTAATAATAGCCATTCTAATTGGGGTAAGATGGTATCTCATTGTGGTTTTAATTTGCACTTTTCTGATGATTAGTAATGTTGAGTTCTTTTCATATCCACGTTAGCCATTTCTTTGTCTTCTTTTGAAAATTGCCTATTCATGCCTTTTGTCCAATTTTTAGTGAGATTTTATTTGTTTTTTATTTTTGAGTTGTTTTACTTCCTTGTATATTGTGGATATTAGTCCCTGTCTATGAATACTTCGCAAATATTTTCTCCCATTCAACAGGTTATCTCTTCACTCTATTGATTGCCTCATTTGCTGCACAGAAGCTTTTTAGTTTAATATAGTCGATTTGTCTATTTTTTTAATTATCTGTGCTTTTGATGTCTTAGCCATAAAGTCTTTGCCTAGACCAATGTCCTGAAGTGTTTTCCCTATGTTTTCTTCTAGTAGTTTTATAGTTTCAAGTCTTACATTTAAATCCTTAATAAATCTTATGTTGATTTTTTTATATGATGAGAGATAGAGGTCCAGTTTCATTCTTTTGCATTTGAATATCCATCTCTCCTTGTTGTGTCTGTGCCAGGTTTTGGTACCAAGATGATGTTGGCCTCATAGAATGGGTTGGGGAGGAGTCCCTCCTCCTCAATTTTTTGGAATCATTTCTGTAGGAAAATGGTCCCAGCTCTTCTTTGTACTTCTGGTAGAATTCTGCTGTGAATCTATCAGGTCCCAGGCTTTTTTTTTATTTGTAGGCTATGTATTACTGATTCAGTTTCAGAGCTTGTCATTGGCCTATTCAGGGAATTAATTTCTTCCTGGCTCAGTCTTGGGAGGGTGTATGTGTCCAGGAATTTATCCATCTCTTCTAAGTTGTCTAGTTTTTATGTGTAGAGGTGTTCTTAGTAGTTTCTGATGGTTATTTTTATTTCTGTGGGATCGGTTGTAACATTCCCTTATCATTTCTAATTGTATTCATTTGGATCCTCCCTCTTTTCTTCTCTATTAGTCTAGCTAGTGGCCTATTTTATTATTTTTTCCAAAAGCCAACTCCTGGATTCACTGATTTTTTGAATTTTTTTTTGTCTTAATTTCCTTCAGTTAAGCTCTGATTTTTGTTATTTCTCATCTTCTGCAAGCTTTGGGGTTGATTTGTTCTTGCTTCTCTAATTCTTTTAGTTGTGAAGTTAGGTTAATTTGAGATCTTTCTAATGTTCTGATGTGGACATTTAATGCTATGAATTTTCCTTTTAACGCTACTTTAGCTGGGTCCCAGAGATTCTGGTATGTTGTTATCTTTGTTCTCATTATTTTCAAAGAACTTCTTGATTTCTGCCTTAATTTCATGATTTACCCAAAAGTCATTCAGAAGCATATTGTTTAATTTCCATGTAATTGTATAGTTTTGAGCGATTTTCATAGTCTTGACTTCTATTTTTATTGTGCTGTGGTTTAAGAGTGTGTTTGGTATGATTTTGGTTCTTTTACATTTGTTGAGGATTATTTTATGTCCAATTATGTGGTCGATTTTAGAGTATGTGCCAGGTGGCAATGAAAAGAATGTATATTCTGTTGTTTTTAGATAGAGAGTTCTGTAAAGGTCTATCAGATCCATTGGGTCCAATGTTGAGTTTAGGTCCTGAATATCTTTGTTAATTTTCTTCCTCAGTGATCTGTCTAATACTGTCAGTGGACTGTTGAAGTCTGTCAATATTATTGTGTGGGAGTCTATGTCTTTTTGCAGGTTGCTAAGAACTTGCTTTATGAATCTGTGTGCTTCTGTATTGGGTGCATATATATTTAGGAAAGTTAGGCCTTCTTATTGAATTGAACCCTTTATCATTATGTAATGCCCTTCTTTGTCTTTTTTTATCTTTGTGAGTTTGAAATCTGTTTTGTTGGAAATTAAGAGGCAACTCCTCCTTTTTTCTGTTTTCCATTTACTTGATGGATTTTCCTACATCCCTCTATTTTCAGCCTATGAGTGTCATTACTTGTGAGATAAGTCTCTTGAAGACAGCACACCATTAGGTCTTGCTTTTTTATCCAGCTTGCCTCTCTGTGCCTTTTAAGTGGGGCATTCAGCCCAGTTACATTCAAGGTTCATATTAATATGTGTGGATTTGATCCTATCATTGTGCTGTTAGCTGGTTATTATGTTGCCTTGTTTGTTTAGTTGCTTTACAATTACACTGGTCTGTGTGCTTAAGTGTGTTTTTGTGTTAGCTAGTAGTGGTCTTTCTTTTCTATATTTAGTGCTCCTCTCAGGATCTCTTGTAAGGCAGACCTGGTAATGAATTCTCTCAACATTTACTTATCTAAAAAGGATCTTATTTCTCCTTCACTTAGGAAGCTTAATTTGGCTGGATATGAAATTCTTGGTTGAATATTGTTTTTCTTTAGAAGTGTTGAATATAGGCCTCCAATCTCTTCTGGCTTGCAGGGTTTCAGCGGAGAGGTCACCTGTTAGCCTCATGGAGTACCCTTTGTAGGTGACCTGACCTTTCTCTCTAGCTGCTTTTAACATTCTTTCTTTCATCTGGACCTTGGAAAATCTGATGATTGTGTCTTGGGGATGATCTTCTTGTGTAGAATCTTGCAGGAGTTCTCTGTATTTCCTGAATTTGACTGTTGGCCTCTCTAGCATGGTTGGGGAAGTTTTCATGGATGATATACTGATACATGTTTTCCAAGTTGTTTGCTTTCTTCCCCTCCCTTTCAGGGATGCCAATGATTCATAAATTCGTCCTCTTCACATAAACCCATATATATATATATATATATATATATATATATATATATATATAATTTTTTTTTTTGAGATGGAGTTTTGCTCTTGTTGCCCAGCCTGGAATGCAGTGGCACAATCTCGGTTCACTGCAACCTCCACCTCCCAGGTTCAAGTGATTCTCCTGCCTCAGCCTCCTGAGTAGCTGGGACTACAGGCATGCACCACCATGCCTGGCTAATTTTGTATTTTTAGTAGAGACAGGGTTTCACCACATAGGCCAGGCTGGTCTTGAACTCCTGACCTCAGGTAATCAGCCCGCCTCAGCCTCCCAAAGTGCTGAGATTACAGGTGTGAGCCACCACACCCAGTCATAATCCCATATTTCTCAGAAGTTTTGTTCATTCCTTTTCATTTTTTTCTTTATTTTTGTCTGACTGTCTTATTTCAGAGAACCAGTATTCAAATTCTGAGATTCTTTCCTCAGCTTGGTTTATTCTGGTGTCAATATTTGTGATTGCATTGTGAAATTCTTGTATTGTGGATCTGTCAGATCCATTAGGTTCTTTTTTATACCAGATATTTTGTACTTCAGCTCCTGTATTGCTTTATTGTGATTTTTATTTTTCCTGGATTGGGTTTTGCTATCCTCCTGAATCTTGATAATCTTTGTTCCTATCCATATTCTGAATTCTATTTCTGTTATTCCAGCCAGTTCAGCCTGGTTAAAAACTCTTGTTGGAGAGCTGGTATGGTCATTTGGAGGATATACCACACTCTGGCCTTCTGAGTTACTAGAGTTCTTGCATTGGTTCTTTCTCATCTCTGACTGTGGGTGTGCATTTAACTGCAGTGTAGATTGAGTACAATCACTACACTTCTTTTCTGGATGTGTTCACCAGGCTGAGGCTTTGTGTGGGGCCTTTATTTGAAGCTGACTTCTTGCCTCTGGTTTCAGAGGGAGGCTCGTTAGTGAGGTATTTTTGGTGTTGAAGCTTTGGGGTGTGATCCAGCAAGTGGCACTTAGGCTTATTGGTCAGTCAGTAGACTCTTGCTTGGTTATGCAGCTTCCTATGTTTCTGCACAGTTGCAGCATTTTCTTTTTCAATGCTCTGAAATTGCAGAGTTCTTCTCCCACTTCAGTGCTGGCCATAGATTGTGACTTGGCACTCCTGAGTTGCCCACTGCAGCTCTGGGGTGATCTCAGTGCTTATGTTTCTTCCTCACCATGGAGGCAGCAGAGGAAGAGATCTTAGTAGTGGTTGTGGCCAAGGGTTACTTGCTTGTCTCCTGGGGGCTCCACCCCAAAGAGATGCAGTTCAGCAATCACTCAGTGCAATCAGCCCAGGATGGAGGGTCTGTGCTGTGGGCCCAAGCCAGGGGTTCCTTGTCTGGTGATGAGCAGTTGTGGGGACCCATGGGAGATGAGCTGGCCTCTTCTCCTCTCCTCCATTTCTGAAAAATATCTTTACTGGGAATAATATTCTTGACTGGCAATTTTTTCTATTCACTTTGAAAACTCAAAGCACTTTGAAAATATCAACCCATTCTCTCCTGCCCTATAAGGTTTCTGCTGAGAAATCTGCTACTAATCTAATAGTTGAATAGACATTCCTTTGTGTGTGACTTGATACTTTTCTCTTGCTGCTTTCAAAATTCTTTCTTTGTCTTTTACTTTTGACAATTTGAATATAATGTGCCTCAGGACCTGTTTGGGTGGAATCAATTTAGCATTCTTTGAGCTTCCTGAACCTGGATGTCTGTCTCTTTCCCTAGACTTGGGAAGTTTTTTGATATTATTTCATTTAAATATGTTTCCCTCACATTTTCTCTTCACTTCTGCAATGCCCATAGTATGGACTTAATGATGTCCATAAATCCTGTAATCTTTCTTCATTCTTTCTAATTCTTTCTTCTTTTATTTTTAATCTGCCTGTGTTATTTCAAAGGACATGTCTTTTAAGTTCAGAAATTGTTTCTTCTACTTAGTCCAGTCTGTTGTTGAATCTCTTAATTGTATATTTACTTCATTCATTGAATTATTCAGCTCTAGGATTTGTTTGGTTCTTTTTTATGATATCTCTTTGTTAAATTTCTTATTCAAATCATGAACTGTTTTCCTTATTTCATTGAATTTTCTATCTGCATTCTTTGTATCTCACTAGGATTCCTTAATATTATTATTTTAAATTCTTTTTTGGGGGGGGCATTCCATATATTTCCTTGTGATTGGGGTCTTTTACTGGAGAATTTTTTTTTTGGTGTGGGGTGGTGACATGTTTTCTTGCTTTGTCGTGTTAATGTGTCCCTACATTGATTTCTACACATCTGATAGGAAAGTCATCTCTTCAAATGTTATGCAGTAGGTTTCATAAATAAAGACTTATTTATATGAATGGGTCTTGGGATGTCAGTTCAGGGAGGGTGCATTGGCCTTGTTCTAGGTGGAGTAGTAGTGTGTTCTCCATGTAGTGACCAGCTATAAACCACAATGATGGCATTTGAGAGTTTCTCAGTGGCTTAGGCTGAGAGAATTGGTGGCAATGATTATTTAGTTTTGTCAGAGTGGGCTCACTAAGCTGTTTTTCAGGTCAGGGGCATGTGTGTGCATAGGGTGGGTTGGCCAACTTGGAGTCTGGCTCACCAGGATTGGAGCCACATGGCTGTTATTCTGGCTAGTAGAATGGGCATGTGGTTACTTGGAGGTGTGCCTGCCTGGGCAGTCTGTGGGGCTGTTATGCAGTTGTTTGGCTTCTTGGTTGGTCTGAGGATGTGTCTTCTGGAGACAACCCACAGCAGTTTCTCAGGTCTGTCTGGGACCCAGCTCTATGACTGCTTCATTGCCCTAAGGCCATGTTTGTCATATGTAGCCCATCAGGCTGTTTCTCAGGCCTGGATTGTGGTCATATGGCTTCTTGGCTGGTCTAGTTATGAGTCTGCAGTGGGAGGCCTATAAAGCTATTTCTGTGGCTTGGGACACAGACCTACAGCTACTTGGCTGACCTGGGGGCATTTCTGCAGACAGTAGACCACAGGGATGTTTCAGAGGCCTGAGACGTAGGCACAGGACTGCTCAACTGGCCTAGGAGTATCTTTGCTTGAGGTGATCTGTGGGGCTGGTTCTCAGGTCTGGCATGTAGGTTCAAGGTCTACTTGGCTGGTCTGGAGGTATGCACAGGGCTTTTCTGAGACACAGACACAGGGCTGCTCAGCTGGTCTGGAAGGGTGGCCTGTGGGACTGCTTCTTGGGCCTAGGACAATGGTGCATAGCTGCTTGGCTGATCTAGGGATGTGTCTGCAGGAGGTGACCCACAGGATAGTTTCTGAGGCCCAGAACATGAGCAAACAGCTGCTCAGCTGGCCTGGGGGCTTGCCCTCCAGGGGCGGCCTGTGAATTTCTCAGTCCTGGGGCATAGATACATATTTGCTCCACCAGCCCAGAGGCGTTTGTACCAGGTGCCACCTGTGGAGCTGTTTCTCAAGTTCTAATTGTAGGCACAGGGGCACTGGACAGGACAAGGGCCTGTCTGCAGTGAGTAGGGCATCTCAGGGCTGTTTTTCAGGCCCTGGATGCAGGCCCATAGCCACTCCACTGGCCTGGGAGCATGTCAGATGCTCAGAGGCTTGAGAGTCTCTCCTGTTTGGGGAAGGGTGCACAGAAGTTTGGCTGGCTTGAAGGCAGGTTCACCCTGGATGGAAATTTCAGGCTATTCCCCTGGCTGGGGGTGAAAGCAGTGGGAATTGGTTTCCCTGCTGTGCAGGACCAGCATCACAGCCTATCCTAGATCGGGCTCCACACTGCTGGGCTTGCAACATTCAACCACCAGTGGAAGCTTGTGGAATAAAGATGGAGCGCAGTGCTGGAGAGGTGCAGTGGCTATTGGCCCCCAGAGGAGGAAGCACTCCAGAAGTACCTCTGGTCTCAAGATGGCTCCATGCTGCAGCAGCTTGGCTGATAGAGGGGTGAGGTGTATATCCTTGTGCTCCTAATCTGGGGCAATGCAGGTATGTGATTTCCCAGCACATCTCCAAACTGGGCTCAGGGCTCATGAGGACTGTGGTATTCTCCTGTTGTAAGCACTGTAGGTGTTTGTGGTGACTGGTGGGAATCTTCTGCTTACCTTTTCCCCACAATAGGAAGTCCCTCCTGACTCCCAGCAGATTTGATTCAGGTGGGGAAGGAGAGGCTGCAGAGGAAAGGTGTCTCCATTCTGCCCTCCTGGACTTCCCATGACCACAGATGCATCTTTGCTCCCCCACTGTACTATAGCACTCTGTCTGATACTCTGGTCAAATCTTAGCTGTTTATTTATTGCCTTGGTACTGTCTTCTTTTGGGGAGTGTCAGAAATAAATGTCAGGCATCTGCAATCAGCCCTCTTGCTGATGTTCAGAACCTCATAACCAGAAGTAGGCAATTCTGAGCTGGAAGGCCTGGTCTGTCATTCTCATTGCATATACAGTCCATCGTTGATCAAAATGTCTTTATGTGGTATGTGACTATATTAGTATAGAATTGATGATTTTTACTTTCATTAATAGCTTAGGTAATATTAATATTTGTAGGTAATCACAGTGTTTTTTGAAAACAATGTTCACATTATTAGTGACATAAAGCATATTTCACAAAGTACCTTGAAAATATGGTAATCCTTTCTTGCATCGGTAAACTGGTTTGCTTCAGACTAATTCTCCAGCTGAGAACAGGTAGAAAAGGCTGGACGAAATAACTAAAATATATATGTTTAACGATATCAAAGATATACCAAGAAAGAAAGAACATGAAAAGCCAAAATCTCAGAGAGAAAAGTGGTGACAGTTTAGGAAGGGCAGGGCTCCAATCATTTACCAGAGCTGAGGCAAATCTGGGCTTAGGGCACCACCTGGAGCTCAAAAGGAGGCAGTGACCTAGCAGTAAAGAATCTATTAGTAAATATATCCAATAAAAACCAAACAAGCCAGACAGAGAAGGCTGGAATAAATAATACTTCAATGCCAAGACACAGATGTACATTCACAAGAAAGAGAAGCAGACAGGGAACCATCACCTCCCCAAATGGACAAAGCAAGGAACCAGTAACTGACCCTACTGAGACAGGATATGTGAGTTCTCTGACCAAAAATTCAAAATAGCAGTTTTAAGGGAACTCAGTGATCTCTAAGATAACACAGAAAAGCAATTCAGAAACTTATCAGAGAAATTTTAAAAAGAGATTTAAATGATAATTTTTAAAAATTTTTAAAATGGAATTGAGAAAATAATTTTCTGAATTGAAAGATTCATTAGAGGCTCTCAACGGCAGAATGGATCAATGAAAGGAAAGAATCAGTGAGGTCAAAGATGGATTATTTGAAAATAAACAGATGTCACGCAAGGTGGCTCATGCCTGTTAATCCCAGCACATTGGAAGGCTGAGGTTGGCAGATCACTTGAGCTCAGGAGTTTGAGACCAGCCTGGCCAACATGGCAAAACCCTGTCTCTACCAAAAATACAAAAATTAGCTGGGCGTGGTGGTGCACACCTGTAATTCCAACTACTTGGGAGGCTGAGGCAGGAAAATCACTTGAACATGGGAGGAGGAGGTTGCAGTGAGCTGAGATTGGGTCATTGCACTCCAGCCTGGGTTACAGAGTGAGTCTCTGTCTCAAAAAAAAAAAAAAAAAAAAAAAAAAGACAGAAAAAAAAAGAAACAGAGAAGAAAAAGAATAAAAAACAGAAAATTTCCTACAAGAGAGGAGTCAAGATGGCCGAATAGAAACAGCTCCGGTCTACAGCTCCCAGAGTGAGAGACACAGAAGACGGGTGATTTCTGCATTTCCATCTGAGGTACCGGGTTCATCTCACTAGGGAGTGCCAGACAGAGGGCACAGGTCAGTGGGTGCAGCACACTGTGCATGAGCTGAAGCAGGGCAAGGCATTGCCTCACTCAGGAAGTGCAAGGGGTCAGGGAGTTCCCTTTCATAGTCATAGAAAGGGGTGAAAGATGGCACCTGGAAAATCAGGTCACTCCCACCCAAGTACTGTGCTTTTCCGATGGGCTTAAAAAACAGCGCACCAGGAGATTATATCCAGCACTGGCTCAGAGGGTCCTACGCCCACGGAATCTCGCTGATTGCTAGCACAGCAGTCTGACATCAAACTGCAAGGGGGCAGCGAGGCTGGGGGAGGGGCACCCGCCATTGCCCAGGCTTGCTTAGGTAAACAAAGCAGTCCGGAAGCTCGAACTGGGTGGAGCCCACCACAGCTCAAGGAGGCCTGCCTGCCTCTGTAGGCTCCACCTCTGCGGGCAAGGCACAGACCAACAAAAAGGCAGCAGTAACCTCTGCAGACTTAAATGTCCCTGTCTGACAGCTTTGAAGAGAGCAGTGGTTCTCCCAGCACGCAGCTGGAGATCTGAGAATGGGCAGACTGCCTCCTCAAGTGGGTCCCTGACCCCTGACCCCTGAGCAGCCTAACTGGGAGGCACCCCCCAGTAGGGGCAGACTGACACTTACACGGCCGGGTACTCCTCTGAGACAAAACTTCCAGAGGAACGATCAGACAGCAGCATTCGCGGTTCATGAAAAACCGCTGTTCTGCAAACACCACTGCTGATACCTAGGCAAACAGGGTCTGGAGTGGACCTCTAGCAAACTCCAACAGACCTGCAGCTGAGGGTCCTGTCTGTTAGAAGGAAAACTAACAAACAGAAAGGACATCCACACCAAAAACCCATCTGCACATCACCATCATCAAAGAACATAAGTAGATAAAACCACAAAGATGGGGAAAAAACAGAGAAGAAAAACTGGAAACTCTAAAAAACGGAGCACCTCTCCTCCTCCAAAGGAACGCAGTTCCTCACCAGCAATAGAACAAAGCTGGACGGAGAATGACTTTGACGAGTTGAGAGAAGAAGGCTTCAGACAATCAAACTACGAGCTACAGGAGGAAATTCAAACCAAAGGCAAAGAAGTTAAAAAATTTGAAAAAAATTTAGAAGAATGTATAACTAGAATAACCAATACAGAGAAGTGCTTAAAGGAGCTGATGGAGCTGAAAGCCAAGGCTCGAGAACTACATGAAGAATGCAGAAGACTCAGGAGCCGATGCAATCAACTAGAAGAAAGGGTATCAGCAATGGAAGATGAAATGAATGAAATGAAGTGAGAAGGGACGTTTAGAGAAAAAGAATAAAAAGAAATGAACAAAGCCTCCAAGAAATATGGGACTATGTGAAAAGACCGAATCTTCGTCTGATTGGTGTACCTGAAAGTGACGGGGAGAATGGAACCAAGTTGGAAAACACTCTGCAGGATATTATCCAGGAGAACTTCCCCAATCTAGCAAGGCAGGCCAACATTCAGATTCAGGAAATACAGAGAACACCACAAAGATACTCCTAGAGAAGAGCAACTCCAAGACACATAATTGTCAGATTCACCAAAGTTGAAATGACGGAAAAAATGTTAAGGGCAGCCAGAGAGAAAGGTCGGGTTACCCACAAAGGGAAGCCCATCAGACTAACAGCAGATCTCTCAGCAGAAACTCTACAAGCCAGCAGAGAGTGGGGGCCAATATTCAACATTCTTACAGAAAAGAATTTTCAACCCAGAATTTCATATCCAGCCAAACTAAGCTTCATAAATGAAGGAGAAATAAAATCCTTTACAGACAAGCAAATGCTGAGAGATTTTGTCACCACCAGGCCTGCCCTAAAAGAGCTCTTGAAGGAAGCACTAAACATGGAAAGGAACAACCAGTACCAGCCACTGCAAAATCATGCCAAAATGTAAAGACCATTGAGACTAGGAAGAAACTGCATCAACTAACGTGCAAAATAGCCAGCTAACATCATAATGACAGGATCAAATTCACACATAACAATATTAACTTTAAATGTAAATGGACTAAATGCTCCAATTAAAAGACACAGACTGGCAAATTGGATAAAGAGTCAAGACCCATCACTGTGCTGTATTCAGGAAACCCATCTCACATGCAGAGACACACATAGGCTCAAAATAAAAGGATGGAGGAAGATCTACCAAGCCAATGGAAAACAAAAAAAGGCAGGGGTTGCAATCCTAGTCTCTGATAAAACAGACTTTAAACCAACAAAGATCAAGAGACAAAGAAGGCCGTTACATAATGGTCAAGGGATCAATTCAACAAGAAGAGCTAACTATCCTAAATACATATGCACCCAATACAGGAGCACCCAGATTCATAAAGCAAGTCCTGAGTGACCTACAAAGAGAATTAGACTCCCACACAACAATAATGGGAGACTTTAACACCCCACTGTCAGCATTAGACAGATCAATGAGGCAGAAAGTTAACAAGGATACCCAGGAATTGAACTCAGCTCTGCACCAAGCTGACCTAATAGACATCTACAGAACTCTCCACACCAAATCAACAGAATATACATTTTTTTCAGCACCACACCACACCTATTCCAAAATTGACCACATAGTTGGAAGTAAAGCTCTCCTCAGCAAATGTAAAAGAACAGAAATTATAACAAACTATCTCTCAGACCACAGTGCAATCAAACTAGAACTCAGGATTAAGAATCTCACTCAAAGCCGCTCAACTACATGGAAACTGAACAACCTGCTCCTGAATGACTACTGGGTACATAACGAAATGAAGGCAGAAATAAAGATGTTCTTTGAAACCAACGAGAACAAAGACACAACATACCGGAATCTCTGGGACACATTCAAAGCAGTGTGTAGAGGGAAATTTATAGCACTAAATGCCAACAAGAGAAAGAAGGAAACATCCAAAATTGACACCCTAACATCACAATTAAAAGAACTAGAAAAGCAAGAGCAAACACATTCAAAAGCTAGCAGAAGGCAAGAAATAACTAAAATCAGAGCAGAACTGAAGGAAATAGAGACACAAAAAAACCCTTCAAAAAATCAATGAATCCAGGAGCTGGTTTTTTGAAAGGATCAACAAAATTGATAGACCTCTAGCAAGAATAATAAAGAAAAAAAGAGAGAATAATCATAATCAAATAGACACAATAAAAAATGATAAAGGGGATATCACCACCGATCCCACAGAAATACAAACTACCATCAGAGATTACTATAAACACCTCTACACAAATAAACTAGAAAATCTAGAGGAAATCGATAAATTCCTCGACACATACACTCTCCCGAGACTAAACCAGGAAGAAGTTGAATCTCTAAATGGACCAATAACAGGAGCTGAAATTGTGGCAATAATCAATAGCTTACCAACCAAAAAGAGTCCAGGACCAGATGGATTCACAGCCGAATTCTACCAGAGGTACAAGGAGGAACTGGTACCATTCCTTCTGAAACTATTCCAATCAATAGAAAAAGAGGGAATCCTCCCTAACTCATTTTATGAGGCCAGCATCATCCTGATACCAAAGCCTGGCGGAGACACAACCAAAAAAGAGAATTTTAGACCAATATCCTTGATGAAATTTGATGCAAAAATCCTCAATAAAATACTGGCAAACCAAATCCAGCAGCACATCAAAAAGCTTATCCACCATGATCAAGTGGGCATCATCCCTGGAATGCAAGGCTGGTTCAATATACTCAAATCAATAAATGTAATCCAGCATATAAACAGAACCAAAGACAAAAACCACATGATTATCTCAATAGATGCAGAAAAGGCCTTTGACAAAATTCAAAAACCCTTCATGCTAAAAACTCTCAATAAATTAGGTATTCATGGGACGTATCTCAAAATAATAAGAGCTATCTATGACAAACCCACAGCCAATGTCATACTGAATGGGCAAAAACTGGAAGCATTCCCTTTGAAAACTGGCACAAGACAGGGATGCCCTCTCTCACCACTCCTATTCAACATAGTGTTGGAAGTTCTGGCCAGGGCAATTAGGCAGGAGAAGGAAATAAAGGGTATTCAATTAGGAAAAGAGGAAGTCAAATTGTCCCTGTTTGCAGACGACATGATTGTATATCTAGAAAACCCCATTGTCTCAGCCCAAAATCTCCTTAAGCTGATAAGCAACTTCAGCAAAGTCTCAGGATACAAAATCAATGTGCAAAAATCACAAGCATTCTTATACACCAATAACAGACAAACAGAGAGCCAAATCATGAGTGAATTCCCATTCACAATTGCTTCAAAGAGAATAAAATACCTAGGAATCCACCTTACAAGGGATGTGAAGGACCTCTTCAAGGAGAACTACAAACCACTGCTCAATGAAATTAAAGAGGATACAAACAACTGGAAGAACATTCCATGCTCATGGGTAGGAAGAATCAATATCGTGAAAATGGCCATACTGCCCAAGGTAATTTATAGATTCAATGCCATCCCCATCAAGCTACCAATGACTTTCTTTACAGAATTGGAAAAAACTACTTTAAAGTTCATATGGAACCAAAAAAGAGCCCGCATCGCCAAGTCAATCCTAAGCCAAAAGAACAAAGCTGGAGGCATCACAGTACCTGACTTCAAACTATACTACAAGGCTCCAGTAACCAAAACAGCATGGTACTGGTACCAAAACAGAGATACAGATCAATGGAACAGAACAGAGCCCTCAGGAATAACGTCGCATATCTACAACTATCTGATCTTTGACAAACCTGAGAAAAACAAGCAATGGGGAAAGGATTCCCTATTTAATAAATGGTGCTGGGAAAACTGGCTAGCTGTATGTAAAAAGCTGAAACTGGATACCTTCCTTACAACTTATACAAAAATCAATTCAAGATGGATTAAAGACTTAAACGTTAGACCTAAAACCATAAAAACCCTAGAAGAAAACCTAGGCATTACCATTCAGGACATAGGCATGGGCAAGGACTTCATGTCTAAAACACCAAAAGCAATGGCAACAAAAGACAAAATTGACAAATGGGATCTAATTAAACTAAAGAGCATCTGCACAGCAAAAGAAACTACCATCAGAGTGAACAGGCAACCCACAAAATTGGAGAAAATTTTCGCAACCTACTCATCTGACAAAGGGCTAATATCCAGAATCTACAATGAACGCAAACAAATTTACAAGAAAAAAACAAACAACCCCATCAAAAAGTGGGCGAAGGACATGAACAGACACTTCTCAAAAGAAGACATTTATGCAGCCAAAAATCACATGAAAAAATGCTCACCATCACTGGCCATCAGAGAAATGCAATCAAAACCACAGTGAGATACCATCTCACACCAGTTAGAATGGCAATCATTAAAAAGTCAGGAAACAGCAAGGTGCTAGAGAGGATGTGGAGAAATAGGAACACTTTTACACTGTTGGTGGGACTGTAAACTAGTTCAACCATTGTGGAAGTCAGTGTGGCGATCCCTCAGGGATCTAGAACTAGAAATACCATTTGACCCAGCCATCCCATTACTGGGTATATACCCAAAGGACTATAAATCATGCTGCTATAAAGACACATGAACACGTATGTTTATTGCGACATTATTCACAATAGCAAAGACTTGGAACCAACCCAAATGTCCAACAATGATAGACTGGATTAAGAAAATGTGGCACATATACACCATGGAATACTATGCAGCCATAAAAAATGATGAGTTCATGTCCTTTGTAGGGACATGGATGAAATTGGAAATCATCATTCTCAGTAAACTATCACAAGAACAAAAAACCAAACACCGCATATTCTCACTCATAGGTGGGAACTGAACAATGAGAACATATGGACACAGGAAGGGGAACATCATACTCTGGGGACTGTTGTGGGGTGGGGGGAAGGGGGGAGGGATAGCATTGGGAGATATACCTAATGCTAGATGACGAGTTAGTGGGTGCAGCACACCAGCATGGCACATGTATACATATGTAACTAACCTGCACATTGTGCACATGTACCCTAAAACTTAAAGTATAATAATAAAAAAAAAATCTTTTAATCATCTGAATGCGTCAAAGTATTGAGAAAATATCAGATATATAGAAAGGGAACTTTGTTCCAGAAGGAGAGGTAGCAAAAAAGAGTGGACAAATGTGGGCCTGGGATCATACGGGCCCACCAAATCTTGCTCTGTGTGGCCTGTGTGAACTTCGCAAGTCACCGTCTCCCTGAACCTTAGTTTCCTCATCTGTAAAATGGGGGAGATAACAATTTTTACTTTTCAAGGTTGTTGTGAGGCTTACAGGTAATGTATCAACATATGAAGCTTCTCATATATCAGTAGTTAATACTGTTGCATGGCAAATTTCCTTCAAGTTTAATCCCGCGTAGTCAGGCCTGTGATTCTAAGAGTCTGTTGATTGGATGACTCTGAAGCAGCTTTGTTAACAGTGCAGACAATTTGCATGAAGCTTTTTATCATATAATGATCTATGTTAATTTACTTTGGACTTATTTCTCGTTTCACTTGAAAAGCTTTATTTTATATTTGGTGATATAAAATAATGTTTTAATGAAAAAAAAAGAAAATTTCCTACAAGATATACAAAATTACCTCAAAAGACCCAATCTAAGAATTATTGGTGTTCAAGAGGGAGTCGAGCATGAGCATGGGGTAGAATCTCATTCAAAGAAATAATAACAGAAAACTTTCCGAAACTTGAGAACGATATAAACACCTATGTACAGTAAGGTCTGACAACATTAAATAGATATGACTCAAATAAGACTACCCCAAGGAATAAACTCTCAAAGGTCAAGGAGAAAGAGACGATCCTAAAAGCGGCAAGAGAAAAGAAGCAAATAACATATAAGGATCCCCAATTCATCCAGCAACAGATTCCTCAATGGAAACTATACAGGCTAGGAGTAAGTGTAATGACATTTTCAAAGTGCTGAAAGAAAAAAACTGCCAGCTAAGAATACCGTATCCAGGTGGCCATGTCTAAGTTCTGTACATGAGTGGAAATGATGTGTCCAACTTTCAGGCCTTGCCTTCCTGGTCCCTTTCTCTTTCCACAAACTGAGACCTAGCAAGAGCATCAGCCTTGGAGCCAAAAGTGGAACCCCTTGTTGAGATATCCCTTGTTGAGATAAATTCTTAGTGTGAGAAGGCCAGCTAGGGGTTTGTGCCCAGGAGACCTGTGGGATGAACTTCCTACAGCTTTGCACTGCTGAACAGCCACTCTGATTTGGCATCTCCTTTAGCTGAGTTACAGAGTTTTCAGGGCTGGTTAGGTAATCCTGCCTCCTCCCTTTGCCTCTGCCTGTTTTCAGGTATATTTCTCCCCCCAGGCACTGTGATGCTTCCTGTGGGTTAAGGCAGGGGCAGATCTTCTGCAAGGAAACCCAAGATAGTGGGAAAACTGGTTGTCCATCTCAGTATCACTTTTTCCAATGTAGAAACTGAACTGGAGGAAAATTTTCCACATGCTTGTTCTGGGCAGAATGGCAGGAGAGGTGCCACAGATGTGGAAGTCCAATTCTCTTACCGTCTGCTTGGAATTTTTTCACTTCTCGTGGCCCTGGCAACTGTTTTCATATTTGAATTCTGGGATATTGTTGGTGATAATCCCAGTGCTGTATATCTGGTTTTGGTTTTCTAGAGAAGGCAAAGGGTGAAGCCAGTTTGCTTCTATGCTGCTATTTTGGAACTGGAAGTCCATTCATTCACTTTTTTCAGCTTTTCTAATCTGCTGTTAAACCCATACATTGAATTATTATTTTCAGCAACAATACTTTTTACTTCTACAATTTTATTTGATTCATTTACTGTTTCTAAATTCATCTTGTCATTTAATTTCTTAAATATGGTAATCAGCTTTTCCTCTGTGTTGAATTGATTATTATTTAATTCAATAATTTTAAAATGAGACAAATCTATTTAAAACATTATACAAAAAATTGAATCTACTTATCCTCATTAAATTAGACCATTGCAACAGAGCAAGTAATTCCCTGGAATAATAATAATTCTTATATGTCCTCAGAGACAGTCAAGTGAGAAAAGCCATTAACTGTCTCATAAAGCTATAACAGTCTCCATAAACATCTGGCATCCTCTTGATACTATAAAATGTGCATGATGGAAACTACTGAATTCTTAAGGTCTTCATCAAAACTGGCTACACTATAAAACTTTGTCTAAGTACTCCCTGGTACTAGCAGACACCTGCATGAGTTCCTTTGTGCATGGTCATCATTCAAAAACTGGCCTTTTGGCAATTCTTAGAGCTACCTGAAATTCTGCATTAGCCTATTATCATTACACAGATGGTTATACAGGAGATACACATGACATATAGACAGTCTGTCTTTGACTATACGATGTTCGGTCTGGCTTTACTGAAAAGTTGATAAATTTTGCATCACTCAGGATGTAGATGGGCCCAGTTAAGTTATGTTGATCACATTGGCAATATGAACAGAGATTGATGGGAAATTTCTCTTTCCTTGAGTATACTGGGATCTTTATTGACTTTGTTTTTAGAGTCTGATCTTTTTCTTTTAGGCTCTTACCTAAGAAGTCAAGCATTTGCTTTATGTTATTTCCTTGCTTTCTTTCGCTTCCCTATGTTCACCTTGCAGTCCTGTTGCTTTCTCCAAAATCTCAAACCAAGTATGGTTATTTTAAAGTCCATGTTTAATGACTCTGATATCTGGATTTTTCTGTGGGTCTGTTTCTACTCTTTTATTATAAGCTCTTGTTTTATATCAAATGCCAAACATTTTGCATGAAAAAAATGTAAAAATTAGTTGAGTCTCTGGATGATATCTTCAGAAAATACTTACTTTTGTTTATTACATGCAATAAGGATAGAAGTGGATCACTTTAATGCAATTGGGAACTGAATTGGTGTAAAGCTGAACTTCAGGGTTTTTTGACAGCTGGTCTATTTCTTGTTTACCCTTATTCCTAGGGTTTATCTCTTTGAAGTTCTGACTTAAACTTCAAACTGTGTTTTCCAGTTTCCCCTTCTCCATGGCCAACCTAAATCTTGTTTCCGAGTTCTCAGAGGCTGTCTAACCAAAGTTCTGCTCAAATCTTCTGCTTCTTAGCCAGCTTTTTATTTAGCAAGCGTTCCAATGGAACAGCAGCACCAAGGTTGAACTCACCACTTTGGGCTTCTCTTCTCTCTGAGATTTTGGTTCTGAATGTTCTTTCTTTCTGGGTATATCTTTGATATCTTCAAACATATATATTTTACTTATTCAATTCACCTGTTCTCAGCTGGAGAATTAGTCTGAAGCAAACCAGTCTACCAAAGTAAGAATGGATTACCACATTTTCAAGAAACTTTGCGAAATACATTTCATGTCACAAATAATGTAAACATTATTTTCAAAAAGCACATTAATACCTACAAATGTTAATATTACCTAAATTATTAATGGAAGTAAAAATCATCAAATCCATACCAATACAGTCATACACCACATGAAGACATTTTGATCAATGATGAACTGTATATACAATGGTGGCTCCCTAAAATTACAATGGAGCAGCCCTATACAGGTGTACCATTTTTAATTTTAAACCATAGTTTTACTGTTCCTTTTCTATGTTTAGGTAAGTTTAGATACATAAATACTTAATATCATGTTACAATTGTCTACAGTATTCAATATGGTAATGTGCTGTACAGGTTTGTAGCCTAGGAGTAAGAGGCCATACTATAAGCCTAGGTGTGTAGTAGGCTATACCATCTAGGTTTGTGTTAAATATAGTCTATGACGTTCGCAAAACAAAGTTGCCTAATGACACATTTCTTAGAAAACATCCTCATCACTAAGTAATGGGTGATTGCATTTCTTTACATTTTATTTACTATCAGTATTATTGCAATTGTATTTTAAGTAGACAAAATGCTTGGAGTAAATTATACAATAATTTTCAGACCCTATCTTTATTCCATTTAAGCTTGGCTCCTCATAACAACCTTTTATATTACTGGGCTTTCTGCATTATTTCCTATAAATTTCTTCACAATGTTAATGTATATAACTACTACTAATTATTTTTGTAGAGTCCAACAGGACATATTTGAATGTCATGTGGGACATGGGACAACTCACTGTATGCCTGGGCAATGCAGTGTAGGATGTCTAGCCTCCCTAGCCTGTTGACCAGGAACAACACCCCAACAATTTTTAACAAGCAAAAATTCTTCCACAAATTTCCAAAACACCCTCTGGGAGTCACTGTCACCTTTTTTGGAAAGTCTACCTTAGATCTATAAAAATCATCCCTGAAGGCTGTCCTAACGCGGAGTATGTGTGGATTCCAGGGTCATCACCTGTAAAGGGTCAAAGTATGGACCAGTCACACTGGGTGTTCTGTTAACCTCTAACACCTGGACAACTCCTAAAGCCATCCTAAAAATCGAGTGAAAACAAGCTAGTGTTAATATCCATGACAAAGGCAAAAAAGACAAAACACACTCTGATCTTTTTTTCTTCGGTTATTATTATCTTCAGTGATAATAACCTGTCGTATGTCACCCACCAAGTACCACGTTCTGAACTGTTTTAATCCCGTCATCTTGATCCTCTCAACAATCCTATATAGAGGAATTTTTATTCCCAATTTAGAGATGAGAAAACTGGGGCTTAGAAATTTGACTGCCCCAACTTCTAAAAAAAAAACTATTAGAGTCTTCTCTGATTCCGTGGCATTCTACCCGGTCCACGCAAGGCCTCCAGTTCTTTTAAAACCTCGCGCCCCCTCCCCACGGCCCCCCGGGATAGAATGGGCAACCTGATTGGAGGGGCTTGAGGAAAAGGAAAAATGGTCTAAGGGCCTAATATGGAACTAGCTGTCAGCTCAACTCCGCCCCCTACTCCTCTGCTGGGGCGTTGCCCAGGGAGTCCACCCCGGTACGCTGCAGCGGCTGTCTTTCTACTTTCACCTTACTTGCTGGTGGCCCAGACTTCGGGACATTCTGAACCTCACTGTCCTTCCCTCTACAACAGCGCATTCCTCTTGGCCCAGCTTCCAAAGCTATTTGCCGCCCCGTCAACCCTGCAGCCCCTACAGCCGCGAATCCAGGAAACCCTCTACCCGCAGCCCAGCTACTGAGTTTACAATCCCCTGGGCTTTGGGCTCCAAGGTGCGGGTTCCTGCCCCAGTAGTGGCTCGGTGGACGCCCCAACTTGCCGCGCAGGCGCGCTCGGGCCCTCTCCCCCTCCCCGCGCTCCGCAGCTGGGAATCACGGGACTAGCCTTCGTTTCCTTGGCAACGCAGTACACAAGTGCTAGCCCTAGCAGCTCGCGATGTGCTTCAGCAGAGCAGGTGAGGAGGGCTGCCGAGAAGCCTAGAGTAGAGGGCAGGTAGGGGGAAGGGTGGGGAAGCTGGGAAAGACGAAGTGGGAGGAAGTGCAGTTCGCCCCCCTCCAGGAGTTTGGCGTGGTTTTGTAAGCGCACGGTTGGGCCCTGTCCTCTGCTCAGTCTCCCCGACCTTCCCCTCCCGGAACGCGCTCACGTAGACCCAGGTGCCGTCCCTCACGTGGAGCCTCTCCTCTTTATTTTAGACGCTGCGGATAACTACCCTTTTGGAACATGTCAACAGAGGAAACTTTTTCCTCACTTCCATCCCCCGAATTTGATTGGGAACAAGTTTGTCCCTCTTAGGGGATCACCCCACAGAGGGCCTGGGTGTTATTTTTCAGATGTGAGTATTCACCTCCCCTTAGATGCTCCTCAGTTCCCCGGCTATTGAGGGATAGCCAAGTTTCCAAGTTTCGTAAAAGAAAAAATTCTGTGGGACTTGAGATCTCCAGAGTCCCAGCATAAGAAAGCGCTCTGTTCTTCTGCAAGCAGCTGTTTCAGCCAATGCCAGAGATTAAAGGATTATTGCTCCCCGCCTTGCACCTCCATTAAACGCAAGCCCTAGCTTCATAAAATCCCTACTCCTTCCTCACTTCCAAAGGCCTCTGAGCCAGTGCCAGTTACCCTCCCATTCCTCCAAACCTCAGGCTGACAGTTGCATTAGAGTAAGTTCAGCTCTGTGGGGCTCCGAAGACTGATGCATTTGAATATATGGCAATGTCCTATAGTCTACGTATCCAGCCACACCCCTCTACAAAGTTACCTGTATTACTTGTGTAATTCTATGGTCTTGACCTCAAAGGAGTCAAGACAATAAAGAATAATCCCTTGCAGAGAAGGTTCAGATGGGAACACACTAAGCTCACTCCATTTCGATGGCCCTGATGTTCTCTGACTATGCGTTGTTTTTTCTTTCTTTTTTTTTTTTTTTGGTGTTTTTGTTTGTTTTTTAATATACCACCCAAAGGGATATGGCTTGGCATACGACTTATCTAAGATCCCAACCAGTATAAAAGGATATACTTTGGGAGCCAGAACAGCTGTGAGGTTTAAGCCAATACAGAAGGTAATGTGCTGGGATTTTAGTGTTATCCACGTTGTTGCATGCATTTGCACAGGAGTGCAAAGGGCAGAGAGCAAGAGGGGGGTGATCTAAAAGAATATGCCCTGAAATTAAAGAAAAGTAGGCATTTAAGCAAAAGCTATTAAGAAGCCTATCTGAAAAGCTTGGGCATTAACATTGCAAATATGCGTGTGAGTGTACCGGGGAGAGTGGAAAACAATTTACTGAAGAAATGGTCCCAACACAGGGCTTTAGTGTTGAGATGCCTGAGGTTAAACATTCGAAGCTTGTGTTTATATACATTATATTGTCTTGTCAGTTAAATAACAAATTCCAACTTTTCCACCCTTTTGTGTGATTGGGTTGCAAGTCTAAAGTTCAGTAGGGGATCCTAATCTCTTATTGGACGACATTTTCCTGACACTTGAGCTTAGGGAGCAGAGATACTATCTCTAAAAATCTCTCAGTGAGGTGTTAAGCATAGTGGCCGTGATAAGTTGCCTTGGTTCTCTACCCATCCTAGATTTATTTCTACAACCTATATATTACGTATCACTAGGTAGCTGAACCACACCCGTATCTCGGTTTTCTACCTACCGAAGACTTATTTCTGTAGCTTGAGGTGGCTGAACCATAGCTGATTTATGAACAGAAAGAGGATGATTCTGTTTTTTCTACCTGGAAGGCTTTATGTGTATATATATACATATCACTCTGTAACATAATGATCTTTTTCTTGGAAACAGGAAATGACACCTCATGCAGGCAGGTACCAGAAAGTAAGTCCTCAGCAGGAAAAACACAAACAAAATTTTGCTCCATTTAATGTCTTGGTGCCTCGATTTAAGAACTACCCAAAGGACACTTACTATCCCAGGTATGTCTCCTCCCTTTTGGTGCACTTCAACAAAAAAAGCAATAGGAGGAAAAGAAGTACGTAATAAAAGAAGCACATAAAGAAGGGATGACATCCAAACCATCGCAGTTAAATAAGGAACCATTCAGAGATTTAATCAATTGTCTCACAGATTTCTGGCATTGTAGAATGTAGAATCATAGTTACTCATTCAATGAATTTTTATTAACATGCCAGGTAGTTTTGTAGGTTCGATAGATTTTTGCACTAAATCCATCACACAAGGCTCCTGATTTCTTGGGGCTTACATTCTAGAGTCCAGACAGAGCACAGGCAAATACACAAGAAAATATCAATAGTGATAGAGTGACCATATAATTTGTTAGTCAAACGATGACACTTCTGAGAGTAAAAGGGGGCCTATTAATAATTCTACCAAGACAGTACCCATAAGGTAGGGACTGTCATGGACAAACCAGGAAGTAGGTTGTCCAGGCTACAAAGAAGGTAAAACAGGATGACAATGTGATAGGGAGTGATGGCCTGGAGTCTACTTTAGAAAGGGTTGAAGAAATGACAGTTAACCTGAGATCTAAATGACAAGACTGAGCCAGCCCTGTGAAGATCTGGGGACCGAGCATTCCCAGCAGAAGGAACAGCAAGTGCAAAGGCTATAAATTGGGAAGGAATTTGACGTGAACAAAAAGGCATGCTGCCATGGCTAGAGTGTAGTGAGCAAGTAGGAAATGAGACAGAAATGGAGGGCATGCTGGAGCACATAGGCCTTGCAGGCCAACAGGCTTATTCTCAATGCTTTAGGAAGCTATTCAGAATGTATAGACTTGTAGGGCAAAAGATCAAGGACTTTCTTTTATTGATGAGAAATCCAAGGATCACAGAGTGATGTAACTTTCTCAAGTTGCATTAAGGAAGTAGAAGCATTGAGTCTTGACCCCCAAGTCCAGTCCATTATTTCCTGACAGTAAAGAGTCCACACCAAAAGACAAAGTGTATATGAACAAAGACAATTTTTAAATGACCCCATTGTCAAGAAAATTTAACTGGCTTTGCTTTGCTTTGCTTTGCCTACATTGCAGATAGATTATCACTGCACTTTTATCACCAACTTTAAATTGTGGGCAGTACTAATTCATCACTGCTTTAGATCTCTTTCATCACCCACCGCTTCTAGGACCTTCTCATCTCTCAGCTATAGATACTGAGGTACAGAAATATCTTTTAATCTGGAGTCGATCTGTGCTCTAACTGGATGTCAAGATTGTCAAGTTAGATGTTTAACGCTAACATCTAACTCGAAATACATTAACAGGTAAAGGAATCCCATGCTTAATTAAAAAGCTAATCAATCTGTTGCCTTTTTCCAAGAGGTTAGGCCTAGTCCAGGGACGGCTCTGGTACTGATGGAGTTTGTGTATGATCACTAACTCATTAGACATGATGCTTGTATTTTTATTTCTAGCCCTGGTGCATACAACCCAGAGAAGAAGCCACCGCCAAAAATTGCCTGGCCAATGAAATTTGGATCTCCAGACTGGGCTCAGGTTCCATGTCTACAGAAAAGAACCCTAAAAGCTGAGGTAATAAGATTGGAACTTCTGTAGAAGACTCTTATTCGATCTAGTACTTTCATAGGTATTAGGGACTCTTAATTAGGGGTCTGTGAATGAACTTCAGGAAGTCCTTGGTCCCAAAAAATTATATGCACAATTTTGTGTGTATATGAATCTGAGGAACTTTTTGGAGAATTACACTATTTCATTAGATTCTTAAAGGTATATATGACTAAACAAAAGTGACATTTTCTTATTTGATCCTTAAATAACTTTTGTGGTAGGTACAGAGGAAATATCCCTACACAATAGAGGCCCAGATGGATTAAGTGATTTGTGCAGGTTTCACTACTGGAATCTGGATCTTGTGACTCCTAATACATTGCTCTTTCCGACATACCCCTTGAGTACTAGATCACTGAGGAGCCATAGAGAATTCAGCTAAGAGCATGGATTATGGGGACAAAACTGCCTGGATTCAAATACTAGCTGCAGTATTTACTTGTGTAATCTTGAGCAAATCTTTTGACTTTTCTAAGCCTCAGTTTTTTAATCTGTAAAATGGGTATTAAAATAGAATCAATCCGATAAGGTTATAAAGAAAATGTGGAAAATCATTTAACACAGTACTTGATAACATAGTAATTGTTCAATCTGTTAGCTATCATAATTCCAGAGGTGCTTTTTTCTTTCCTAGTGGAACTTTTCATTAATTCTACAATTATTTATTAAATGCCAAATGTATTAACATTATTGCATTAGGGCCTATGGGCAACAACTCAAGAATTAAACATATAGTCCTTGACTTCAAGAAGCCCACCAACTGCTTGGGGATTTACTAAGTAGTAAATAATTCCTAGCATGGTATACACTATAGTAAGATGATAAAGGGTAGATGTACATACAAATTTTGGGAGAATCACTAAGGCTAGATTACTATGGAGTTGGGATTCACCTCTATAATGTACAGTTTTTTTTTTTTTTTTTTTTGCATAACTGGGAAGACCAGAGGCAGAGGGTTCTCATTAGAATATTGATCTAGAAAACGTTCTTTCATTGCAGCTGTCCACAGACAAAGACTTTAGAAAGCATCGGAACCGTGTGGCCTACCTAAGCCTGTATTATAATTGAGCGGCTGTAACTACCTTCACGTGCTCCTCTTATACACAGACTCTCCAGGACTGAGGACAGAGCTGCTCTTCTTCTTCTACGTTACTGTGGCCCTCTTGTCTGGCAGCCTGGAGCCCAGGGAGGGACAGGGGCTTATAGCTGCTGTATGAGAACATAAAGACTAGTGCACAGTGCTATCTCCATCTACTGACTTGTGGTGTACACGTGCATGTCTGGGTCTGTGGGTTTCTGTTGGGTGCTGAGTTGGGTGATTTCATTTTAGTGAAATATTTGTGGGCCCCTGCTCTCTAGTTCTAATTCCCAGGAGCCAATTTTATATATTCTACCACTAGCCCTGGTCATAGGAGGCTGTTAGCCTATACATGTCAAGGGTTTGGATGGGATTTGGGCTTGCTAGATACAGAAAACACTTAAGGCAGATTAAAACATGTATTGGAGCTCTCCCAATTGTGTTGCTCAGTGTGGAGTGGGAAGGTCTTGATTTGGTTGACTTTCCCAGATTGACATAAAACTCAAAAACCAAAAAATTGCCCCTTTCCTATGACATCATCCATTTAGTCTGTGAGTCAACATATATACTGAGGTCCTACTATGTGTTGAGCAGAGCAGTAAGCACTGGGGATATGGCAGGAATCAAAATAAACTTATCTACTAAGTCCTTGGGCCTGGCCTGAAGTCAGAGGAGGACTCCCCAGGGCAGCTAGGGGATTGGGTCTGCCCTCCAATCTGAATGACCCCCTAGAACCTTACAAGTCATTCTGGGGTTATAAAGATCATAACATTTATAGCCCCAGACTGACTTGTAAGCAGCTGCATTTAAAGTACTTACTCAGACACTCAGGCCTGAGAGATAGACCCCTTTCTTTCCAGCACTAGCTGAAATAATCAAGTATATAGTTTGTTCAGGATTGGCACTAAATGTGATTTAATCTTTTAATAAAAGGGTCCTTTTGTACCCACTTAGGCTTCTTCGTAATTACCAGAAAGGTGATAAGCCTGCATGTGTCTGGACACCAAAGATTGAGAAGCTGCCAGTGGCTGCAAGAGAGCCTACTGTAACCCTCATGGCCACCCCCTGATGAGTGTTACCTGGGGAAAGGGCTAGCAAGAGGTGAAGCCTCCTGGTCATATGATGCTGGGGGTGCCTAATTCCTTAAAGGCCAAGGTCTTCTGAAATAATAATGGTGAAGGACAGAAAAGTCTTTATGAGAAATCACATAGGATATATTAAGATAATGATAAAGATACCTCAGCAAGAACATACCTAATATATACACTTCTTTTAATCTGATGACTTAATGATTTCTGTTATCAAGAAGTATTTATGACTTGAGATAAGTCAGGATTAACTGTTATCACCTCTCCTGTACACCTCCCTCCTTTTTCTCCTTTGTACCCACATGTGCAGATTTTTTCAGAGGTGACAATTTAGCATTTAATGTTTTTTTTTCTGCTTCAAGTTCTTAGGTCCCTTTGGAGGATATTGATGGGGGTGGAGGTGGGGATAGAACATCTTTCACACTGTTTGGTACAGAGACGCTCAAAGCTTTTCCCAGGGAAAGGAACTCTCTAAAATAGTAATCTGATTTGATGAAAGATAAAATTTTAATATAGCTTCAGTTAACCTTCAGGATACTTTAAATGCTACATTGTATATAAAAGTAATAAAGTACAAATGAACACGAAGACTAAAACATACTGTGCCATATTTATTTTACATCTAGACTTGGTTCGAGGAGTTTATAGTATTTTTAGGTCTTAATAGAGTTAAGCTTTATTATAATGCAGTTTTAGTGGGGTAAAGCTTCCAAAGTGACAGATTTATATAATACGTAGACTACATGACATATTGGAGGATGTAGTTTGACATGCAGACAACAGAATCTATGACACTAGGATTTTATGAGTATGTTTAAGGCCAGTTGCAACACTTACAGTTCTGCTCCAACCTTGGGCATACTTGAGGTGAAAGGTATTGCCTTCCACACACCAGTAGAACTTGTTATTATCTTCAGGATTACTATAAATGCCATCTGCTTTACCACTACAGAAAGCTCTGTCTCCCCTATTGCCCCCATCACTGCCGCCTTCTCCATCACTTCCCCCATCACTGCCACCTTCTCTACCACGGCCACTGCCTCTGCCAATATTAGCACAGAAGCCTTCACTTCTGGGTGTCACAGGTCGGTTATACCAGCTGTTGACAGCTGGTGGAATACATTCTAAAAGAATAAAAACATTTCAAAGCATCATCTTAACCTCTTTTAAACATAGAAACAAGCAGCTCTGGACATTCCCCTATATCAGTTCTGTTCTCAGAGAACTGGAGGGAAGCTGTTAGCTGGGAAGAATGCTGCACGGGGACAGATGTCCAAAGCAGGGAGGAGTGAAACAAAGGCCTCTGGGGTCCTAGCAGGATGTCAAGCCTGGGCTTCCATTCTACTTCCACTAGAGGGGAAACAAATCCAACCCTACAGTGATAGGAAAGGACTTTATGTTGAGATTCATTAATATTTGGGTTTCGATAAGGGAGGCTTATCTGTCAGTATTTCTGTCATATGTAATATATTTGGGTTTTTGTCATCTTGTTATGCTTTGTCTTTTGTGCTCTATGTTTCCTTGCTTCGTTTCAGCACTGTTTTTCCCTTCTTTCCTCTTCCACGGTGATTCAGAAGTTTTATATTTAATTTTCCTCTACCAGTAGAATGCTCTCAACCACTAAAATTTTCTGGCTCATTGTTTAATTTGAGCAAATAATTTTTTTGTTGTTGTTTTTTTGAGACAGAGTCTCACCCTGTCACCCAGGCTGGAGTGCAGTGGCACGATCTTGGCTCACCGCAACCTCTGCCTCCCGAGTCCAAGCGATTCTCCTGCCTCAGTCTCCTGAGTAGCTAGGACTACAGGCGCGTGCCACCACTCCCGGCTAATGTTTTGTGTTCTGTAGTAGAGATGGGGTTTCACCATATTGGCCAGGCCGGTCTTGAACTCCTGACCTCATGATCCACATGCCTCGGCCTCCCAAAGTGCTGGGATTACAGGCATTAGCCACCGCGCCCAGCCAAGCAAATCATTTTATAATCTCTCATAGGTTTTTACAGTTCTAAAAATCAACAATTATATTAATTTCCTTAGAGACCTAAGGAACCTCTCAGATAGCATCTTCCACTTCTCTATCTCCACTTTGAGACCTGCCTCAAGGGATGCTTAATCCAAGGAATGCACAAAGCCCACGAAGGGCAGGAGTTTCTTGCTTCATATGTTGAGACCCATCAGCCACCTGAGTGTTTGTCCCTGATCCTTTTTATGATGTCCCTCTAGCCATCCTCACCAAGACCCAGACAACAAAATGTATGCATCTAAATTAGGAAATGGTGCACTGCCATGAATGAGAGAATTGATCTAGCTCAGAGATAAATGCCAGTATATACAGGCATACCTCAAAGATGTTGCAGGCTCAGTTCCAGGCCACCACAATAAAGCAAATGTTGGAATAAAATGAGTCACACAAGTTTTTTGGTTTCCTGGTGCATATAAAAGTTATGTTTACACTCTACTGTAGTCTATTAAGTGTGAAATAGCATTATGTCTCAAACAGTGTACATACCTTAATTTTAAAATATTTTATTGCTAAAAAATGTTAAGAACTATCTACACCTTCAGTGAGCCATAATCTTTTTGCTGGTGGAGCATCTTGCCTCAGTGTTGATGGCTGCTGACTGATGGTGGTTGCTAAAGGTTGGGGTGGCTGTACCAGTTTCTTAAGATAACAATAAAGTCTGCTACATCAAATTGAAATTGACTTCCTTTCATGAAAGATTTCTGTGTAGTATGCAATGCTACTTGAAAACATTTCACCCACAGTAGAACTTCTCTCAAAATTGGAGTCAGTTCTCTCAAAATTGGAGTCAGTTCTCTCAAACTCTGCTGCTACTTTATCAACTAAGTTTATATAATATTCTAAATCCTTGGTGGTCATTTCAACAATGTTCACAGCATTTTCACCAAGAGTAGATTTTATCTCAAGAAACTACTTTCTTTGCTCATCCATAAGAAGCAACCCATCATTTGTTCACGTTTTATCATGAGATTGCAGCAATTCAGTCCCATCTTCAGGCTCCACTTCTAATTCTAGTTCTCTTGCTATTTCCACCACATCTGCAGTGACTTCCTCCACAAAAGTCTTGAACACATCAAAGTCATCCTTGAGGGTTGGAATCAACTTCTTCCAAACTTCTGTTAATGTTGATATTTTGACATCTTCCTTTGAATCACACAGGTAGTTGATAGTATCTTAGAATGGTGAATCCTCTCCAGAAGGTTTTCCATTTACTTTTCCCAGATTAATCAGAGGAATCACTCTGTACAGCAGCTATAGCCTTATAAAATGTATTTCCTTAAATGATAAGACTTGGAAGTCAAAATTACTATTGATCCATTTGCTGCAGAATAGATGTTGTGTTAGCAGGCATGAAAACAACAATAATTTCTTTGTACATCTCCATCCAGGCCCTTTGGTAACTAGATGCATTGTCAATGGCCAGTAATATTTTAAAAGAAATTTTTTCTGAGCAATAGGTCTCAATGGTGGTCTAAAAATATTCAGGAAGCCATACTGTAAACAGATGTGCTATCATCCAGGCCTTATTGTTCCATTTATACACCACAGGCAGAGTAGTTTGAACATAATTATTAATGGACCTAGGATTTTCAGAATGGTTAATGAGCATTGGCTTCAACTTAAAGTCACCAGCTGCATTAGCCCCTAAGAAGAGAGTCAACCTGTCCTTTGAAGCTTTGAAGCCAGGCATTGACTTCTCCTCTCTAGTTACAAAAGTCCTAGATGAGCATCTTCTTCCAATAGAAGGATGTCTTGTCACCTTAGCTACATAAATAACTAAATCTGTTATTTAGTGTAGCCTCCTTTACCAATGATCTTAACTTCATCACCTGGATAACTTGTTGCAGCTTCTATGTCAACACTCGCTGCTTCACCTTACTCTTTCATGTTGTAGAGGTGGCTTCTTTCTTTAAACCTCATGAACCAACCTCTGCTAGCTTCACACTTTTTTTCTTTAGCTTCATCACTCCTCCCAGTCTTCATAGAATTGAAGAGTTAGGGCCTGGCTCTGGATTAGGCTTTGGCTTAAGGGAAAGTTATCGCTGGTTTGATCTTCTATCTAGACCACTAAAACTTCCTTCATATGGCAATAAGACTGTTTTACTTTTTTATCAATCATGTGTTCACTAGAGTAGCACTTTTAATTTCTTTCAAGAACTTTTTCCTCCGCATTCACAACACGGCTAACTGGCACAAATGGCCTAGCTTTTGGCCTATCTTGGCTTTCAACATGTCTTCCTCACTAAGCTTAGCTTTTGATTTAAAGTGAGAGATATGCAACTTTTCCTGTCACTTGAACACTTAGGATATTATAGGGTTATTAATTGGCCTAATTTCAATTTTGTTCTGTCTTAGAGAATAGGGAGGCTCCAGGAGAGGAAGAGAGATAGGGAAACGGCCGGTGAAGCAGTCAGAACACATACATTTATTGATTAAGTTCATTGTCTTACATGAGTGCTATTACTTGTGCCCCAAAACAATTAGAATGACAACATTCAAGATCACTAATCATAGATCACCATAGTAGAAATAATAGTAGTGAAAACATTTGAAATATTGTGAGAATTACCAAAATGTGACATAGAGACACAAAATGAGCACATGCTGTTGGAAAAACAGCACTGATTGATAGAATTTCTTATCACAGGGTTGCTGCAAACCTTCAATCTGTGAAAAACACAATATCTGCAAAGCACAATAAAGTGAAGTGCAATAAAACAAGACATGTCTGTATATCAAGCTGGTTTTCAGGATACCCAGTTCCTGGCCTAAATTTTTCTGAGCAACAAGGCCTAGGTCTAGGGTATCTAGTGCATTCAAATTCTAGCTATCAAACTTAGCGCTGGTCCCATGACTAAAAAGCAGATTTCTAAAAGGGCACTTTCTGTAAGTGTGTCCCTTTTCTCAGCTGTGAGGGCCTAGAAGTTCCCTGGCTGTCTCCGTGCACCCTGGCCTCTCTTGTCTTTGCTGTTCTTTGCAGCCTCACCTGCATCTTCTTCAGAACAGCATGTTGGACTTAGTCATGATGCACCTGAGGACAGAACCAGGTGTGACTTCAGCTTGCTTATGAGCAGGTATTTCCTCTCATTGCAGAAGGACCTTGAGAAGTCATCCAAATCAATGGTCCAAACCATGGACCAAGCAAAATTGTTCTCCTTGAGAAAGTCCACCTGTGGACAAAAAGTGTACTTGGACCAGAATCAGATGGCATCCATTCAACAAGCAGACAACTGAGTATGGGCTGACAGGTGACAATAGGGAGATAAATGCTCTTCTTCTATAAAAGGGTATGTGCTTTGTGGATTCAAGACATAATTGATGGACTCAGCTCTATTCTTGTTTTCTTGTCCTATTTAATAAACTCTTGGGTAGTAAATATAAATAAAGTTATTATTTATTTAATTCTAGTATTAAATAGCATTAGGTTAAGCTATATTTTTACATTAATTACTCAATCTTCACAATACTTCACAACTACCATATAGATTCTGTTATTATTCTTTCATAAATTTGTTGGAACTCACCCAGTCTCAGACTGAAGATTTAGAACAAGGTATAACTGATTCCAAAGCCTAAACTCTTAACCACTGCACTATAAGGCCCCTTCCTTCCTCCTTGTCAGCCACCTTTCTCCTGACCCGGATTCTGTAATGAACAAACAGAGTGGCATAGTAGAAAGAACCTAGACTGTGAGCCAGACCACATATTCGATTACTGCTTTTCTTTTCCAGCTATGTGACCTTGGACTAGTCTATGAGCATATATGATCCTCAGCTTATATACCTGTAAAATGGAGAGGGTGTTTTTTACTACACTGGATTGTGTATAATCAAGTAAGATAATGGTTGTAAATTCTTGGTTTCTAAGAGTAAAGCATTTAGGTAAAAATATAAAGGGCTATTTTTATTATTGTCATTAAAGGTGATGGTCTTCGACAAATCTTGTAATGATATAATCTTAAAATCATCACATATACTAGTAGAGATTCACAGTGGACAAACATTGGGAAACTTTAATCATATTAGAAAATTCTAGTATATTTTGGTATATTGTGCTATATGTTATACATTGTATTATTGAATATTATATTTAATTATATAATTTTCTCTGTCTTGGAGAAAAAGTAAGTAATAATAAGGTTGGTCTACCCTTTCTCTAGTCATATTTAAAATCTTGAAATCACATGTCTTAGGAAAATGGTCTTCTGATGAATGTAGGATTTGAAGCCAGAATTGTTATTTTTTAGTGATGCTCGTATTTTGTACCCATTGCTTTCAATGGTATCATAACCAATCCACTCAGTGTTTTGTAAGCATATGGGACTTTTTGATCTTCAATCCATGTACTTGTGGCTTCTCTTAAGAATGTGCAGATCTATGGGAGAATGGAGAAGGGAATGTTGAGTACTTCACAGATCTATGCCGTGTATTGGAGGAGAAAGGACTTAAACAGGAGAAAAAAATAGGAAGAAATGGGAGGGTGTGGAAAAGAGGACATTATGAAATCTACATTAAGCTCACATATCTTTCCAGAAAGTGATTTTGTCTCATAAAATGAAGACATAAATTTCCATGAAACCAGGCTACAAACAAGTATAATTCTAATTCTATACCCAGTTTATTTGGGAAATGGTAAGCATGGCTACGTGTGCTGTGGTCAAGTTTGCTCTTGAGTTTTTAGCAAACACTGCTTATCATTCATCCATCGGTCTCAGAATTTTCAGGACAGAATTCAAGTAAACACAATTAATTCTACTTGTAAGATTGAATTATTTATTATACCTGGGCTAGCCTATTAAAATCCTTCTGTGGTTGTTTACATGGGTATAGTAGAATCTGGTATTACTTGGAGGCTGTGAGAAGAATGATGGTGTGCTTCAAAGCCCAAAGAGGAAATTCACATTTTTTTTTCCCAAGTGAAACTGTTCCACAGCCATTGAGCTGCTTATACTCAGAACAATGAGAAGCCAGGGTATAGGAACTCAAGAGAAGAATGACAGGGTGAATTGAAGAGTGAAGGAATTTTCCCCAGCGCATCTGAAGTCTGAATTAGCCATGTCAGTTACCTCACAGTTAAGTCCCGAATCCAGCCTAGCATGCAGAAGGACCAGATGAGATGACCCTGCTCTACCTGAGGTGTCAGAGCTTCTGAGCCAGAAGGTCCTCCCATAGGTGGGGAGCCCTGTGATGAGCTCCTCTGTTAGGATCCCATTGTCTCTCCAGTACATCATGGCATAGTCCTGAAGAAGGCAACATTATTTCATCACCAGTGTTTGCGAAGGGGTGGCCTGCCCCTCCACACCTGTGGGTGTTTCCCATTGGGTGGGATGAGAGACTGAGAAAAGAGAGAGACACAAAGACAAAGCATAGAGAAAGAAAAGTGGGCCCAGGGGACCAGCGCTCAGCATACGGAGGACCCACTCCGGCACCGGTCTCTGAGTTCCCTCAGTATTTATTGATCATTATCTATACCATCTCAGAGAGGGGGATGTGGCAGGACAATAGGATAATAGTGGGGAGAGGGTCAACAGGAAAACATTTGAACAAATGTCTCTGTATCATAAACAAGGTAAAGAAAAAGGTGCTGTGCTTTGATGTGCACATACATAAACATCTCAATGCATTAAAGAGCAGTATTGCCACGAGCATGTCTCACCTCCAGCCCTAAGGCAGTTTTCTCCTATCTCAGTAGATGGAATATACAATCGGGTTTTACACCGAGACATTCCATTGCCCAGGGACGAGCTGGAGACAGATGCCTTCCTCTTATCTCAACTGCAAAGAGGCCTTCCTCTTTTACTAATCCTCCTCAGCACAGACCCTTTACGGGTGTCAGGCTGGGGGACGGTCAGGTCTTTCCCTTCCCACGAGGCCATATTTCAGACTATCACATGAGGAGAAACCTTGGACAATTCCTGGCTTTCCTAGGCAGAGGTCCCTGTGGCATTCTGCAGTGTTTTGTGTCCCTGGGTGCTTGAGATTAGGGAGTGGTAATGACTTTTAACAAGCATGCTGCCTTCAAGCATTTGTTTAACAAAGCACATCCTGCATAGCCCTAAATCCATTAAAACTTGAGTCCACACAGTACATGTTTCTGCGAGCACAGGGTTGGGGGTAGGGTTACAGATTAACAGCATCTCAAGGCAGAAGAATTTTTCTTAGTACAGAACAAAATGGAGTCTCTTATGTCTACTTCTTTCTATGTAGACACAGTTACAGTCTGATCTCTCTTTTCCCTACAGTTTGTTGTATTTGATGAACAAAGTCTAGCAATTGTTCCCCAAAGAGAAAGCCTTAATATACAACCAAGATTCTCCCCAATCCCTTCCCCATCTCCCCTCTGCATATGATTTGAGGTTTTTCTTTCTTACACAGTTGAAATAATGCATTTCACCCTGATCCTTGGATTCTATGTGTAGGGGACTATTGTGTACTGTAGATGTGTCCCAGCCACCTTGGAAGTCATAAGTCATCACACTGATGAAATCAAGGAGCCTGGAACAAAGGATTTTAAGCCAACAGGATTCTGGAGGAATTTTCTTTTTCTTTTTCTTTTTTTTTTTTTTTTTTTGAGATGGAGTTTCACTTTTGTTGTCCAGGCTGGAGTACAATGGCACGATCTCGCTCACTGCAACCTCTGCCCTCCTGGGTTCAAGTGATTCTCCTGCCTCAGCCTCCTGAGTAGCTAGGATTACAGGCACCCACCATCATGCCCAGTTAGTTTTTGTATTTTTAGTAGAGACAGAGTTTCACCATGTTGGTCAGGCTGGTCTGGAACTCCTGACCTTAAGCAATCCACCCACCTGGAACTCCCAAAGTGCTGGGATTACAGGTGTGAGCCACCACGCCCGGCCTGGGGGCATTTTCTTTTCTTTTTCTTTTTTTTTAAGTATATCTTTTTTTAGTTATTATTATACTTTAAGTTCTAGGGTACTTGGGCACAACATTACATAGGCATACATGTCGGTATATGAAGGGGTGGCCTGCCCCTCCACATCTGTGGGTATTTCTCATCAGGTGGGACAAGAGACTGAGAAAAGAAATAAGACACAGAGACAAAGTATAGAGAAAGAACAGTGGGCCCAGACACCAGCCCTCAGCATACGGAGGACCTGCACCAGCACCGGTCTCTGAGTTCCCTCAGTATTTATTAATTATTATTTTCACTATCTCAGCAAGGGGAATGTGGCAGGAGAACAGGGTGATAGTGGGGAGAAGGTCAGCAAGAAAACATGTGAGCAAAGGAATCTGTGTCACAAGTAAGTTCAAAGAAGGTACTATGCCTGGACGTGCACGCAGGCCAGATTTATGCTTCTCTCCACCCAAACATCTCAGTGTAGCAAAGAGTAACAGAGCAGCACTTCCGCCAGCATATCTCGCCTCCAGCCACAGGGTGGTTTTCTCCTATATCAGAATAGAACGAATTCATATGATCGGGCTTTACAGAGATATTCCTTTCCCAGGGGCATGCAGGAGATGGAGGCCTTCCTATCTCAACCGCAAGAGGCCTTCCTCTTTTACCAAACCTCCTCAGCACAGATTATGGGTGCTGGGTTGGACGGTCAAGTCTTTCACTTCCCATGAGGCCATATCTCGGGCTGTCTCAGTGGGGGGAAACCTTGGACAATACCCAGGCTTTCTTGGGCAGAGATGCCTGCGGCTTTCCACAGTGCATTGTGTCCCTGGTTAATCGAGAATGGAGAATGGCAATGACTTTTACCAAGCGTACTGCCTGTAAACATAATGTTAACAAGGCACATCCTGCACAGCCCTAGATCCCTTAAACCTTGATTCCATACAGCACATGTTTCTGTGAGCACAGGGTTGGGGCTAAAGTTATAGATTAACAGCATCTCAGGGCAAAACAATTGTTCAAAATACAGATCAAAGTGGAGTTTCTTATGTCTTCCTTTTCTACATAGACACAGTAACAGTCTGACTCCATGTAGGGTGTTTGCCTAGGTACACTTAGAGTTAGGTATTTCTCCTAACGCTATCCCTCCCCCAGTCTCCCATCCCCAACAGGTCCCGGTGTGTGATGTTACCCTCCCTGTGTCCATGTGTTCTCATTGTTCAACTCCCACTTATGAGTGAGAACATGCGGTGTTTGGTTTTCTGTCCTTGTGATATTTTGCTGAGAATGATGGCTTCCAGCTTCATCCATGTCCCTGCAAAAGACATGAACTCATCCTTTTTTATGGCTGCATAGTATTTAATGGTGTATATGTGCCACATTTTCTTTATCCAGTCTATTATTGATGGACATTTGGATTGGTTCCAAGTCTTTGATATTGTGAATAGTGCCGCAATAAACATACATGTGCATGTATCTTTATAGCAGCATGATTTATAATCCTTTGGGTATATACCCAGTAATGGGATTGCTGGGTCAAATGGTATTTCTAGTTCTAGATCCTTGAGGAATCGCCACACTGTCTTCCACAATGGTTGAACTAATTTACACTCCCTGGGGGCATTTTCTTATAGAAAATTTAAGAGCAAAAAATGATAGCCATGGGAAACATATGTCAAGTAGATATCCATATGACCCCACCAGTGTGGCTTCCTATGGTGCTCCAGGGAACGATGTTATTTTCTGCAACCCCCATAGGGCTGGAGAGGAAGCCTTTTTTACTTCCTTGACAAAAACAGAAAAAACCCAAAGCAGAAAGCTAGGAAATGTGGTTGTTAGAGCTCATAACTGAGAAACACATGTCTCTGGGAGCATGGGAATCATAGTGAGTAACTCTCCTATTGCTTTGTCAATAATAGCTTTGGTGACTTTATATCATTTTTCAGGAGAAATTGATAATGAGGATTGCTATTATAAAGATTCTGCATGGCCTTAAATCTTAGTCTTCTTCTTCCCAAAGCCTACCACAATGACCATTTAAAGGAGCCACCATCTTATCCCAAAGCCACCAAGTCCTCAAGTCTGTTTGGCATTGGACACTAGTTTTTCCAACACTACACTTACAGCACTGCTTGGGATGCTGTCCACCAAAAAGTTTAGAAATCTCTGCTCTGGGATTTGGGGACCCCTGAGAGACACACTGCACTCACTTCTTGATCTCTGAAATTTCATATCCTGCATCAATGGTCTCCTTGCCAGCAGATATAGCTGCTGTGATACGCAGCCTGGGGTGTCCTGTTCCTTTAGCCTCTTCTTCAAAAGCCTCCAGCATTTCCTACAGAGAGAGTGAGGGTGGATTTGAGTGGCTGTCTTTATTATCTATTTTCTACAGTAAGCACCTCTTAGGCTTCTTTCCAGCTCCTAGCAATTCCCCTTTTCTAGAAATAGTCCCCAATATACAGGTATGGGTCTTGATAAAGTATAACTTGGAACAAAGAGATACTACACATACTAGTTGTCCTAGGGTCCAAGTTACAGTTAATGGCAATTCCAAAGAAAAAAACTAGGACCTCCTGGCAGAGTTCACTCTTCCTTCTAAAGTGCTAAACTTTTTGGATTTGTCGATAGCCATGCTAAGCTCTTTCTGCCCCCAAGCTTTTGCTAATTAGCCACGGAAAGGTTTTTCCTGCCTCCAGGCTTTTGCTAATGCTGTTCCAACTTCCTTAGAACAATTTTCTCCCTATTCTTTTTGTGGCTGGTTGCTGTTAATTATTCATATCACAGCTTAAATGTCACTTCCTCAGAGAAGACTTCCCTGACCATCCTATTTGCTTCCATCATAGCTCTTATCACAACTTATGATTATTTGATACTTTTTTGGAGTCTGTATCCTCTTTGCAAGCCCCACGAGAGCAAGGATCATGTTTCTGTCATTAACTGCCCTAGCTACAGTGTGAAGCACAGTGCCTAGATGACAGTAGATGCTCAATAAACATTTACTGAATGAACGACTGAGATAATGAACAGTTCCTCCTTCCCAGTCCAAGGATTTCTCCCTTGTGTTTCTTCAGATACCTATATCTTTCCAATAATTCCCTTTGGGCTTACACTAACCAAAGAGTCTGTTTCTATCGCTTGCAACTCCCAAACACCTTAACTCGTGTACTGCCTGAGGGCAACATCCTTTGCTATCCCCAGGAAATTCAGCCCTTACAGAAAATCCATTAAGGTACAAGCTTCTCTACAAGACGACACAGAGCTGGTGCTCCATTCTGTTGGAAATAATGCTCAAAATCCTAAGGAAATTAAACACTCAAACAAAGGATTTTCAGCGAAGCAATTTTACTTCTGCGCAAAGAGGTGCTTCTGCTTGTGCAGTCGCCATGAGAGCACACCTGAACAAAGGGGCGCGAGGGCCTTTATTCCTGATGCAAGCACTGCCCCTGTGCCCTTTCCCCATTAGCCAAAGTCGAGCCACACAATCTAAACTACTCCTGGTTGGCTAAACATTTGAACTTTCTTTAGATAAGGTGGGCACCTCAGGGAGAGAGGGGAAAGGGACGGGGTGTCTGCAGTGAGCTAGAGAGCTAGTCTTCTTTCCAAATAAGGAAAGGAATGTGAGCTGGTACTGATAACACTTGGTACTGTGGCATGTCTGGGCATGTAACAAAGGCAGAAAGGAAGAAAGAGGAGAAAAGGGAAAGGGGGTACTATGAATTAAAGAATAAAGGATTGATCAGGCTGTTTGAAGAGAAACCTCATCATATCCCACAATTCCCAGCTTAACCAGGATGGTAAATTACTGTTTGTCCTCAGGTGGGCTTCCCTGAGACCCTGGATATTTGATATTCAGGTCAATGCCATCAAATCCACGTTGGCGAAAGAAGTCAATGACAGAACAGTTGAAAATCTTGTGATTGGCATCTGTGGCACCAATGGTTATGAATATAGGCAGAGAGCTTGTCTATATTAACATTAACAGACCCCAGGAATTCTCCCCACATGATCTCTGATAGCAATTCTTATTCTGTATTTTATAATAACCCCTTCTGGATTTTTAGAGTTAAGATAAAGAAACCCAAAAATGTAAATGTTAATCAACAAATACGTGTTTTTAATTTAAATTTTTTCTTCAGTGTACTTATTGAATAGTATGTTTCCATTTATTTATAACATCAAAGGTACATATACATTTTCTTTACTAGTGGGATCTTTCATAGGGCAGTGGTTCAAATATTATATTTCTTTAACTCTTAGATGTTTATTTCTTAATACTTACTATTTCCAAAATTAAGATGTGACTTACAATCTATATATATATATAATACGGCATTTCTGCCCCCCAAAGATGTACTATTAAATTTAAGCTGAATCCAACATTTTAAAGTGCCTCAATATCTAGAACAGAACTTATAGGTATTAAAATTCTGTCATATCCTCTGCCATAGTCAATAACTGTATAGCCTATAAACAGTATTTAAACACTCCAGGTTTGTTCCTGATTATGATAAGCCTGTAATTAATGTTTCGTAAACCATATCACAACTTCTCTAATTTATCTGTTTTGTTTTTTAAGTTCAGGTATTTAATAGCTAGAAAGGTTTGTTTGTTTGTTTGGTGGAAGTAAATTGACTAGCATCAAACTGGATAATTTAAAATGGGGAAGAAAAGATGCAGTTTGGAGTTGTGGGTGCAAAGACTCTTATTTATTCGAGTTGTGGAGGCAGAAAAAGCCATGTTGGTGGAAAGGACATCTCAGGAAGAAGAAATATTGGTCAAATACCACAAGTAAGCATTAGCCTGTTAACTTATAGGTAACCATCAGAAAGTCTACTGACTATTACAGTGAGAATTTAAAAACTTAACTGCAACTTGTTCTAACCATCACACTGCTACCTCTAGATAATTGGGGAGGGGAAGAAGGAAGAGGAGCAAGTTACTTTTTATGTCAAACAATCGAGTTATCTGATTTTTAAAATAATTATGGGAATGCATTACTTTCATAATCTAAAAAGTAGCTTAAATGGCTTTTTTATATACAAGTCAAATCTATTTCACCATCTCCTTTTCCAACCCCAGAGTCCACATGTCTGTGATGCTGATTATCTTTTCTTACTACTTTCCAGCAGCAAAGCCTATGACTCAGCCCAGGGCTCTTCCATTCTCATCAGCAGACAATAGCTCTTCTTTACCACCAACCTTCCTCCCTACCATGCATCATTCTCTATATTCTTTTAAGTACTTGATTCTCACTGCACCGTTGCTATCTCTCCATAGCTGCTGTAGCCAGCCCTTCCCACTCAGATATCATCTTTGCAGGTGCCAACCTTTTTCTCCTCTAGAATAACCATCTTCACCTCCTTCTCTGGCATTATTGTTTCCCACCTCAGCCTTGGGGACTCTCTTGCCTCCACCCTCATCCCCTGGCCATGAGGAGGCTCTACTTCTGAGTACCAAAGTTCCCTCTACCAGTGGCCAGCAAGTTGACCAGGTCACCATTGCTGCAGAAAGAAACAAAATGTGCTTCTGTGAGATCTCCGTGAGAACTCTGTGAGCCTGCAGGATGCAGATATCACAGAAAGCAACTTTTCTTGCCCTCATTCGTGACTCTCTGGGGAATGGGCAGCTGCCAAGCACAACTTCTAAAGTCCCCATGGCAAGCATTCCTCCCCAACTGCCCAGGTGGTGTTTATGTTATATTTTACCATAACTGTCAGAAATGTGCATATTCTTTTCAGGAACAAACTGTCTGCAAAGGACTTTTCCTCTCAGAAATTTATGCTAGTGAGAATGAACTGGAGACTGAGCTTGGACTTTCCATTATCCCTCCCTGTCTCTCACTCACTGTAGACTCAATTCCTACAGATTGTTCTTTCAGGGCTTGGAACTGAGGATATAGGACATCACTATCATTCCATTCATAAGAAGCAATTTTGTCATTCACAGTGGCGAAGGCGTACATCAATTGTATACAGATATGGGTTCACATTCTTAGGAAATAACTTGGCTGGTTCTGGTCAATACAGCAACCAGTTGGTAAAGTAATACACTAGCTTATAGGCTGAGCCTAAGAGGAGAAAGCAGCAGTTATGTGGTTCAAGTCCCCCAGTGCGTGTCTCACTTGCTAATAAACTCTTCAAGGGAAGAGTAAGTAACCTAAGAATTAGCTTGGCATATACCTGGTAGATACTGCTACACACCTTTCCTATGTCTATGTAAGACCTTGCTAAATAGTCATGACATTTTTTTCCATAGTCTCAGCAAGACCTAAGCATCTTTCATAGCCAGAAAGCTTTAAAATTCAGTAAGAGTCAAGATATAAAGTAAAATGAATTTGCTATCACAGAAGCAAGTGGTCGGGGTAATGATGTTCCTCAGATATTATGCATCAATTTATCACAAGAATAGACTGTTAAACGTTATTATCAATAAAATGGTAACCTTTTGTAGTTGGCATATGAGGTGACTGAAGCTTTATTTAAAGGCTTTACATGCATCTTTTTGCTTATATTTTTAATTCTCATAACAATCCTACAAGGGAAACATTATTCTCTTCTTTTCAGATGAGATTCAGAAAAACTGACTTGCTCAAGACTGCAAGGTTAAGATTAATACCAAATCATTTATCCATCTATTCCCCAGGTATTTATTGTGCATCTACTATTTCCAGCCAGTCTTACTCCAAAGTTCATGCCCTTCCCACTCTACTCTCCTGACTCCCCCTATCTAGGTCTTAGCCGTGTCTCATATGTATAGCCCAATGCCCAGGAATTAGAAAAAAATGTTAGGACATTTGAGGAGAAAAAAGACAAAACAAAGAGGAGTGGAGAGTAATAGATAATAGAGACTACACCAGGCTTAGCATCAAGACATATGTTTAAATCCTGATGCGAGTGGTGTGGGACAGGCCACTTCCCTCTCTGCACTTTAGTTTTCTCACCTATAAAATGAGGAGTTTGAGATTAATGATCTATATGTTCCCTCCCAGTTCTAACAAACTGGGATCCAGCAAGCAGGCTGGGGGCTTGGGGCTCTAGTCCTGACTTCATCATGGAAGGAGAAGGAAATGAAGAAAGAGAAAGAAATTTAGAGCTGGAAGAAAAAAGAGAAAGAGGAGTTAACTATTAGGAAGAGTGGAGTGTAGGTAGGAGGCTGTTACTCCTTACCTATTTGCACCTGCAGTAGAGTAGCTGAGCCTGAAACAAACAAAAAAAAATAATACAATAACAAGAAATCCTCATATGGACTTTCCGGTTAGGATCTAGTGCTAGCGAGGAGACTCACAGGGTTTCAAGGACCCAAGGGCCTTTGGACCTATCAGTGGCGATTCCCAGGGCCCCATTTTATTATTCCCAGGCTTGGAGCTCAAGTCCCTCTGCTCAGAGGGACTCCATATAGAAACCTCCAGGTTTATATCAGAACTCCATAAAGAAATCTCACTGGAACAGATGCTGGCCTTCACACCCCATTCCCAAGGCACCCCCATGACCTATAGGATAAAGGGCAAAAGGAATGGGAGACTCACAGGCCCAGGGCAGCATCCTCTCCATTGTGCCTCCACACCAGCTGCCTTGCTCAGCCTCTTGGTTCAGCCTCATTTAAGAAGAGGTCCCTTTTATCACTGTGGGAGCAGCTTAGCTGCCATCTCATGACCCCAAGTCCTGAGACCATCGTGTTCCTGTCTCCTATCCTTCATAACAGCAAGCACCCCTACCCCACCCAGAGGGACAGAAACCTAGCAAAGGCAGCAAAGACCCCCTCACCAGCCCAGGCCCGGCTACTCTGACAGAACTCCTTGCTGTTGGAAGCCTCAGCTGGACACTGAGGCTGAGTTCTTCCCTCAGAGAATGCAGAAGCCCTGGGAGAGAATGAAGGGTGCTATGCTGGGACTTAGGGTCCCCAGGTCCAGGGCTCAGGGCTAGAAAAGCTCATGGGGGATAGAGCCAACATATTGGAATGCTCATTTAAAGCATGTAATTTTCCTCCTGATGGACCAAGCCCAGTGCCCAAAGTCAGCAGCAGGGTCTTGGAAGGAATCCAGTTCAGGAAAGTGGCATGATTATCCCTGTGCGTCATCTCCTCCTCAGTTCCTTGTGCTTTTGCTGCACAGCTGTAGAGGAAGGACGGAACAACTATAAGATGCTGCAGCTGCCAGCTCTTCAGCTTCTTCTTCCCTTATTGCAGCCAAGGGCAAGAATGGGGAGAGGGCAGCTGCTGCCAGAGAAACATTATCTTTGTACCCCTGCCCCCTTCTCCTCACCCTAGGAGGAGGGGTGGAAGTATGGTGCAAAGAACATTGTAACCTACTTTGCTAGAGTCTGACTCCCTAGGGAAAAAACAAAAACAAAAACAAAAACAAATAAAACCGACTAGATTTGTGAGTAAGAGAGATATATGGCTGAAAGAGGGGTCAGACGCACTTGGGAAGCTAGGGTTGCAGGTGCCAGGCTCTGTTTTGTCTCACCTTGATAACCCCAAGGCTATAGATTTTCCACTGCCAGTGGCTGTACCCCTCAGTACTGGGGCTAAGCCAGGCAGATAAGAGAGGGCACAGGTGCAGGGGCAGCTGCTAGCTTTTGCTTAAAAGCAAATCCTCAGGCTGAGCCAAGAATTTCCTCAAGGATTCTAGCTTCCTTTTAGCCCGCTTAAGAAAGAGGTGGTTCATGGCCATGTTCATAGATATGGTTTGGCTCTGTGTTCCCACCAAATCTCATGTTGAATTGTAATCTTCAATGTTGTGGGAGGTATCCGGTGGTAGGTGATTGGATCATGAGGGTGGTTTCCCCCTTGCTGTTTGCCTGATAGTGAGTTCTCACGACATCTGCTCGTTTGAAAGTGTGTAGCTCTTCCCCCTTCTCTCTCTCTCTCTCTCCCACTCCGCAATATGAAGAAGGTGCTTGCTTCCCCTTTACCCTTCCACCATGAATGTAAGTTTCCTGAGGCCTCCTCAATCATAATTGACTAACAGTTCCTCACAGCCTACAGAACTGTGAGTCAATTAAACCTCTTTCTTCATAAATTACCCAGTCTCAGGTAGTTCTTTATAGCAATGTGAGAATGAACTAATACATTCATCTTTAGATATGTGGCACGTGGCACAGACTAGGCACTTGATAAAAATTGGTTTAATTAATAAATGTCTTGTCTTCAACTGTTCTGGTGTTGGCAGTATTCAACCAACAAGCTACTCCTGACCTTATTCATTGTCTATTGCTGTATGGCAAATTACTCCAAAGCTTAACCACTTAAAACAATAAGGCAATATTTATTATTTCATATAGTTTCTGTGATTCAGGAATAGCTTACCTGAGTGGTTCTGGCTTGGGTTTTCTCATGAAGTTGCAGTCAAGATGTTGGCTGGGGCAGTCTTTGAAGGTTTAATGAGGGCTGGAGGATCCACTCATAAGATATGTCACTCACATGGCTAGCAAGCTGGTGCTGGCTGTTGGCAGGAGGCCTCAGTATTTCCTTGATGTACTTCTCCATAGGGATTCTAGAGTGGCAGACAGCTTCTCCCAGAGTAAGTAAATCAAGAAAGAGCATAGTAGAAGTCACATTCTGTCATATCCCCAATATCCCATTGGTCAGATCAGCCAAAAATTGGTGACACCATCCCTGCCCTCCAGGAACTCAGAGACTAGTTGGGGAGATAGGGCTATTGTGGGGTGCCATGGGAGCACAGGGCAAGAGTACTTGGCCCCAACTGAGTTGCTTACCCATAGCCTCCCAAGTCTCTGACTCATCCAACTGGAGTTTTTAGTAGGGTTCTCAGATTTTTATACACTTACCCACTGTTCTCCAGGGACATGTGCCTGGCACATGGAGAGTGCTCAATAAATCTTGAGTTTCCTTCTTCTTTTTCCAGACATGATTCCTGTCTGAGGCCCACTTTATTGGTAGAGCTCCTGATGGGTCTTACTCTCCCAGTTTGCTGACTGGGTCTGCCCAGTTGCTTTGCTGTCCACTGTGCACATATCTACAACTCAGGATGGGACTTGCCAGACTACAGCCCATGTCTTGGCTTCCATCAACCAAGTTACTCCCCAAGCAATAGAACAGTCTGCGTTTTTTAGGTTAAATGATCTCCACTCTGTTCTTCCTTCCTTCTTTGAACAGTAAAAATATACATTGGCATACAGAAGGGCAGATAACCCAGCCCAAGATCTTTTGGAAAATTAGTAAAATCTTACCAGGTATATAAATCTTACTAGTATATCCAGTAAAATCTTACCAGGTATATAAAAATTATTGCTCAAGATTCCCAATATTCTCACGTCTTACTATTTGTCTAACACCTAACACCTAAGATATATTTTTCTATTACCTTGACCCAAAACATTTTTTTCCATTTCACAGTAACTTGAAGATTAGCCTAGAAATATTTCTGATCCCTTGGAAAAGAAACACTGAAATTATCATTCACCTCCTACTTCTATCACTACCTGAGAGCCCCCCACCCCCCGCCCAATAGGCTGACCTACATGAGCGCTGAACCACACACATGGAAAAAGGAAAATTGCACATCATTTAGGGGAAACAAATAGCCTAAAGAAGGAAAACCAAATACATTTCAATAAATACAAAAGTAATTGTGAACTTTGCATTATTTTTCATTAATAAATGTTTTATGTAATATTTTTGACATCTCATAAGACAAGTCTTTATTACTTTTATTTTTTAAAAAAATATTTTCAGTTCATAGGGAGAGGAAGCAGAGCA